>NC_000020.11:40254112-40557143 GCF_000001405.40 Homo sapiens
AGCCTCTAACAAGATGGCTTGGATTTGTTTTGAAATGTCTTCTCCAGAGAAGGATTCCCAAGAGGCATCATGTAGACTAAACCTTTGGAGCTGCTTGGCACAATGCCTGCCATGGTCAGGCCCTGGGAAATGCTGCAGAGCCCTGCAGGGGAGGTGAGACTCAAGAGAGAGACCCAGCCCCAAGCCCAGGACTCTTAATTTATGTTTCTGCTCTGGCCTCAGTGCTGTGAACAAAGAAACTGATGGGATTTATTTAAGGGAGTTGCCTCTCCCCTCCCCTCAACACCCATCTATCTTCCGGAATAGTGGAAAGAGTGCTAGATTTGGAGAATCCCAGTTCCTTCAGTTTCTGAATGTTGACCTTCTTATCTAGAAAATGGGGTCAGTAATTTCTTCCTTCCTGTTGCTGGATTATTGGGAAAAATGTGGTTAATGTATAGTCAATTACGCAAGATGGTTCAGCCTTTGAGACAAACCAGACGTTTTGGATTCAAATCTTGTTTCTGCAACTTTGCATCCTTGAGAAAGTTTGTTTAACCTCTCTGTGCTCAATTTCACCTTCTGTAAAGTTGAGATTATTTCTTGAAGAATTATTATAGGAGTTAAATTACGTAATACACCCAAGCATTGTAGCAAGACCTGGAAATAGTGTTATTATTACTAGTGCTCCCAGTTTAGAAATTCTTATTCCAGCATTCCTTCCTACATTCTCTTCTTAATTCAACCCTGTCTAACTAACATGCTCTCTTTCCCATTTCTGCCAAGCATCGTTTTATATTTTATATTCTTTCGATATTTGATGCCATCTGACATAACGAATGACATTTTCCTAGCATAATTGTCATGTATCTGAGGTCCAGGACCACATTCACTCATTCATTCATTCATTTATTCATGCAGCAAATATTTATCTACCATCTACAGTGTCCCAGACCTTGTCCTAGACTCTTGAATACATTCATGACTTCAAGTCAGTCCTGATCATTTAAATCCTAGTGTTCAAGTTCTAACTTGGAAGTCAGGCAAGTAACCAAATGATTTCAAAACCAAGTCATAAGTAGATAATAGAGTAAAGAAAAGAACCTTATGGGAAATAGAGCTGGATGGGATTCACTCTTGCTATAAGAATTAGAAATCCTCCACTGGGTCATCTAGCCAGGGATCTGAATGTACCCAGCAGGCAAAAGAGAGAAAGAGTACCCCAGATCATTAGAACAAAATGTTAAAAAGCATGAAGGTGTGAACGTGTATGACCTATATAGGAAAGGTGATAAAGGTGACTCTGGCAAAAGTATAGGGTATGTGAGAAAAAAAAAGAAAGAGAAAAAGGAAAAAAAAATGGCTACAAGAAGTCAGATGGAAAAAAAAAGGCAAGGAGAAGAAGAGACTTGAAAAACTGGGTTAAGGAGTTTGGACATTTTCCCAGACATTCAGGGTTTTCAACATGTGGCCACCAGGCGGTCCTGATCTAGTCAGGTCTGTGCTTTTAAAGTTTTCATGGAATATAGGGCATGTACTACCTATTTAGCCACAGAACCCACCATGCCATAGGACAGTACCCAGCACTGAATCTTTTCCCACATGCCCCTGATGGATGTAAGTTTGCAACCCTGCTTAGTCTTAGAGAGTTGTTAAAGAGTTGATACCAGGCATTGATTTTATCCAGTCCCTCTGGAGACTGGCAGGAGAGGCTATTGTATGTAGAAGGGATGTGAGACTATAGGAGGAAAGGGCAGCTAAAAAAACTACCACAATTAAATGAAAATGATAGAAATTATGTTTGCAAGGATGTAGACTAGCTAAAAAAAGTCATACATTATAACTTCAGGAATTGTCAATTGGTATAACCACTTTGCAAAACTTTTTAGCAATATTTATTAAGCTAAACATCTGCAGACCCTATGACTTAATAATTTTATTTCCAGACATATGCCCAACAACGCTGTGTACATGTGTGTACACAAAGTCATGTACATGTGTGTATATAAAGTCACGTACAAGACTACACAGCAGCACTATTCATAATAACTTCAAACTGGATACTGCCCAAATAGAGAGTAGGTGGTGGATAAATATATTTTTGTATGTTACATATAACCTGAGCACGGTATAATTATGAACAACAATATGGTTAAATCTTATAACATAGTATTAAGTGAAGGAAGACAAACTGAAAAGGTCACATGCTGAATGAATCTGCTTATACAAGGTACAAAAACAGGCAAGACTGAAAGTTGCTCTTAAATGATGATTACCTTTGGACAGGCACCAGTGTTTGTCTGGAAGAGGGCAACAAGAGGGCTTCTGGGAAGCTGATAATGTTCTATTTCTTAATTTGAAAACTGGTTTCATGCATGTGTTCAGTTTGTAAAAAAGTATTGAGCTGGAATAAGTGTGTTTATGATATACGTATCTTTCTGAATATACTTCAATTAAAAAGTTTTACAAATTTAAAAAATAAGTTAAAGGTCATCACAAATAATATTATTGCAGTAGACAGTGAGAATTAATGAGACCTGTACCAGGGAAATAAGTGTTGTATTTACTCATTTGTTTATCTAGTCATTCATTCAATTTTTATTAAGAGTCTGTTATGGATCAAACGTTCTACTAGGTGTTGAGCATACCAAAGCTACACGGAGAAGAGAGATATTAAACAATCAACCTCTCAACTAAATAATTTCAGGAAGAAAAAGGCAATTAATAAGCAAAGCAAGGTGATGAGATACAGCAGAAATGGATAGCAGTAGGGGATGTTGGAGAGGAGAGGCTACTTTAGACAAATTAGCAACTGTGTTTCCCCCATCTCAGGCTGCTAGGACTAAGCACTTCTGCACAGTTAGTGGTGTTAAAACTCCTAGGATTCTTGTTCCAATGCCAGCAGATTTTTCGTCTTGCTGATGGTAAAGCAGGATTTTGATAAAGCTTCCTTACAAAGGGTGTCACATGCAATAATGTGTCATGATCAACATGTCACAGCACACAGCACCAGGCTGGTACGATCTGACGATCCAGGGCTCATAATACCATTATTGGGCACTGGGAAGTGTATTTTGCTGTGTCTTGCAAAATGCTCAAAGAAACACTGTCTACCACTCCTTGACCTACGTTTTATAGGATCCTTAGTTGTCTGCCTCCAAAGTGGAAAATATTCCATGGGTACCCTGATAGCATATTTAACATGCCTTTCATCTCAACATTTGTTTTCTGGATTGTTGCTCCATCCAACTCCCTGGCACTTCTGAACATAATTGGTATTCCTTTGTTACCAAGACTTTTTCCACAAACTTTACTTTTGAAATATTTCTTAAAACTTTTTTTAATTTTTAATATTCAAATAATTTCAGATCTCACAGTTAGTCCAAACATCCCACTAAATCTGATATGAGTTAGAGAGCTCATTGGAAGAAAAGGGATAGAACATATATTTTTTAAGAAGGACCAACATTAAAATTGAAGGTTTTTGTCTTCTATTAATATCACTGGAGCCTCTAAAAATAAATGTGCTATATAAATGTAAAATTCTCATCACAATTTTTCATGGCAGAACATGTAGTAAAGACAACTTGAAAATATCTCAGCTTTACGGAAGGAGTTATTGCCAGGTTTGATTTTGTTTAATCAACACTGGCCCTCCAGTCTATCCTTGCATCTCCAAAGCCTACATATTTGGAGGACCCACCTTAGATACTAACACTTGTAGAAAACCTTTCCTGATAACCTAAGCCAAGAGTGCTTTCTGCCAGCTAAACTGCTGTACCTGTTATTTATACCTTTCTCACAATCAACTGTGTGGTGACGTGTCTAGCTCTCTACCTGGCTGCTGGGTGTGAGTGTCTTGATGTGTTTAAGTTATCTCTGCATCTTGCACAACCACAGCATCATCACCGTCATCATCACCTTCACCAGAAATACCCACTGAGCACCTACCCTTTGTCAGGACTTAGCTCAGTGCTTTAATAGCCTTATCTTATTTAATTCTCCAAACAACCTTATTACTACTCACTTTTTACAGATGAAGATATGGGAGCATGGAGAGGCTAAATAACTTCTTCAGTTTCCTCAGTGTTAGAACTAAAACTCCAGGAATATGGCTTTAGCATAGACTCATACCTGTGGTGCCACGGTGCTTCTTACCTAGCAAAAACGAGGCATCATGGAAGTTCATAAACACCCGTTCAATACATTGGCCCTACGGCATGAGAGTGGCTGTGAATTAGTTTGGGCAGAAAAACACAGGAAGTGAGTCGAGCCTCACGGATGTTTTGTGGTGAGTTTGAGAAACATTGAGGGTCTTCATTTCAAGATGACCAGTGACCTGTTTGCTTAACTGGGGTCTGTGACAAATACTCTAAGCACCTCATGTTTCCCGTGAGCATGACACCTTCAATCAAATGTTCACAAAGCCACCGTCACATGTAATGCCCACCCAGCTGCTGGTAGAATTCCCCGAGTGGTACACTGTGAAGACAGGTGGGATTCTCGGGATGAAAAGGATGCACACTTAAGCAGTTGGCAGAGATTTGCTTTCTCCATTCCCTTTATTAACTCCCATTGACTTCCATTGTAAAAATGAAGATGCATTCCCATGGGATAAAACACTTGGCCTCACCACTAGACAAAAATGACCTGTACGAAGGAAACAAACCCCTTTCAATCAGCTGTTTAAAGGAAAAATGATAATGGATGAAAGAAGTTGAAGGAATAATGATCATGATCTTTAGAAAGCAATGCTAAACTACATAAAGCAGAGGCAGAAAAAAAACATACCTTTTAGAAAAAAAAATGCGGAGACAGTAGGTCCATGAAAAGAATTGAAGCAAACATGGACGTTCATTTATTCATTTACTTTTTCTACTCATTTATTCACTTATTCAGCACATCTCACTGGTTTGTGCTGTTTGCGCTCTGTTCTACATAGAGGAGAGAAGGACAAATGAGAAGATACTCAAGAAGTGAGACACAGGAGTCCCTGTGTTCGGGTGGATATGAAGGTGTTACAGCACAGTAGTTATGACGCAGATTTTAGCATTTGGGAACCAGCATAGCACAGACTTGGGACTGGAATCCTGTTCTCCAGCTTATCAGCTGTTGCCTTTAGCAAGGCATCTGACCTCACTCCACCTCAGTTTCCCTGCTTGCCATGTAGGAAAGAGTTTCTGACATGAAAAAGTTGTTATAAGGATTTGTATTTGTATATCACTTAGAACTAAAAAGCAAATGCTGTTTTACCATGTGTTATCTGAATGAGTTGGAGCAAAATTAGTTTATTCAACTGTAAAATAGGTAACTTGTACATCTCAGGATAATGAAAGTTATACACATACATATATATATATAAATATGTCACATACACACACACACACTGAAGGAATTCAGAACATGCCACCCCAAAATATGTTGCCCTGGCATATTGACTATTCTGAGTTAAAGGAACTTGAAAAACCGCAGATCCAAGAAGGACACTCTGATCTTCCTTCCATCTCTCAAAAGAGAGAGATGAAGGCCGGACGTGGTGGTTCATGCCTGTAATCCCAGTACTTTGAGAGGCCAAGGCGGGCGGATCACCTGAGGCCGGGAGTTCGAGACCAGCCAGACCAACATGGAGAAACCCCATCTCTACTAAAAATACAAAAGTAGCCGGGCGTGGTGGCACATGCCTGTAATCTCAGCTACTCAGGAGGCTGAAACAGGAGAATCACTTGAACCTGGGAGGCAGAGGTTGTGATGAGCCGAGATTGCACCATTGTACCGTTGCACTCCAGCCTGGGCAACAAGAGTGAAACTCCGTCTCAAAAAAAAAAAAAAAAAAAAAAAAAAGAAACAGTTCTCTAATTTGAGAACTGTCCCCGCTATACCAAGAGAAAGGAAACATTCTTATCATGGAGGACAGGAAATTGAGACCAAGAGAATTCTGTGCAAACAGATCCTTGTTAAAATAAGTCTTATCTTCCTTTAGCCTTGCCACCATTGCCCTTTTTTTGTTCAACCTAGTATAAGAGCGTTTAGGTTTTGCCAGGTCTTTGAGTCTTCATTTCCTAATGAGGTCTCCTGTGTCTTATAAAATTTATATTTAAAATTGGTATGCTTTTATCCTGTTAATCTGTCTTAAGCCAAATTAATTCTCAGGCCCAGCCAGAGACCCTAAGACAGCAGAGGCAACAAAGTTTTGCTTCCCCTACAATATATACCATATATAAACACACATACATACAGAGATGTGTATGTGTATGAGGGTGTGTGTGTTTGTGTGTGTGTGTGTGTAAAATACATTATATAAATACAGTCATTGGCCACCTAATGATGTTTCAGTCAACAACAGACTACATATATGACAGTGGTCCCACAAGATTATAATGAAGCTGTTATTGTCCCTGGACAGGGGGACAGTAATTTTGTTGATCTCAACCCGGTGTAGGGCTAGGCTAATGTGGGTGTTTGTATCTTGGGGTTTTTTTTTGTTTTTTTTTTTAATTTGAGACAGAGTCTTGCTCTGTTGTCCAGGCTGGAGTGCAGTGGCACCATCTCGGCTCACTGCAACTTCTGCCTCCTGGGCTCAAGCAATTCTCCTGCTTCAGCCTCCTGAGTAGCTGGGATTACAGGCAGGCACCACCACGCCTGGCTAATTTTTATATTTTTGGGAGAGACAGGGTTTCACCATGTTGATCAGGCTGGCCTCAAACTCCTGACCTCGTGATCCACCTGCCTTGGCCTCCCAAAGTGCTGGGATTACAGGCATGAGCCACCACGCCTGGCCTGTATTTTACTTTTTAATGAAAACGTTTAAAATTTTTTTAAAGTTAATAGAAAAAAATACAAAGATCTAAATAAAGTATTTTTGTACGGCTGTACAATCGGTTTGTGTTTTAAGCTAAGTGTTCTTACAAAAAGTTTATAAAAGTTACAGTAAGCTAAGGTTAATTTATTATTGAAGAAAAAAATATGATTGTATGAATTTAGTGTAGCCTAAGTGTTTGGTGTTTATAAAGTGTATACTCTGCACAGTCATGTCCTTGTCTTTCACATTCAGTCACCACTCACTCACTCACTCACTCAGAGCAACTTCCAGTCCAGTAGGCTCCTTTTATGATTAGTGCTTTATACAGGTGTACCATTTTTTATCTTTTATACGATATTTTTACTGTACCTTTTCTATGTTTATATATGCTTAGATACATGAATACGTACCATTGTGTTACAATTGCCTACACTATTCAGGACAGAAAGATGCTGCAGAGATTTTTAGGCTAGGAGCAATAGGCAATGCCATATGGCCTGGCATGTAGTAAGCTCTGCCACCTAGGTTTGTGTAAATACACTCCATGATGTTCACACAATGATGCAGTCACCTAATGACGCATTTCTCAGAACATTTCCCCATCGTTAAGCAACACATAACTGCATGTAAACGGCTTGACGCAGCATCTTACACCCAGCAAATACTCAAGTGGCTAAATGGTAAGCTCTAAGACAAGCTCTATCTATATACCTATGTATGTATCTATCTAATTTATATAATTTTATTTTATTAATATTTAGTGGGAAATGAGAGAGGAGATAACATAATTTTTACACATTAAAAAAAATTTGTGCTAAGCCCCTATTATGTACAAGGCACTGGGAATTCGATAATGAAAATGACAAGTGTGGCCACTGACCTCAAGGGTACTTATAGTCAGTCTTTCTGGACTGGGCAGATGAAATACAGATATGTTCAGATACAGAAGACTGGGGGAAAAGAAACTTGGTGGAAAAATGTATTAGGTCAGTTAGGGGCATATGAGGGTAAGAGGAGGAGTTGACAGGAACATACTCAGGTTTGAAATTTAGAGTGGGGGAATTGGATTTATTATAGATTTGGAGGTTATCAGGAGTTGGATGGTGGAAGATGAGATCACCCAGATTGAACAAGTGTAGTGAGACGCAATTCTAGCTTAAAAACAGAACTCTTGATAACTCAACCATTTTAAAATGCAAATAAAGAAAAGGATCCAATGATGATACTGAGGGGGAAAAAAAGTTGAAAAAATAACAGATCCAAGATTCTACAAAAAATACAGACAGAAGGGCAGAATAATCAGGGTCATGTGGTTGCAGCCTAGGAAAGCAAAGACATTTATCCCAGCAGCCAAGAGAGTCACACAGGTTTTGTTACATACTTGATTTTACAGCAATTTAAAAAGCCAGACTTTGAGACACTTCCTATATCACGAGGCTCTTGCTGTCCAGCAGAATCTCATTTCCTGAAATTTGTGCACATTTGGCTCCTAATAACTCCTCATTTTATAGTTTACAAAGAGCTCTCTCACATCTTGACTAGGCCTCACCACTGAGAATCAGGCAAGGTCTGATCATTATCTCCACTTACAGATGAGGAGGAAATGGGTTGAGAGAGGCAAAAGCATGTGTCTGAGGTCTTGCAGATTTATTGACATCCTGCAACACACTCGCTATTCTCTCCCTGACCCTGGCCTTGGAGAATTGTGTCTTCTGAAATATATTCTCAGAAATTATGCTCTATACCGGATCTTAGAGGGGCATTTTGGATCCACATAACCCATGACATATGGAACATTAACTTCCTTAAATCTTTTTGGAAGTGAATAAATAGCAAAATGAGTAGGGAATTAAAACAGATATTGGGGCATTTTCACAGTGATGGAGAGACAAAGGCAGATAAACACATCCCTTTGTGTCATTACATCCCATCCTCTCCTCCTACCCCCCAAAGACAGAGCAATTAGGCTGAGTTTCCAGGGATTGCCTGGCCTGTGTAGGTGCTGCGCACCCTCCATCCAGTGACCCAGTACAAATGCCGTCTCTCGCAGCTTCACAGACCGCTGCTGCTGACTTAGGCCTCGGCTCTGACTCTGGTTCCCTTCCTCCTGCCTTTCAGTCAGATTTTCCCATTTCCGAAGTCAACAGCTTCCCCAAAGCAATGGGACACAGGACGTCATAACTCAGACGCCAAACAGCAGGAGCCAGGAGGGAGGGAAGAAAGGAACACAATGGAAATGGGTCTGCAGAGGCTGCGCAGAAGGAGGACTGGAGTGGGAGTCTAGGGGAGATTAAAGCAAGTGCGTGACGCTGAGCATTGTTGGGCACAAAAGCCACTGTGTTTGGTGTCCAGTTGATATCTCATGTTTAAAGTCCGGGGTGTATGCACAGAAGGTGGGATTTAGAATCTGGACAATCAGACTAGGGGGTTGGAGGAGCTAAAACCAGCCCCTTCCTGGACAGAGATGGTCCAGAGGTGGGCAGAGGCAGGCTCCAAGAGGACACTGGAGTGCTGCCCAGTAAACTGAGGCCTAAGCACTTGTGAATGAATGGAGCCCAGAAAAAAGGTAGCAGATGGGGGAGGGGAGCAGTTTCAGGCTGCACACCAATGCCTCGATGCAAAAGACACCAAGGACCTGGCAGCAGACTCCTTTCTCTTTCCACAACCTGGTGGGCCTGTGAGGTTGCTCAGGTTACCTTGTATCTAGTAGCAGCCAGGTCTCAGCTGGAAGAAGCCACAAGTGAGGAGGCAGGGCCTCAGAGAAGAGCAGGGGCCAGTCATTCGAGGCACCCAAAGATGTCCTGGAAGGGAGCTGGAGGATCTTTCTAGAACTCCCAATTCAATGTGTTGAGGTGTCTCAGTCCTGTTTCACAGGACTTTTAAACTAATATGGCAGACTTTTGGCTGATTGTAACTGAGTACTTTAAATTATGTAGATGACTATATTTTTTTTCACTTAAAAGGTCAGTTCTTATATAACTTGCCTCATTCTTTTCAAAAAATATTTTCATATACCCACTAAATAGAATATATAGAAATGTATGCATAAAGCATATATACACACACAAAGAAAGACAATCTTCATATAGAAAAAATATAATACGCATTCTTAAGTGTACTCAGCACCCAGATCCAGAAATAGAACATACCAGCACCCTAGAAGTCCTGATCATACTTAACTCTTAATTTAAAAAAAATTATCTCAGCAACTGCCAACCCCAAGAAATACCTTTCCAATTTAGGTTGAAAACAAATAAGGAACTGCAATACAGTACGTGGGTTTTCACTCTGTGGCACACTTTCCATACAGATCTATTCTGCAAAGGGAATTACACCTCATCTCCAGCTCACCCAAGAAAGCCCATGGAGATTCACGCTGATTACACAAAACGGATCCATAGCATTAGCAGTGGCTGTTCTGCTCCATGGTCGTTCAGAAGTCAGCCCTGCGTCTGACTGAATGGCCTGAGTCCTTTAGTATAATTACTGTCGTGTACATCTTCCTTCCAAGCTCTGCAGCAGCAGCCAGCGTGGAAGGGGAGATTTCCACAACCAGCACTTATTTCTGTCCATGCAGTTTCCAGTGGAATACTTAGCAGCATTTCCTCCACAGGGCAGGGCACCTTGGAATTACTGTCTGCTTCCAGGGAGTTTTGAGCTCAGAGTCTCTGCTGGGGATTGGGATGGGACAGGGAGGGTGTACAAACATTCCTCTGAAGTAGTGCACAAGATTTTCAGCATTTTTCGAGGGAGCGTCTCAAAGTTACACAACATCCCCACACCCTGCCCTTCCCCCTAAAAGGTTAAGAACCTCTTTACTTGACTATGAGTTATCTGAGGGCAGAGGCATTGATTAATCTTCTTCAACCTGTATCCACAGTGAGATTTTTTTTTCTGTATTACCAGCCATCAGCCTGTGTAACTGAAAAAAGCTAGGAATTTGGGGTCAGACACACTGTCATCCTCCGTGTAACTGAGTAAATTTTTAAACTCTCTGAGCCCTCATTTTTTTCATCAGTAGAGTAACTATAATAATGCCCACTACACTGTAACATTATATATGTCTGCCAGAGTGCTTGGCTCATTAAAGAATTTCTGCAAAGTCCAGCTATCCTATCTCCCTACCTCTCTGATAAATCCAGAGCAAGCTGAGATGGGAAGAAAGGTTGAGCTCACAGTTATCCGGATGTTTCAGACTCACAACCAATATGAAATTGAGGCTGGCCACGGGATGGCAACTCCACTCAGCATAGCCACGGAGTAGCAGTGAGAGCACTGTGTCCCTTGATGTTCAGCCCATAACTCTTCAAAAGGCCCCTTCTTGGTAGCCCTGATCAGTTCTGGTGTGCAGTCTGTCAAGTTCTGGATTGCCATTTTAGCACGGCACCCATGTTTTGAGAGCAGGAGCTTGGTCTGATTCCACCACTGCACAAGGCTAGGCACACTGCAGGTGTTGGATAAATGCCAGCTGAATTTACAGATTTTAATAATGAAGTCTACGGCTCAATTTAACTAGAAATTATAAGTAAAATAGCATGTTAAACCCTATATAGTTCTTTCGGGCCCCCAGAGGAAAGGACAGGTAGCTTTCAACAGACTATCAAATGGAGAGAAATGTTAATCTATTCCTTAATAATCTCCTTATGTCTTTATATGCAAAAAACTCCCCAATAGGTGTGTGTTTCAGGGGAATCATCAGACCCTCCTGCTCAACGCCTATTGACTTACAGGTGCTAAATACCCAGTAAGTTGCTCTCTGTTCTACTTAACAACCACCTAATTCATCCACTGTTCCAGACTTGGAAAGAGATGATTCTTGTCCTGAGGTTTTCTCCAACAGAAAGGGAAGAAAGTACATCAGTTAATAATTCTTAGTATTTGATTTAGAGTTTCAAGTCTATAACCATCAAGATAGCAATTCTAAGAGGCAAAAAGGCAAAAAAAAGTAGTCTGTATTGAAAGCAATTATAATGGCCACAATAATATCAATAACATCTACCGTGGATGAACGCATTTGAAATGCAGAGTAAAGGACTAATCATGAATCATCTCATTGTATTTTCTCAAGAAGGAAGTAAAATAAGCATGACTTTATTTCCACTTCTCAAATGTGGAAACTTGATGGAGAGAGGTCAAGTGACTTGGCCAAGGACACAGTTACAAAGTCAAAAGTCCAGCCTAGATCTACCTGATTCTACAGCCTCTGCTGAGAACTGAAACCAAAGTCAGGCACCTTGTCATACATCAATATCATTAATGGTGCCAGGAGTAGACTCCATTATTCTGAATTCCTAAATCCAAATTTTACACATTGAGAGGATCTGTAGATTTGCTTCTACAGCTGTATAGATTATCCAATTCTGATTTTTAAGTCAAATCACACAATGGCTGGGCAGGCTTCCCCAAACCCTGGCAAAGTTTTCATTGCCCACAAGATGGCGTTGAGGGGTGAATGAAAAACCTCCAGGCATGGATGTCCTATGTGCACCATTCCATCAGAACATAAATGCACTGGCATTTTCCAGCAAGATCTGTTAACAGTTTTGGACCAAGGAAGGAGAAGGGGCCTCGTTAGATCTATCACTATCCAGTCATGTACCACGTCCTGCATTAACGCTTTGCATCTGTGACTCCAAAACAAAGTCTCAGAAACTCCCTGGTAGGTGTGGCAAGTACGTGACAATATGCTAAACTAAACTCAATTGGTTTAACCTCCAGTTCCTTAGGAGTCCTGGGCATACCTTCCTTACTTGAAATTACACGTAACCTTGGTTGGCACACAGTAGGTGCCCAATCCGCTGAAGAATTGATGAATGATGTTTCATTCAATACCTTGAATGCTGGCCTTCTCTGGATAAGGATTGGCTAAATTTTACATCCAGAGGTTAATGAAGCTGTCATTGAGAGTTGAGGTTCTGAGGAAGAAAGACTAAGGTCTGCTGGAAAGACACCTGGACCGTGAGAAGCCCAGGTGTGCAACTCTAGTTCTGAGCCTTAGAACCTTTGAACAAATCACTGAGTCTCAAGGTCCTCATCTTTAAAATATTCATGTTTGCCCTGCATAGTTTCTATTGAAATAATCAAATATGCTAAGGAATGAAAATTGCTGTACAGAAAAATGTCACTATTCCAAATGTAAAATTCTATACTCAGGAAGGGAGCAGTTATTGCCTTTTAGTAGGTGACACTAAAGTTGGTCATGCATTAAGAATCTGGAGTCAGAGCTGAATCTCAGCGACACCATTTACTAGTAGTGTGACCTTAGGTAAATAATGTAACTCTATGACCCACAGTTTCTACCTCTATAAAATGGGGGTAAGAATAGTATAAGCTTCTTGGAGATTAGGACAGAGGTAAAAATAAAGTATTTATCAAAATGCCTAGCACATAGTTACCATCAAAATGGTACTAATCATAATATTAATATTATGTGTACAACTTTTAATTTATGTATATCATGAGTTATGATATTTTAAACATAGCTCTTACTGACTCCCATGAGCCAATTGCATGCATGTCTTTTCAACTTTGTGTTCAGCAGCAATCACATTGGCAGCTTGAAAATGGCTGTAGTAGGAGTTATTTACACTACTACTATAGTTGTGTAGTATAATTGATAAATGCTACAAATCAGAATTGTTGTTTATTGTTGTTTTCATTTTCTTCCAGAGAATCAATTTATCAGTATCAACCAGGCGTGGTGGCTCCTGCCTGTAATCCCAGCGCTTTGGGAGGCCGGGGCAGGTGGATCACTTGAGGTCAGGAGTTTGAGACCAGCCTGGCCAACATGGCAAAACCCCGTCTCTACTAAAAATACAAAAATTAGCCGAGCGTAGTGGCGCATGCCTGTAATCCCAGCTACTTGGGAGGCTGAGGCAAAAGAATCACTGGAACCCAGGAGGCAGAGGTTGCAGCGAGCTGAGGTGGCACCACTGCACTCCAGCCTGGGCGACAGAGAGAGACTCCATCTAAAAAAAAAAAAAAAAAAAATTACCAGTATCCTTTTGGTTATGCATATTGAATGTGTCTTAGTTTAGGTCTCCTAGAAGCATTTCCTAAGCTGAGATTCATATGTAATTGAGCTATTGAAGGAGTGCCCCCAAATAAAACTTGCAAGTGTGTGAGGGAAGCCTTATAGGGCAGAGGAAGAAACCGGGCAAAGGTGAGGGTGCAGCTGAAGTCTAGTCTCAGCCTCATTCCACAGGCAGCTCTGGAGCCTGCGTGGAACCACAGAGTTCCCACCTTGAGGCAAGGGTGCCAAACTTTTCTGCCCTTGTGTTAGTTGGCCATTGGCTACTGACAGACTTCTGGAGAGAATGCAGCTTCCCAGGCCATTCTGGGTGGCACAGCTCCTGATAGCAAGTAATTCTCTGAAGGGTCCAGCTGTGAGTCAAGAACATCTAGCACTGATGAGACATGGATGCACCAGCCCAGCAAAGGGCAGCTGAGCAGGGCACCAACAGCACCTACTACAGTATGGAAACAGATTGTCATACTAGACATTTGAACTAGAATAGATTTGGGAAGTCACCTCTCCTATGTGTGTAATCCAATACAGAAGAGTTGCTTATTCAATCAGCAAATATTTATTTAGTGTAAACTACATTCCTAGTAATGGGATTGGTACTGGAGATGCAGGGCTGAATGCAATCAGATGTGGAGTCCCGGCACTGGAGGAGTTTACATTCCAGCTATGGAGACAGACATTAACCAAATGCTCCCACAAATAAACACACATTTACAACTGTGATGGTTACTGTGAAAGGGACAGGAAACATAGTACTCTTCTGTCAAGACAAGGGTTTGATAGACAGGGAGGCCCCAGAGAGCTTCCCTAAAAAAGTGACATCTGAACTGAGATCTGAAACATGAACTCACTAGGTGTGGGAGTAGGATGAACTAGAAGTGGGAGGAGCTGACAGTAGACAGGTAAGTGAACCTTCCCTTGGACTCATCTCCAGGACAAGCTTGCGTATGGAGATTTGTCCCTGAGGCCCAAGGAGTGGGATGGCTCCTGGAGACCACGGGGGTGGGGAAATGAGGAAGCAAGGAGAGTTATCTTTACTCTTCTGAGAACAGTACTTAGAAGGCAGGCCAACCCTTTTCTATTTCTACTAATATTCTAGAATTCTCTATTTTGAAAACAAGACTATTTTTATCCTCTGTCAGTCCTCTGAGCCCAAGCCAAGCCATCGCATCCCCTGTGACTTCCAGGTATATGACCAGATGGCCTGAAGTAACTAAAGAATCACAAAAGAAGTGAATATGCCCTGCCCCACCTTAACTGATGACATTCCACCACAAAAGAAGTGTAAATGGCCGGTCCTTGCCTTAAGTGATGACATTATCTTGTGAAAGTCCTTTTCCTGGCTCATCCTGGCTCAAAAACACCCCCACTGAGCACCTTGTGACCCCCACTCCTGCCCGCCAGAGAACAAACCCCCTTTGACTGTAATTTTCCTTTACCTACCCAAATCCTATAAAATGTCCCCACCCTTATCTCCCTTCGCTGACTCTCTTTTCGGACTCAGCCCACCTGCACCCAGATGAAATAAACAGCCACGTTGCTCACACAAAGCCTGTTTGGTGGTCTCTTCACACGGACGTGCATGAAATTTGGTGCCGTGACTGGGATCGGGGGACCTCCCTTGGGAGATCAATCCCCTGTCCTGCTCTTTGCTCTGTGAAAAAGATCCACCTATGACCTCAGGTCCTCAGACCGACCAGCCCAAGAAACATCTCACCAATTTCAAATCCGGTAAGCGGCCTCTTTTTACTCTCTTCTCCAGCTTCCCTCACTATCCCTCAACCTCTTTCTCCTTTCAATCTTGGTGCCACACTTCAATCTCTCCCTTCTCTTAATTTCAATTCCTTTCATTTTCTGGTAGAGACAAAGGAGACACATTTTATCCGTGGACCCAAAACTCTGGCGTCGGTCACGGACTGGGAAGGCAGCCTTCCCTTGGTGTTTAATCATTGCAGGGGCACCTCTCTGATTATTCACCCACGTTTCAAAGGTGTCAGACCACGCAGGGATGCTTGCCTTGGTCCTTCACCCTTAGCGGCAAGTCCCGCTTTTCTGGGGAAGGGGCAAGTACCCCAACCCCTTCTCTCCTTGTCTCTACCCCTTCTCTGCTTTTCTGGGGGAGGGACAAGTACCCCTCAACCCCTTCTCCTTCACCCTTAATGGCAAGTCCCGCTTTTCTGGGGGAGGGGCAAGTACCCCTCAACCCCTTCTCCTTCACCCTTAGTGGCAAGTCCCGTGTTTCTAGGGGGCAAGAACCCCCAATCCCTTATTTCTGCACCCCAACCTCTTATCTCTGTGCCCTAATTCCTTATTTCCATGCCCCAACCCTTTCTCTGCTTTTCTGGAGGGCAAGAAACCCCTACCGCTTCTCCGTGTCTCTACTCTTTTCTCTGGGCTTGCCTCCTTCACTATGGGCAAGTTTCCACCTTCCATTCCTCCTTCTTCTCCCTTAGCCTATATTCTTAAGAACTTAAAACCTCTTCAACTCTCACCTGACCTAAAATCTAAGCATCTTATTTTCTTCTGCAATGCCGCTTGACCCCAATACAAACTCGACAGTAGTTCCAAATAGCTGGAAAATGGCACTTTCAATTTTTCCATCCTACAAGATCTAAATAATTCTTGTAGTAAAATGGGCAAATGGTCTGAGGTGCCTGACATCCAGGCATTCTTTTACACATCAGTCCCTTCCTAGTCTCTGTGCCCAGTGCAACTCGTCCCAAATCTTCCTTCTTTCCCTCCCTCCTGTCCCCTCAGTCCCAACCCCAAGCGTTGCTGAGTCTTTCTAATCTTCCTTTTCTACAGACCCATCTGACCTCTCCCCTCCTCGCCAGGCCAAGCTAGGTCCCAATTCTTCCTTGGCCTCTGCTCCTCCACCCTGTAATCTTTTTATCGCCTCCCCTCCTCACACCTGGTCCAGCTTACAGTTTCGTTGTGTGACTAGCCCTCCCCCACCTGCCCAGCAATTTACTCTTAAAAAGGTGGCTGGAGCCAAAGGCATAGTCAAGGTTAATGCTCCTTTTTCTTTATCCCAAATCAGAAGCCTTTAGGCTCTTTTTTATCAAATATAAAAACCCAGCCCAGTTCATGGCTCGTTCGGCAGCAACCCTGAGACACTTTACAGCCCTAGACCCTAAAAGGTCAAAAGGCCATTTTATTCTCAATATACATTTTATTACCCAATCTGCTCCCGACATTAAATAAAACTCCAAAAATTAGAATCTGGCCCTCAAACCCCACAACAGGACTTAATTAACCCATCTTCAAGGTGTACAATAACAAAAAAAAAAGTTGCAATTCCTTGCTTCCACTGTGAGACAAACCCCAGCCACATCTCCAGCACACAACAACTTCCAAACGCCTGAACTGCAGTGGCCAGGCGTTCCTCCAGAACCTCCTCCCCCAGGAAATTGCTACAAGTGCCAGAAATCTGACCACCAGGCCAAGGAATGCCTGCAGCCCAGGATTCCTCCTAAGCAGTGTCCCATCTGTGTGGGACCCCACTGGAAATCGGACTGTTCAACTCACCTGGCAGCCACTCCCAGAGCCCCTGGAACTCTGGCCCAAGGCTCTCTGACTGACTCCTTCTTGGCTTAGCAGCTGAAGACTGATGCTGCCTGATTGCCTCGGAAGCCCCGTAGACCATCACGGACGCCGAGCTTCAGGTAACTCTCACAGTGGAGGGTAAGTCCATCCCCTTCTTAATCAATATGGAGGCTACCCACTCCACATTACCTTCTTAAGGGCCTGTTTCCCTTGCCTCCATAACTGTTGTGGGTATTGACGGCCAGGCTTCTAAACTTGTTAAAACTCCCCAACTCTGGTGCCAACTTAGACAATACTCTTTTATGCACTCTTTTTTAGTTATCCCCACCTGCCCAGGTCCCTTATTAGGCCGAGATATTTTAACCAAATTATCTGCTTCCCTGACTATTCCTGGACTATAGCCGCATCTCATTGCTGCCCTTCTTCCCAATCCAAAGCCTCCTATGCGTCCTCCTCTTGTATTGCCCCACCTTAACCCACAAGTATAAGATACCTCTACTCCCTCCTTGGCGATGGTTCACGCACCCCTTACCATCTCATTAAAACCTAATCACCCTTACCCCACTCAATGCCAATATCCCATCCCACAGCACGCTTTAAAAGGATTAAAGCCTGTTATCACTCGCCTGCTACAGCATGGGCTTCTAAAACCTATAAACTCTCCTTTCCCTTCCCCCATTTTACCTGTCCTAAAACCAGACAAGGCTTACAAGTTAGTTCAGAATCTGCGCCTTATCAACCAAATTGTTTTGCCTATCCACCCTGTGGTGCCAAACCCATACACTCTCCTATCCTCAATACCTCCTTCTACTACCCATTATTCTGTTCTGGATCTCAAACATGCTTTCTTTACTATTCCTTTGCACCCTTCATCCCAGCCTCTCTTTGCCTTCACTTAGACTGACCCTGACACCCATTAGGCTCAGCAAATTACCTGGGCTGTACTGCCGCAAGGCTTCACAGACAGCCGCCATTACTTCAGTTAAGCCCAAATTTCATCCTCATCTGTTACCTATCTCGGCATAATTCTCATAAAAACACACGTGCTCTCCCTGCTGATCGTGTCCGATTAATCTCCCAAACCTCAATCCCTTACAAAAGAACAACTCCTTTCCTTCCTAGGCATGGTTAGTGCGGTCAGAATTCTTACACAAGAGCCAGGACCGCACCGTGTAGCCTTTCTGTCCAAACAACTTGACCTTACTGTTTTAGCCTGGCCCTCATGTCTGCGTGCAGCAGCTGCCGCTGCTTTAATACTGTTAGAGGCCCTAAAAATCACAAACTATGCTCAACTCACTCTCTACATTTCTCATAACTTCCAAAATCTATTTTCTTCCTCATATCTGACGCATATACTTTCTGCTCCCCGGCTCTTTCACAATTACCATTGTTCCTGGCCCGGACTTTCACATTATTCCTGATACCACACCTGACCCCCATGACTGTATCTCTCTGATCCACCTGATATTCACACCATTTCCCCATATTTCCTTCTTTACTGTTCCTCACCCTGATCACGCTTGATTTATTGATGGCAGTTCCACCAGGCCTAATCGCCACACACCAGCAAAGGCAGGCTATGCTATAGTACAAGCCACTAGCCCACCTCTCAGGACCTCTCATTTCCTTTCCATCGTGGAAATCTGTCCTCAAGGAAATAACTTCTCAGTGTTCCATCTGCTATTCTACTACTACTCAGGGATTATTCAGGCCCCCTCCCTTCCCTACACATCAAGCCCAAGGATTTGCCCCCCACCCAGGACTGGCAAATTAGCTTTACTCAACATGTCCTGAGTCAGGAAACTAAAATACCTCTTAGTCTAAATAGACACTTTCACTGAATAAGTAAAGGCCTTTCCTACAGGGTCTGAGAAGGCCACCGCAGTCATTTCTTCCCTTCTGTCAGACATAATTCCTCAGTTTAGCCTTCCCACCTGTATACAGTCTGATAACAGACTAGCCTTTATTAGTCAAATCAGCCAAGCAGTTTTTCAGGTTCTTAGTATTCAGTGAAACCTTTATATCCCTTACGGTCCTCCATCTTCAAGAAAAGTAGAACGGACTAAAGGTCTTTTAAAAACACACCTCACCAAGCTCAGCCACCAACTTAAAAAGGACTGGACAATACTTTTACCACTTTCCCTTCTCAGAAGTCAGGCCTGTCCTCGGAGTGCTACAGGGTACAGCCCACTTAAGCTCCTGTATAGACGCTCCTTTTTATTAGGCCCCAGTCTCATTCCAGACACCAGACCAACTTAGACTGTGCCCCCAAAAAACTTGTCATCCCTACTATCTTCTGTCTAGTCATACTCCTATTCACCGTTCTCAACTACTCATACATGCCCTGCTCTTGTTTACACTGCCGGTTTACACTGTTTTTCCAAGCCATAACAGCTGATATCTCCTGGTGCTATCCCCAAACTGCCACTCTTAACTCTTGAAGTAAATAAATAATCTTTGCTGGCAGGACTATGCTGAATCTCCTTAGGCACTCTCTAATCAGATATCCTGAGTCGTCCCAATTCTTAGACCTTTTATACCTGTTTTTCTCCTTCTGTTATTCCATTTAGTTGTTCAATTCATATAAAACCATATCCAGGCCATCACCAATCATTCTATACGACAAATGTTTCTTCTAACATCCCCACAACATCACCCCTTACCACAAGACCTCCCTTCAGCTTAATCTCTCCCACTCTAGGTTCTCACGCCGCCCCTAATCCCGCTTGAAGCAGCCCTGAGAAACATTGCCCATTCTGTCTCCATACCACCCCCCAAAAATTTTCGCCGCCCCAACACTTCAACACTATTTTGTTTTATTTTTCTTATTAATATAAGAAGGCAGGAATGTCAGGCCTCTGAGCCCAAGCCAAGCCATCGCATCCCCTGTGACTTCCAGGTATACGACCAGATGGCCTGAAGTAACTGAAGAATCACAAAAGAAGTGAATATGCCCTGCCCCACCTTAACTGATGACATTCCACCACAAAAGAAGTGTAAATGGCCGGTCCTTGCCTTAAGTGATGACATTATCTTGTGAAAGTCCTTTTCCTGGCTCATCCTGGCTCAAAAACACCCCCACTGAGCACCTTGTGACCCCCACTCCTGCCCGCCAGAGAACAAACCTCCTTTGACTGTAATTTTCCTTTACCTACCCAAATCCTATAAAACAGCCCCACCCTTATCTCCCTTCACTGACTCTCTTTTCGGACTCAGCCCACCTGCACCCAGGTGAAATAAACAGCCATGTTGCTCACACAAAGCCTGTTTGGTGGTCTCTTCACACGGACGCGCATGAAATCTTCATATTTTCTCAGATTGGTTATTTTCTGTTTTTCTTTGATGTTTAGAAAAGTGCCTTTTGAAAATCCCTGCCTGATTTAGCCCAAGAAAAGTCGGGGTGGGGGGTGTCCTTACTAAGTCCTAAAGTTAAAAGTCAGGAGGATGACAGATCTCTATATTTACATGGGTGTGTTTACTGCACATATATGTGTGTGAGCCTGTGAGCACATGTGCATGCATGTCTGTGTGTGTGTGTGCATGCATGTCTGTGTGTGCATGTACATGCTTGGGTATGCATATGAGAGCTGCATGGATGCAAGTGTGTGTAGCTGGTGCTTGTGTGTGCAGTGTATGTGTGCGCGTGTGTGTCATGTGTCTGCTTTAGTGATCAGGGCTGGGAGGTAGAGAGTGGAGGTGGGGGAGAAGAAAGCAAGCATGCACAGGGCAAGTCCTGGAGGGAGGAGGAGGAAGGGAAGTGCTCATTGCTGCTGCTCAGCCCATTATTAAAGAGAAACAACATTCCCAGCAGGAGGCAGAAGGGCAATAAAACCAGTGGCTCCACAATTTATGATGCTAACTGAGATTCCATAGTTTGAAACAAGACTATCCCCTGGAGCATCAAGGTCAACAAGCCAGCAATGCCCTGGCTTCCAAAGAGCTCCCCCGTGCCCACCTATTAATCAGCCCATTGCTGAAAGTGCACCAATGAGCTCTGCTCTGGAAACATCATTAATAAGCAGGGACAGGCCAGATTGCTAAAAATTCCAGGATAAGGGCAGAAAGGCATGGAAAAAAATATTTATATACACATATGTGTGTGTTTGCATATGGGGTGTAGCCTATTATGTATATTGGGCCATCCATTACAGGGGTCATATATAAGTGTGTCTCTTCATTTTCCATATATTTTATATTATACGAGAAATGTTCAGCCTTTAGAACCTTGCCAGATGGAATTAGAGCAATTGTTCTTCTGCCGAGACTTTGGGAAATTAATGAGGTTCGCACGCAGAGCCATGAGAAAATAGAATTTTTTTTAAAGAAGGAAAGAAAGAAAGGAAAGAAAGTGCCCCGTTTCCAAAAATACAGCAGCCACAATCCCAGAGAGAGCTATCCGTTTAGTGGCTAATCTTGAGGCCCATCAGTTGCCCCAGCTTATCTTTTGGGTTATTGCAATTCTGAATGGAGCTTTAATCAGCTTAGCCCAGCCTGGGCGCCACGCGCCTGCCGGCAAAGGGCATTTTCCTACAGATCCTCTGGAAACCGTCTCCTCTGCTCTTAATAAATGGATCATTCTCTCTCTGGGTCCATCCTGGAATGCAGCGCTTAACTTTCTTTTGTGTTCAAGGAAAGAAAAAGAGCAATTATAGGGAGGAAACCCATGCACTCTGAACCCCAAATTGAAGGACTGAGCATTTTCTTTATACCAAGGCTTCAATATTGTCTAGGAGGTTGGACCCCAAATTGGAAGTGTCATTCCCAAAAATGTGTTTCTGTTTTACTGTTCTATCAACAAAACTTTTCCTGGATTCTCTGTCCCTGTCAGAGACCACCCTGAAAAAGGACTCTGTGCAACTTTTGTCACTCTCCAAGCCCCCTGGGACAAGCCTTTGGCCAACATGGCGACCTCCCATTCTGATGGCTCCCCTACAATGCAAGGGGGTGGGACGAGAGCCCAGCGCTGGGTCTTTGCCTCATCAGATGAGCAAGCTGGTCCCAGATGAAACCACTGCTGGCTTGCCTCCTGCTCTGCTCCATTCTATGCCTCCAGTTTGGAACAGGAAGGGATTTTTGTCAGCAATCATCCCCAAAGGGTGTTTTCCTATTGCTTAACAGGCCCCAGAACCAGAAATGCTGTGCATTTTCCCAGCTCTTTGGCTCCCTGCAGCCCTGTCTTCTGTTTGGAGCTGTCTCGGAGGGAACACAGAAAATTTACAATATGCTGTGTTTGTTCTGAAACAACAGAAAATGGCTCTGAAGCGGAGCTTTAAGAGACTATTCTTGCTAGCAATGTAGGGAAGGGCATATATATTCTTTTGTATATGCATGCATTGAGATGATATGTGGGAGATTGTTTAAGCTGCCCTTTTTTTGAGCATGTACTGTATACCAGCAGTATATGTTAAGCATTTATATCCATCATGCAATATCTTTGATGAAATGGAGACTCAAAATTTTCCAAGGTCCAAGAACTGGTGAGTGTAGGAGTTGGGGTTTTTCAACCAGGTCTGTTTGATCCAGAGTGGGTTCTGTGTCCCCCTGAGTCCTGTTCCAGGGTCATCAAATGTCAGAACTTCCAATAGAAAAAGATAAGCTCACTAAACAGTGCCCTTTTGCAGATAGACAATTGATCTTGTCAATTACTAAGTAGTAGAAAGGAGACCAGAACCCAAGTAATACAGGGATCTTATTCTGTGTTTCTGTGTGTTTAAAAAACGATGAAGTGGAGTGGGGAGGAAAGGCTCCCTCCCTCTGCACCAGTCTTTGCAGAGGGTCCTTACCTTCCTCACTGAGTAAACTCAAAAGGCATCTGCTCAACTACCAGGGCTATGAGTATGAATTCATTCATTCCATTACCCTTAACACACCCTGGGCAAGAGTGATCACCTGATGGTGGGAGGACAGCAATTGAAGGACCAAAGGCAGCCTCAGTCCAAGAACCAGTGTCAGTGCTGAGCCTGAGAGCAAGTGCCTCATCATAAGAGTTCCTGAGAGGGCTAAGGCCGGACATGGTGGCTCATGCCTGTAATCCCAGCACTTTGGGAGGCTGAAGAGGGCGGATCATGAGTTCAGGAGATCAAGATCATCCTGGCCAACATGGTGAAACCCTGTCTCTACTAAAAATACAAAAATTAGCTGGGTGTGGTGGTGTGCGCCTGTAGTCCCAGCTACTCGGGAGGCTGAGGCACGAGAATCACTTGAACCTGGGAGGCGGAGGTTGCAGTGAGCCGAGATCAGGCCACTGCACTCCAGCCTGGGTGACAGAGTGAGACTCCATCTCAAAGTTAAAAAAAAAAAAGAGTTCCTGAGACGGCTGGGTACTCTGCACACACAGGCAAACTGAGTGCAGCTTCCTAAGCTAGGGTCCCCAGGAATGGATTCTGACTCACGGACTCTCCAGAGAGAGGGAGACGCTAAGCTGCAGAGCCAAGGGAGGTGGGGAGGACAGCAGCTGCTATTGTTGTTTCTCTCTCGACCTTATTAAGGCAAGAGGAGGACCCATTGTGCTCCTAATGATTGCTGAGATATGAGGTATGTTCACTGAGAGGAAGTAGTTTGGTTTTAATTAAAAACACAGACCTTAAGATGAGCTAGAGAAGGAAAAATTCAGGGCCAACCTTCAAAGCAGCTTTTGGGAAACTGAATTTGAGTTCCACCTAAGTTTCATGACCTTGAATGAGTTATGTCCTTATGCTTTGGTTTTGCCATTATTGTGACTGGCATGTAAGAATTTTTGTTGATCTACATTGTTACAAATATGGGATTTTTCAACCCAGCTCTAAGCAGAGGCTTTGCATTCCATGGTATCTTCATTTATTCACATTGCACCTTAAAAGAAAGAGAAAGGAAACCGATAGTCATTGATAATTTACTCTGTACCAGGTACTATATTAATCCAGTTTCATCCTCATCTTACATAGTTTCAGCCCCATTGATAGATGAGTGGCAGAAAGGTTTCAAATGTTACCTGATCTCACACAGCTTTAAACTGAAGAATTGCTGTTCTGATCCAAGTCTGTCGAATCTTTGTCTGTACTCAAACTGTCTCTGATGCTTAACATCATGCTTACACATTTTTACATTCTCAACAAAAACCAAGGGATGATTCTTTCCATGCTCCTTGGTACTCAGCTTTTCTTGCCCTATATCATTTCCATTTGCAAATGGGCCCTGCTTGCGCATTTGGAACATTTATTTGCAAATTAACATTTTCACATCCAACTGTTCACCCACCTCTATGTACTTAAGTCAAAAAGACTGCAGGACACTTACGTTATCTCCTTCTCACATGAAGCTAATGCCTGAAATCCAACTTGTCCTTGGGCCTATAGCTAAGTCCATGGAGTAGAGGAGGTGCCAGTGATGGTGGCTTGGTGCAGCAAATGGGCATGCCTCACCCCACGTTCCCAATCCACTTCCCCTCCTGACTTCCCATTTAGGAGTCAATAGGATGATATTCTATCATTAGCTGAGGCTTCAGGGCCAGGGTTATGTCAGACCTGCCCTGGCTGGGCCTGGGTCTCGCAAGCTGCCCAGATGATCCCAGGGTCCCCAATGGGGGTAGCTTAGTAAATACCACAATTCAGAGATGTCTCAAATTGTGGAAGGGAAAATTAACTCAGTGGCTGTATATCAAAAGGCAAGTGGCCATTCATCAATAAAAGGCATTAGTTACTTAGCCTTTCAAGAAAAACGAGCCACCAATACCTACAAGAGAGAAGCCTAAGAACAAATAACCTCTAAGTCCAAATGGGGCACTTCATCATCCAGCTTTTCCCTCTACCTGTAGATTTCTGATTGGCCTCTCTACCACTTTTATTGCCTCAACTCAAACTTATTTTCATGTGATGGAGAGTCAAGGCTTCAGGGTTTCAGGGCCATGTGTCTATTACTTTACTGTTTACTGAGAGATAACAGCTGAAAGAACTCTTGCATTTTTAGAATTGGATTTCTTTTTTTGTTTTTTCTTTCATAACAGCAGGCTTCTGCTCTGTTTGGCTCTATCTGGTTGTGTCTGGTCATGCTCTGTCCTCTGCAGTAACTTCCCTGCTTTAGTTCTCCTTCTCCTTTCCGGAGCCAGTCCCTTCCAGCTTCTCCTCTGGTTATTCTAGTGGAGCCCCATGATGTCTGTTCCAGCTGTTTATAATTACCTCCCTCAGGCTGCTTGGGGTGAGTGACTCAGCACTCTGCCTTGTTTTTTGTTTCTTTCCTTTTTTTTTTTTTTTTTTTAAGAAGCCAGATATTTGTTTAACATAGTCCATCCAATATCACAGCCACTAAATGCTCATTTCTGGTTCCCAGATCTAAACAGCACCTACAGTTCTCAAGTCACTT
Source organism: Homo sapiens (assembly GCF_000001405.40). Taxonomy (NCBI): domain Eukaryota; kingdom Metazoa; phylum Chordata; class Mammalia; order Primates; family Hominidae; genus Homo; species Homo sapiens. The sequence continues at coordinate 40,279,801 of NC_000020.11, forward strand.
TGTATAAATAGGTTAGATTTTGAAAGTAGAAGTAACTGGACCTGAATTCCACCTCCAGCCTTTTGTGCCTGTCTCTTAGCCTCTCTGAGTCTGTTTTCTCATCTCTAAATAGGGGCCATGGCATGTGTTCACAAAGTTATTTTGGAGATAAAGTGAGACAATGAACAGAAAAGGCCGAATGCAGTGCTCACCCACTATTTTTTTTTCTCCAAACATAAGCATATTATTTCTCTTTTGTTTCAGATATCCACTTAAAAATTACATCTTATAACTTATTCCTTCTAATCGCCTCTTGTATGCTCCCACTTCTCTTCCATTTCTATTACTTTACTCCTATTAAATCAAGGTCATAATGCTTATTTCTGAACATGTGCAGTAATGCCCAAGTGGTTTTTTAGCTTCTGATCTTTGACTTTTTGACATCAAATTAATCTTCTAAATTGTACATTCTTTTCTTTTCTTTTTTTTTAGACAGAGTCTCACTCTGTCACCCAGGCTGAAGTGCAGTGGCACGATCTCGGCTCACTGCAACCTCTGCCTGCCAGTTCAAGCAATTCTCCCACCTCAGCCTCCCAAATAGCTGGGACTACAGGCATGCACCGCCACCACACCTGGCTCAGTTTTTGTATTTTTTGTTAGAGATGGATTTTCGCCATGTTGGCCAGACTGGTCTCAAACTCCTGACCTCAAGTAATCTGCCCGCCTTGGCCTCCCAAAGTGCTAGGATTACAGGCATGAACCACCACCACACCGGGCTTAATTGTACATTCTATCCCTGCTCCACTATCAGTACCTAGCCTTCCCTGGTTGCTTTCAGCTGCAGGTCTGAGTTTTGCCCCTGTGGATTCAACACTACCTTCCCTGTCCTCTGTGCGAGTTTTGACAAACGCAGGGGATCTCCTCAGATTTATCCATTTGGCAGATAATTAACTATCTATCACCCACTAAGTGCCAATTGCTGTTAAGGATCTTGAGGTCAGACATGAGTAAGACACAACATATTTCCTCAACATAAGGTTGCCTCATGGCTAAGCACATCTAAGTCACTCTGGCAAAAACTCTCCATTGCCACGAAGACTTTACTCCATGTCCATCCTAAACAAACCAGTCTCAGCCTCACCAGACAGTGAGCTCTCAAATGAATTTTGCACTCCTAGGCCTTGCTTTTACTGCTACAGCATGCCTTTATTCATTCGGCAGATAATTAACTATTACCTACTAAGTGCCAATTGCTGTTAAGGATCTTGAGGTCAGACACGAATAAGACACAACATATATCCTTTAAAGAATTATAAGATCACGCCAGGCACGGTGGCTCATGCTTGTAATCCCAGGACTTTGAGAGGCTGAGGCAGGCAGATCACCTGAGGTCAGGAGTTCAAGACCAGCCTGGCCAACATGGCAAAAACCCATCTCTACTAAAAAATACAAAAATTAGCCAGGCGTGGTAGTGGGCACCTGTAATCCCAGCTACTAGGGAGGCTGAGGCAGAAAGAATTGCTTCAACCCGGGAGGCGGAGGTTGCAGTGAGCCAAGATTATGCCACTGCACTCCATCACTCCAGCCTGGGTGACAGAGTGAGACTCCGTCTGAAAAAAAAAAAGAAAAGAAAAGAAACAAAAAAAAGAATTATAACGTCAGTGGGAGAAATAAATTCCTTGATAAGAGCTAGGATGACGAGATATACAAGTTCTTGTGCTTCTTCTGCCAGTTAGAAGAATCTTCCTAATTCTCACTCATTCTTTCATTCAAGTGATTTTTTTTGTATTTTGTTGTTGTTGTTGTTGTTTTGTTTTTTGTTTCTTTTGAGCACCTCAGATAATATAGGCATTGAGGATGTAGTAATAAAAACACAAACATGGTCTTCATTTTCACAGAGCTTACAGTCTAGTGGGATATAAAGATAACACATGATTAAATATGTAATTGCAACTTGTGAGAAGTTAATTCATCAATTCGACAGATATTTATTGAGTGCCAACAATGTCCCAGGCACTGTTCTAAATACTGTATATACAGTAACAAAGCTACAGACCTTTCCTGACTTCATAGATCTTCTACACAGCAATCAAGAAACAAGATAAAAAGGTAACACATATTACAGGTTACTGGTAAATGCTAAGGAGAAAAAACATAAAACAGGAAATAGGGATAATAAAACATCATGGGGAGAAAGGGGTTTTTACATTTTGAATGAGGTGGTCAAGGAATGCCTCCCACGTAAATGACTTTTGAAAGAGAACCTTGAAGGAGTGAAGGAGCAAGGCATGAGGATATCTGGGAAAAGAGCAGTCCCGGAAAAGGGAGTGGCAAGTGGAAAGGTATGGAAGTGGGAGTCTATCTGGGTAAAGAAAAATACAGCCCAGTAACAAAGAAGAGCAAGGGGTGTCTACTGCAGTGTTCAGCCAAGGCCTCTGTAAAGATACACCCTTAATCTGAGGTGTAAAGGCTGAGGCAGGTGTCCACCTGGGTTATATGAGTGTGTGCTCCATTTTGGATTTCTTTTTCTCACTCCAGATGCTTCCAGAGGCTAAAACTTATTTCTGAGAACCAGCCCACTCCAATGACAGCCGGCCCCTTCCAGCTGCCTCCTTCCAGGGGCCTCCAACCTGCACCCTGCTCCAAATTAGGATGATACCCCATTGTTATCACAGCTTGGAGATTCCTGATATCTCTGCTCACACTCCCACTCCCACAATGCCCCACTACAGGGATGAGACTAAGCTGGAACCTCTTGGAATTCTCTACATCCATTTGGACAACTGGAACCCCTCCCTCTACCAACAGCCAGTTTTCCAACTGGGCAAGTTTCCTCCATATTTATCTCAGTGCCTCTTCCTCTTCCAGAAGCCTCCTGTCCCTGAGGTCCCAGCATGCCTTGCAGCTAGTCATGGCCAAGTTCTGACATGTTCACACTTCCCCGAAAAAGAAAAAATCAGCAGTATAGCTTCTGGAGACTTGATTATTTATGGGGCTTCAGTCTACTTGGAAAGCCTACAAAGAAAAACGACAAAGGAATTTGAGTTGTGATGAGTTATGTTCAATTCTCCTTTGCCATTTACTAGCTGTAAGTCTCCAGGAAAGTTAACTTCACTGAGCTTCAGTTTTCTCATTTGTAAACTGGGAATTCCTTTCCTACCTTAAAGCTTTTGAAAGAATCAATAAAATAAATTAATTGAAGTACCCGAAACATAAGTGTCCCAATGAACGTTTGTTAAATCTGAAACTTCCATGTCCTCTTTGGTTTATGCCAAGTGCCAGCAAACTACTGTGTATAGGCTGAATCCAACCCATGGCTTGTTTTTCATAAACAAAGCTTTATTGGAACATGGCCACACCATTAATGTACATATTGTCAAAAAATGCTGATTGCCACAGCAGCAGAGTTGAGTAGTTGCCACAGAGACCATATGGCCTCAAAGCCTAAAATATTTACTATCTTGCACTGTATAGAGAAGATATGCAAATCCCTAGTTTATACCATCATGGGACACTAGAATATTGTGGTTGAGTGCAGGAGCTGGAGTCAGGCTTCCTGAGTTTAGATGCACTTTTACCACTTACTAACTATGGAATTCAGAGCAAGTTATTTGATTTATCTATACCTTTGTTTTCACTTCTGTAAAAAGGGAATACTAGTTTCTTACATTAAGTTGATGAAATAATTAAATGAGCCAATCTAGTGAAGCATCCAGCACACTGTTAGGCAAATGGTTAGGGTTAATCAATATAATGGTTATTATTGTGAATATTATATAATGTTATTACATATGCTATCCAAGCACTCTCTCCATTAACTGGGACTATGGATGGCTTTTAAAATCAACCTGAAAACCAAGGTTCCTGACTAAAATGGCATTTGGCATATAAACATCCCTCCAAGGATGTTTATATGCCAAGGATCAGGGCTCAAGGATCTGAACCCACCTTCATCTACTTTTCCTTATGGCCACATCCCTCCTTCTACTTCCTCCCTAGAACCTGCTTGGTAATGTGGCCTGAAGATTCAGGCTCTCTAGATGAGACTTTCTCTGTAATGCCCTTGGCAGGTGTGGGCATGAGTCACCGCTGAGCCCAGACCTTTTGCTAGTGAGGATGCACCTCCCTTCAATCATCATTGGCATGCACTGCACACCTTACTGGGCCTTGACATTGACCAGACTGAAGGAAGGAGGAGCAACCTCTAGTGACTCCTGTGAGCAGCTGAGGACTTGTTGAGCAGAACTTACAGCTTAAAGTTAAGGGCTAAAGTGATAGCCCAGGTGGAAAGAAGAACTAGGTCAGGGCAGGCAAGGACAGATGCCCTAATGTCTTGGGTGAGGCCACCTCCTGGAAACTAGAAACCCGAGTGTTGGGTGCCCAAATGTTAAAACACAAGAGCTCCCGTTAAATAACTCTGACTAGACAGATGTGAGTCAATAGGTCAAAAAGGATCAAGAGCCATAGAGTTGAATATACTCAGAGCCACTTGGCAAGCAAGAAAAAAAAAAAGAAGGCTGTCCAAGGAGACCTTGTGTGTGTGCGCGCGTGCGCACATGTGTATAAATATCTATACTCTATAGCCAGTGAGGGATAAGACAGAGCAACAACGCAGCATGAGTATGTTTGATTCCTCTACAATGCAAGATTTCTAACATTTATAAAACAGTTGACTCTCATTTTCCTTTTTTAATGACACAATTTCTTAAGTCAACATAACCTGACAAAATATGTTCAACTTTGGACGTGCATAAAAAGTCTTACAAAGTTATACATTCAATCAAACAGATTTACGTACCATTTTTAAGGACAAAATAGCAGACTCACGATATCAGGTTAGCCCCAGATCTTCTGAGACTCATGATTCCCCTATCAATAGGACATACACTTTGAAGCAGCTATCAGTAATTTTTAAAGAAGACTTCCCATGTGAATCAAAGGGGGTTGATTCAGAGCCAAGCCACCTGTAGGGAGTGTAGCACAAGCTGCCACCACCTCACCCTGAATGGATAAAGATATTCATGCTTCAAATCTAGGGCCCCAGCACACGCCCCAGGTGTGGCAATATTGAGGCGCAATAGTCCTGTCAAGGAATGCAGGTGACTGTTAAATTGGTTTGCTGGAGCCAAGAAATTGTCTTTAGCAAATGAGGACACCTCCTTGAAAAATAAAGACCTCAGCCAAAAGTGCCAGGAACTCTCTTGCTCCCAAAGTAAGGTAATTTTCTATCTTAAATAGCCAGTCCTGGCCCCAGTGAACTTTGCAAGCAGGTAACTAGAGCATTCTCTAAGAAAAAAAAAAATTATTTCTCACACTGACATGTTCTTTCTTTCACTTTATTATCATTCCAGGTACAGAACTGAGTATAGGGGCAAATGAGTCTAAATGAAGGAACTTTCTAGTCCCCAAACAGGGTGTGGTATATAATAGGCTCCCCATAAATTTGCAGAGGCTTTCTGATTGACTGTGTTCCACTTTGGGCAAATAAACCGAAGCCATTTGTTCTCTGCCTGATGCTACCTCTGCACACTGTTGTTTCAAGCATGTTTCTAAAATGTTCTCTTTGCTGACAAGAATTGAATACATCAAAATGTAATAACATTCTCGTAGATATTTCTTTTTTGATGCTTTCTAAACAAATTACCCATTCCAACATAGAGATTAATTAGAAATATGCTTTCATTTCAGCTTGTCCGTGTGTCTGTCTGTCTGACAGGCTAGTAGCATCTTTGCATCATACCAGCCAAATCCACAATAAATCTAGTCATGCCCAAAGGTGGGTTTCAATGTGTTCAGGAGCTTGAGCTAGGAAACTCAGGATGAGCATAATGGAAGGTGGAAATACTATGGATAATTTAGCAAACATTTTGGGAAAACATCAGATTTTCCACAAGTGTGGGATTCATCAGCGTTAGAGAAGGAATGCTGGGTGCATCTTCGCACATCCACAATGCACACAATTTGAGACTGGCACTTGCCTTCTCTTAGCCCATCAGGCTCTGCAAACACACAGGCTGCAGAGAGAGGAGAGAATGTACAACCTAAAAGGAGCTTCTCTTCTTTTCTCTTGAAGGCATTTAACCCCTTGGCACTTCAGAGATTTTCTGCTTTAGGCCTGAAGCTAAAGATGAGGATAGGTTATGTTGCTGAACAAAATGAGAAATTCTTCTCCCCGAGACAGAAAGGTGGGCTGGACCGCCTTTTGAGGTTTGGTGGTAGTTGCTTTGAGGAGATGCTATCTGAAAGATCAACTGCGCAAGGGTTGATCTATGAGGCACATGACCGCAGTGCTTGCCTGCCTGAACAACATGGTCCCTGCCCAGTTTCTTCTTATAGGTGAGTCAAATAGATTGCTCCAAATTTTGCCATTTGGGAGTAACTGCATTTATGACTGATCGTGTCCCCCGAACAAAGTCACTGAGGCAAACCCAGCCCCACAGCATATCTGCCCTGGTTATAAGCATTTCCCTACCACCTATTGTAAGCTCAGAGCAGTGCTGGGTGATTTCACAGGGAGCCACCAAATATTTCGAGTTCTTTATCTTGATCCTCCTGGCAGCCTTTCACACAGGTACTGCAGGGAGGTCCTTACTAAGTCCAGAGCTAGGTGCTGGGGATACAGAGATGAGCAAAAACCAAGGTGAAGGGCTCAGAATCCAGTTAGGGGAATGGACACTCACCCCAAAATCACATCAACTAATGTGCTATTCCACAATGACTCAAGTGCTTGGAGGGGGAGGACCAGGGTCCTAGGCAAGTTCTGGGAAGCATAGCACAGTGGTTAAGGTTAGAGACATCTGCCCAGAGTCCAATCTCAGCTCTGCCTGCTTTGCTATGAGATCTCAGCCAAATCGTTTGGTATCTCTGTGCTTTATGTGTAAAACAAGACTCCTAATAGCACCTGCATCATGCGGTCAGTATAGGAGTAAGTGAGATATTTGCAAAACGCCTAGAATAGTGCAATGTACGTATGCAGCTAAGGAACATGCAGCTATGGAGATCTGTGAGGGACAAACCATTATTCTTATTTTGGTGATGAGAAACTGAAGTTCAGGTAGATGATCTGACTACCCCAAGGTCATATACTCTGTGTACCTGGGCGGCTACCTCTGCTGCCCCCCAAATCTGGCAATCCACTCCTTCACCATGCTGCCTCCTGTCTTGGCAAAGGAGCATGTCAGGGAGCCCCAGCCTCGGGCAGGGCTCAGCTATCACCACCACAGAAGCAGCCTCACTATCATAACACATCTCTGTTTAAGAAACATAAACCACCCTTTGGCAGCTTCTCAAGTACATGTCAGAGCCATTAAAGAGCTCCCTCCCCTCACCCCACTTTTCTGCTTTGACTGTAAGACCTAGCCTTACAGGGAAACACACAAGAGCTTACCCAACAGGTTTCCCCAACAACCATGCCAGAGCAGGCAGGCCCCAAGGAGCCCAGGTCTGGGAGGGCCCACCCTCCTGGCTGCCAATGCCCCCTCTGACCCGGGCGCCGGCGGCCTCCCTCTCCTCCTGTCTGAACCTGCTGCCTGGGAAGGGCTGATGTCACTAATCTTGCCCTTGTAGCTGCAGGCCATCTCAGGCTCCCAAACGCGATTACCCACACCACCAGCTTCACGCAGGCCCTGCCTCCTTCCCCCTGGCACCTCTCCAGCTGTGGCTGAGAGCCCAGCTTGGTAAAGGGATGGCCTGGCCCAGTGGTGAGTGTCCCGGCCGGGCAACTTGGCGCAAGCCTGACAAGTAGCATCTGTGCTTGTGGAACCTAGCAGCAAGAGCTGGGCCAAAGAGCTGAGTTCCAAAGCTGGGCCTGCAGAGGACAGAAGAGACTCTGGAAATGAGATGACAGGATCAGAACAGGTCACAAATCTTCAGGGAGTTATTCTAAGAAGAAATCACACCCAGTTCCCAAACTGAGTGTAAATGACTCCTCGGAAAACCATTAACGGTGCCCACCTTTCCATTTCTCATTAGTAGCCTCCTTGCATCCTGGACTATATTGGGGACATATCATGTTCACATTCTCCACTGATGGGAGCTGAGGCCATACTCAGAATTTCCCAAGGGCTCCTGAGGACAGTAAAGGTGGTGAGAAGGCAGGTGTTTGGCTCAGAGTTGGCAGAACAAGCAGGGACTCCAGAGGGCAATCAGATTTAGTGCAATAAAAAAAAAAAAAACATTAAAATGAAAGCAGTAACAATAGCTCACATTTGTCAAGCTCCCACTCTATCTCAGGATCTATGCAAAATACTTTATGCACATGAGCTCACTGAAACCTCACAACCACTGGGAAGGTGGATGTTGATATTTTTCATCTTACAGATGAGGAAACCTGAATCTAATGGAGAAGAAATTACTTGGCTGAAGCTATTCAGATGCTAAGTGGCTGACCTGAAATTCAAAACCTGGTATGCCTGACCCCAGGACAGACCCTTCCATGAATAATAGGGGCCAGGGGTCTCTCTGCTCCTCCTCATGAGCTATTGTGTCATGGTTTTACAAACAGCAGAAACTCATCTTTTTGCTTCTAATCCACCTGGATCTCTGATGCTTTAAGTCCAATACCAGATAGGTAAGTTTGACACATCTTTGGGGGTTGCAACTGACCAAATACTAGTCATTGACCAGGTAATGGGCAGCTTAGAAGCTCTGGAGTCAGATGTGAAAATGTTTCCCAACTATGCAATTAATAGTCTGGGTGAACTTGCTTGTGTTCATATACTTCTTTGAGCCAAAGGCTTCTTATCTATAAACCAGGACTAATTATCATTACATTAATAAGCAGGGAAGAGGTGGAGGAAAAATGGAGTAGACATTTGAAATACAATGGCAGACTAGATTGCAAACTCTAGGGAGGCAGGAAGCAATTACATCTTGTCCCTGCTGTACTTAGAGCATCCAGTTCCCTGCCTGCTAGACACTTTGTTCAATAAATTCTTTTGAAGAATCCATTTTACAAAATTACTTGCAAGTTTATGCAAATAGACACATTGGTTACATGTACTACCAATAAGAAACAATCCATATGACCATGGATGGAGCATAGCTAAACAAACGTGAGTTATTTCATGAAATCGAATGTGAGATAGTCATGAAAAGGAGCGAGAGAACTCTATCTGTAATCATGTAGAGAGGCAAGCAGGTATATAAATAGAGTGAGGGGATTGCAGAACAATTTGCATTTATGGCAAAGTGCCTAAAAGAGGGTCAAGAGAAGAATCCATACTAGTCTACTAAAAGTGGTTACTTCCACTTGAAATTAAAATTTCAAGAAGGAATGGTAAGTGGAGAAGGCGGTGTGGTTGCTGGTGTAGGAATATATTTACTTTTTGCCCTGTGCACTTTTGCATTTTTTAATTTGTTTTGACAACGAATCTGATATTTTTTGTTACACAAAAATGCAGTCAAAATTATTCACTCATTTTAAATAAGTGAATAGAAGAATAAACATCTCGAATGCCAAACATAAAATAGGCCCCACAAATGTTCATCTTTTTCTCTCCCTTCCCCTAAAGAATATTTATCATGTATCTGCATCTCTATGACCACAATAAGACATTCAAACATATGCAAAATCTTGCTAAAATTGGTTTTGCCCATCAGTGTGTGTGGCCCTGCAAAATCTGATGGCACCCAGCTTTGTGGAGTTTCCTGGCTATGTCTTAAAAGGACACATGACAGACAGCACAGCCATGGGTTTGCTCCAAAACAGAAACAGAAACTTGGATGCTTTGACAAAATTTGAAAAGGGATGGGTGGGCTCCTGGGATATCTAGCTTAGAAATAATTCTCATCGGAGGCTCTGCCATGACCTCAGTGCCAAGGAATATTCATTATCATGGACCTAGTGTCTTACCAAAGAGTCATAACTCTAAATTAGAAAACCTTAAGGCCCAAGAGAAAAGTGAAGAAGGGCAGAGTGGTAAGACAGGATCATTTCCAGAGCCAGTGAACAGTCATTCAACATAGCCAGGTCCCCTTCCAAAGGAACACGCCCTTGGTTGACTGCATTTGTGTATCTAATTATCGAGAGAAGTGGGCAACTTTTGTTTTGAGTCCCTACTATCTAGACCCAGCCATTTCCAAACAGACCTTGAACGTGGTGGAGGGGCAGAGAAAGAGCAGAAAGGTCAGAAACAAACATTTAGGAAACACTTACTTTGTTTCTGGAACCACTCTAGCTGTCTAACAAAGAAGGTCTCCTAGGACTTCGAAATACCTTAGGAGGTAAATTAGATTACCCCCATGTCACAGGTGGCTTAGAGAGGTTAAGTGATGATCCCACAGGGATTTAATAGCAGAGCCTGGAAGAAAATTTAGGTTTGTTTGACTCCAAAGCCCATCTTCACCCAATACAACATACCCAAAGCAAGGGAACACACATACACAAACACACAACTCTTTTTTTCACTGTAACTACTTATACAACTGGACTAGATTATAGAGGGTGATGTTTTCTTCCCAATGTTTCATACTCTCTGGGAAGAGTAAAAGACACATTGGACAGAGCAAGAATGTCACACTGTCATACATCATGCTGATATTCACTTCTTAGAAAATACTTTTGATATTGTATATGAAGTCTCATAAATATTCATTTTCCTAATCTCCTTATACCAATAGATGGTACTGTTTAACTCTCTGTGGAGAGCTGTGAGGCAGACATTGGCAAGGGATGAATCCCCAATCTCTGCTCCTCCCCAAAAGTTGACAGCCTGGTAGGATGGATATTTGGGTTGCTTTTATTTTGTGGTGAAATATTGCAGTAACTATTCCTGCTTTGCTTCTTCTTAGGTACTGTAGGAGTTTAAAAGTTCCTGAAAGAGCATCAGCTCAAACACATCAACTTACAAATGAAGAAAATGCAGACAGAGAAACGAAGTTCTTTCTTAATATTACATAGTAAGTCAGTGGAAGATCCTGGAGTAACTTATGCTCCATGGCTCCCTGACTCCAGGTAGTCAAATGTCTTGACAAACAGGGAAGCCTACTCCATGTGTTTTGTTAACAGATTTATTGACTTCAATGTATAATTTACATAATATTGAATTCACTTGTTTTAAGTGTACAGTTAAATGACTCTTTGTAAATTTATAAAATTGTACAATCATTGCCACCATCTAATTTTAGAACCTTTCCATCACCCTAGAAAACACACCTTGAGCCCACTTGTAAACAGCCCCTGATCCCACCCCTACCCCCAGAAAGCTGCAATCTACTTTTTGTCTCTATAGATTTGCATTTTCTGGATATTTCCATATGTAGACTCATACAATATATGGTATTATGTGTTTGTTTCTTTTTCACGTAGCATAATGTTTTAAGGTTCATCCATGTTGTTATGTGTATCCATACTCCACTTCTTTTTATTGGCAAATTGTTTTCTATAACATGGATATATCCCATTTTGTTTACCCATTTACTATTTAATGGATATTTGAGTTGTTTTCACTTTTTGGCATACTGGGTTTTAACCCACATGCCTACCCCAAATGACTGATCGTGGCTGCTATGTATATGAAGGATTTTGTGGCTATATCTAGACTCAATGGGAAGAGTGCCCTTGATGATTAGTTATTTCTGTCAGTGGAGAGGGAACAGAAAATGTGGGCATGCATACAAAGTATCATTACACTGTTTCCAAAGGGGTCTCTTCTTGTTTTAAATAAAGTAGTCACATTTCTCTCATGAAAAGAGTTAAAAGAAGGCAAGTCACTGCAATTGGGAAGAATCATGCTCATTTTTGGTGATGAGCATACCTTTTACATACAATTTACTACTGCACAATCAGTGGCTGGGGCTTCTTTAGCATATTTTTCTGGAAAGGCAATGGAGCCACATGGTCATGGCTCCTTCAGGCCAGTTTCTCACTGGGCTCAGGATTAACACCATTTATGTGGCCAAGGGTTGGTGAACTCAACCGCAGATAGCCCCAAGTGACTGATGAGTTAGCATTCCTGGTGATCTTGTCAACAGCCAAGTTGGGTCTTTTTTAATTTTTTTATTCTGTTTTTTTTTTTTTAAGTAAAACTAGGAAGATATATTATTTCCAGTTTTCCCTTGGGGATGGAAGTATAGACTTAACTATTTCAAAACTCAGTGGGCTTGGTGGTGTCTTTGTATTGTCATTTATAAGAAAAGAGATGGGAATTTGAGTGGGCCTGTTGGAAGAATGAGGAAATTGTGGTTTATGTAAATACATCCCAAGCAAAAAATCCAGTATTACTTTAGGATAATATAAAGAAAACACTGTTGTCAGGGGGAAAAATAGATAGAAAAAGAAAAAGTATTAGAGGATAAAGAAGAAGAGGAAGAAGGCAGAAATTGATAAAGGATAAAATAAATTGCAAATAACGCATTGGTTGTTTGTTAGTCAAACTCAGCCTACAACCATGTTGTAATTGTTCCACATCTTTTTGCAAAAGAAAATGAATTGGTTCCAACACTTAAAAAAATCAGGACACATTATGTACATTTCTAAGTGCCCTATGTGCTTTGAAAAAAGAAAGAAAGTAGATGACAGGTTGATGCGTGCAGCAAACCACCATAGCACGTGTACATCTATGTAACAAACCTGCACATTCTGCACATGTACCCCAGAACTTAAAGTATAATAAGAAGAAGAAAAAAGAAAGAAAGTCTGGTAAACATTTGCTATAATAGAGTAATAGCTGTTCCCTGTGAATGGGGCAAAAACGTAGGTTTATTGCGGCACCGTTAACAATAGCAAAGACTTGGAACCAACCCAAATGCCCAGCAATGATAGACTGGATAAAGAAAATGTGGCACATATACACCATGGAATACTATGCAGCCATAAGAAGGATGAGTTCATGTCCCTTACAGGGACACGGATGACTCTGAAAGCCATCATTCTCAGCAAACTAACACAAGAACAGAAAACCAAACACAACCTGTTCTCACTCTAAAGTGGGAGTTGACCAAGAAGAACACATGGATGCAGGGAGGGGAACATCACACACTGGGGCCTGTCAAGGGGTAGGGGGCTAGGGGAGGGATAGCATTAGGAGAAATACCTAAAGTAGATGTCGGGTTGGTGGGTGCAGCAAACCACCATGGCACGTGTATACCTTTGTAACAAACCTGCACGTTTTGCACATGTACCCCAGAGCTTAAAGTATAATTTAAAAAAAAGAAGAAAAGAAAGAAAGTCTGGTAAACATTTGCTATAACAGAATAACAGCGGCTCCCTGTGGATGGGGCAAGAATGCTCCAGTTGGCCGGAGTCTTCACTATACCCTACTGTTTACATTCAGTAGCTTCACACGTTTATGTGACTCTGCATCTGCAACATCTGAAACAACTGTGTCCATATTGACTCCCAGCCATCCTGCCGGGACCTTGGGTTATCACCACATTTTTCAGAGGGTAAAGTAAATGTTGTAGGGGTTAACTGACGTGCCCAAGGTCACCATCAGTAAGAGTCAAAGCTACTTCTCATTTCCAGATATCTGCTGCTTTTTGCAGTCTGTCATCTTGCTTTGATAGGTAGAGAAAAGAATTGATTAAATATAAAGCAAAGAATGGAGTAAAAAACAAAGGAAAAAAACTGAGGAAGAGGGAGTGATGGGAGCTTTTAAAATAACCGTTTATTACTTGGTTGAAAATTAAGCTAAAGCATGGACTCTGCCAATGAAGGGCCAAACACAAGTTGGTTGGACACATATATTCTTTCCCCAGGTCCTAGAAACAAGTCCACGCATCCTAGGCAGAAAACATTGTTTTCCTGACTCACAGAGACAACTCTGAAAAGCATCTGAGAGTTGGTTTAGGAATAAAATCACCTGTTTAAATTAACTAACATTTTCTAAATATTTATTTAGGAAATAATATTAATATACCTATCACTCACAACTTGATAATATTACCTATCACTCCCAAACTTCAGTGGATTAGCAAGCTCCCCAGGCAGTTCCAGAAATGCAGTTTAGGCCAGAGTTACTATCTGGTGGTATAGCCCCTCTCTAAATCAGTCTCTGGAACAGGCCTGACCACTGTATTCTGTCAGAATTTATTGAGGCAGCATAAGACCTTGTTTCTCACTTCTTTGGCCCTTGGCAAAAGAACCTGAGATCTCCCCTGAGAGTCACCACGTGTACAGAAATAGAGGAGAGCAGAGAAAACAAGCATTTCTTTTTGCAACTTCACAATCTATTTCTGGGGTTGAACAGAAGCCATTAAAACATTCCCATGACTCTGTGCCAAGCCCCCAAATTACTAATGACAGACATGCTGGCTCAAAGGGAGTCACTGCTGGCAAATATCCCTCTGGTATCTTGTTAACAGTAATAACCCTGAGCCTTTCATTGAAAGATCTCAAAGCACAGTGCAAGCCTTAATTGACTCTCCCCTCAACTCTGTCCCTGAAAAAGGTAATTATCATTATATTCCTCAGACAGTTTACACAGGGGTTAAATGGGCGACGGAGGTTGAATGATTTATCCTTGTTTCATATTCCGAGTTGAAAGGAAAAGTCTAAATAATGTCATAACTTGGGGTGAACTCAGCTGTATGACTTGCTGGAACCAGTGGGATAGCAGAAACAGAGAGAACGAGAGCCTGGTGAGGCTGATGCAACGAGAGAGGCCACAGGCCAAGCACTGTGTGCAGAGGTGCTGACCTGGAGTTATTTTAGCCTAAGGACATTATCCATAACTGCCCAGTGCAGGCCAGAAGGAACAGAGAATCTAAGCCAGAGTCCTGGAAGTGGGAGACCCTCAATATCACGTACCTAGAGTCTAAAGCCAGAGTCCATGCTCAGTGATTTAGACAAAAATCAGTCTCTATTTCTCTGGTGTGCAGTGTACCAAGAGTTGGAAGTGTACCTGGACCCCAAACAGATAAGAGGTTCATCTCAGTGGAGAACTTGCATGCTGGGCATGGCATCTGGGACAGTCCCCCAGTCCTAGGAACTGCACCATCATGAAGATGAGCACCACTGATCTCACAAACCAATTCCTCCTACTACAAATTCTCACCTTAGTAAACAGGGCCTCTCCTTACTTAAGAGCCATAACCAAAGTGCAGGGAGTCATCAACTCCATTTATATTTGATACCCAAGTTCAGATGACACAATTATCTTCCAAACCAGGCTTCTTATCACCACCCCTACCACCATTGACTCATTTGAAACCTCATTATATCTCCCCTGGATTATTTTAACAGCCTCCTGGCTGTTCCTGTTGCTTTCAGACTTTTCCCAAGCCAAACAATCGGGACTGTCCAAAGGATATGAGACTGTCCAAAGGATATTCCTGGAATGCAAATGTAAGCATGGCATTTATAAACTCCCCTGATAAAATTCTTCAAGTTCCCTTCCACAGGGAAAAGTGTAAAATTCAAAAATCAGGGTGAAATTATGTTTCCGATAAATAATGCTGAAATAATTCATCACCAGCAGATTTGCACTATAAGACATATTAAAGGCTGTTCTTCCAGCAGAAGGAAAATTATGCCAGCTGAGAACTTAGCTCTACATCATAGGCATGAGAAACATTAGAAATGGTATATATAAGTGAGTATATATAAAACACTATTTTTCTCATTTTTATTTCTTCAAAAGACAAATGTTTGAAGCAAGAATAATGCTATTTATAACATAGGCATGAATCAAATTGAATGGTAACAAAAGATGGAAGGGGATAAATGAAAGCATATAATGTATATAATATAAGAGTCTTACATTATTCATGAAGTGAGATGATATCATTTAAAGGTAGGCTGAAGTTAGTTAAAGGTGTGTGTTATATTCCCTAGGGCAATACTAAAAACTAAAGCAAGGGCTAGCTAATAAGCCAGTAGTGGAAATAATAGAACACTAAAACAATAATTGACAAAAACGGATGCAGAAAAGAAGACAATTAAAAAAATGAATAGCAAGATTGTAGATTTAAACTTACTATACCAATAACTACATTAAATATTACTAATCTTGACACTCCAATTAAAAGACAGACTGTCAGAGAGGATAAAAAGGCAATACCCAAATATAGGCCAACTGTAGAAAGCCCTCTTTAAAGTCATAGTGTGGTTACAAGTTAAAGGATACAAAATTAAATACCATGCAAACAAACACTAGACACAGACTAGAATGTCTATATTAATATCATACAATGTAGACATCAGGATAAGCAATATTATGAAATAATATGAAGAATTTTATAATGAAAAATTAGAAAGTACATCCAGAAGATATAACATTTTCAATCTGTATACAAACCTAATAACAGAGCTTCAACAATGCCTGAAACCAAAGTTGATAGAACTGAAAAGACAGTGAGACAAATTCATAATTATAGTTAAAAGACTTCAACATTGCTCACTCAGTAATTATTAGAACAAGTCAGCAGGTAATTATTAGAACAAGTAGTAAAGGTATAGATGACTTTGATAACGTTAAAAACCAACTTGACCTAAGTGAAATGTTTAGAATAGTCCACTCAACATGATAATATGCATTCTTTTCAGGTGCACAGGGAAGACTATATGGTGTTATATTATATTATAAGCTATAAAAGAAGTATCAATAAATCCAAAAAATCTGAAATTATTCAGAGTATCTTCTCTGAAAAAATTAAATTAAATTATAACCAAGAATACAAATATTCTATGTGAAAACATCTCCTAAATTTGCAAACTGAACAACACACATCTATATAGACTGTGAATTAAAGAATAAATCACAAGAAAAATTAGAAAATATTTTGAACTGAAATATAATGATATCAGAAAATATTAAAGCAATTGTGGAAAGGAGCTAAATCAGCATGTAGCTGGAAATGTATACTATATTATAAAGTGCTTATGTTAGGAAACAAAAATCGTATAAAATGAGTGACCTGAGCTTTCATTTAAATAATCTATAAAAAAGAGCAAGCTAAACCTGAAGGGAATAGAAGTAAGAAAGTAATGAGAGGAAGCCAATGAAATAAAAATTAGACAAACAAAACAGAAAAATCAATGAAACTGAAGCTGTCTCTGTAGAAATACAAATAAAATTTATAAACTCTTAAATAGACTAATAGCATTTTTTAAAAAGAAGAAACAATTCCAATAATTTAAGGTAAATGGGGACATCACTACAAATCCACAGAAATTTTAAAGAGTAATAAATAAGGGTCAATAATAAACAAAATTATGCTAACAAATTTGACAACTTAGCTCAAATGAATAAATTCTTTGAAAGATACAGATTATCAATATTGACTCAAGAAGAAATAGAAAACTTGGATAGTCCCATATCAATTTTTAAAATAAATCCTTAATTAGAAACATCCACACAAAGAAAACTCCAAGCCAAGAGGACTTCATTGGTGAATTCCAATACATATTTATAAAATAAATAACAATTCTACGCAAACTCTTTCAAAAAGAGAGTATGGAGGAAGATTTCTCTAATCATTTCATGAGGACTCTTTTACCCTTACCCAAAACCAGACAAAATATTACAAGAAAAGCATACTTTAGACTGATATTTTTTATGAAAAAAACACAGAAAAATCCTTAATCTTTAGTAAATTATAATCATCTAGATATAAAAAGGTAGTATATTATAAAAAATAGATTTCAGACTTTCATGACTGGCTTAACATTTGAAAATTTACTGTATGATCAGAATAAAGAATAAAAAATCTAGTCACGTTTCAGTATAAACACATATTCATATGTGTGACAAAATTTAACTCTTTTTTATGATTAAAAAATCTTATAAAACTAGAAATAGAAGAAAATTGCCACAATATTATACAGATTACCTATGAAATAGCTGCAGATAATATCATAATTAATAATGAAAGACTGAATTCTTATTCTCTAAGTTCTGGAATAAGGAAAGATGTCAGTTCTCACCACTTCTATTTAATACTGTTACTGAAGTCAAATAAAAGTCATACAGTCTACAAAAAATTAAAGCTGCCCTTATTTGCAGACAACATGATCATGTAAATACAATGTCCTAAAAAAACAAAAAAAAAAGTTATTAGAACTAACAAGTTAATTTTAAAAGATTGCAGAATACAAGTTCAACATTCAGAAATCAATTTAAATCTATACATCACAAAGAAACAATTGAAAAATAAAATTAAAAATACAATACCCTTTATGCTATCATCTCAAAATATAAAACTCTTAGGACAAATTTAACAAAATATGTACAAGACCTCTAAACATAAAACTGCAATGCAATGCTGAGAGAAATTAAAGGTCTAAATAAATTGAGAGATATACCATGTCCATGGATTGGTAGACTCAATACTGTTAATGGCAATTCTCCCATAATTGGTCTACATTCAACACCATCCCAATCAAAATTCTGGCAGGCTATTTGTGTAGAAATTGACAAAATACACCCTTTAATATAATGAATTTTATTTTTTGTGAGTTATGCAACAATAAAGTTGATTTTTGTAAAAATAATATATATTTATACAGTATATTATGTTATAACATATATTATTATATTATATGTAATAATATATATTATTATATAATATGTAATAATATATATTATTACATATTATATAATATGTTATAATATATATTATTGTGTATTATATTATATATAATGTATATTATTATATATTATATTATATTATATATAATGTATATTATTATATATTATATAATATATATTATTGTATATTATATTATATATAATGTATATTATTATATATTAATAATATGTATTATTATATATTATATTATATCTAATATATATTATTATATATTATATTGTATCTAATATATATTATTATATAATATATAATATATATTATTATATATTATATAATATATAAATATATATTATATACAATGTATAATATATTATATTATAATATATATTATATTATATATTATATATATTTATCTATTATATATATATAACAGTAACAACTACAAAAGTAAATCCATTAAGAAGTTAGAATAACCTCTTCTGGAAGAGAAGAAAGGTCAGAAAAACATTATGAATTCAAAAATTTACCTAAAATAAACTAAACTTGAAAACAGAAATAATGAGTCACCTGGGTTAGCAAAACTGCATTCCCTGCTACTAGGTAGAAGAGAGAGCTAATGAGCTAAGCTAATTTCAGTACTAAAAAAATTACTGGAAAAGTTACATTTTTGCATGCATGAGTATTTTGCCTATGAAACATGATCTCTCATCCCTTGTTAATGAGGAGGATATCTATTCCTCCCACTTCAGGCATGAATATCACTATGCTATTGGAAGACTTGGTCCCCAAGATTGCTTGAATGACTATGTAAGGAATTGGAGACTAGAGCCAAGATTAAATTCCGATATTAAACCCAGTGCTTCAAAGGACCTAAAAGAGCATTTGTGCCTCTGAACTGTACAAAATTTCTGAGAAAGAATCTGGTAGCCTTCAGTAAAACAGGCAGGAGCTTTCTGTTTTAGAAGCCCTCTCTATTTTCAGCATGCTTTCTGATGGTTTCTCCATACTTGCAGTGCTGAGAAATGAGCATATACATCAAACTTTGCTGTGCCTACATCAAACATAGGGACTTTCAGCTTCTTTGATCTTGATACTATTTATAATTTGTTTTGTCTGAATTTTAGGAGCACTTTAAACAGTTACATTGCTGTGTATGGAATTAGATATCTCTTTCTGCTGCAAGGTAGGTAAAATGCACCATATTATCATGAATGCAGGGCTGTATACTTCTACTCATGAACTCTCAAGGTGTTTGTTTTAATCTCTTCTTCTTGACTGACAAGATCATGTGTTTAATATGAATTGTTACACAATATCTTAGTGACATCTGATTGTTTTTTTCCACACTTGGAGAGAGGCAGCCTCTAACTTTGAAGGAATATCAGCAGGTAAACACGAGAACATTACTTGAAAGCATGAGACAAAGCTTCAAAGCTTCAATGCTTCAGGGTGCCTAGGGAACAGTAAGCAACCACACAATAAGTATTACTGAATTCCAAGATAAGAAGGCTTGTGGAACACCTGAAAAAATAGGTAAGGATTCCTGAAGGAAAGTGCACCACAGATTATTTCAGCAGCTGCATCATCCAGAACTTGAGCAATATTTTCTTATGTTCAGTCTTCAGGATGAGCAAAACACAGCTTCCAAACTCACTCTAAGCAAGTCTCAGACGGAAGATGATAGGAAGGAGGTGATCTTTGGTAACATAATCAAGTTGCTCAACTTGGTGCTGGTGAAGCCTCTTTCAAGATGGTTCACTTATACGGCTGGAAGTTGATCATGACTGTTGGCTCAGAGCTCAGCCAAGGCTTATAGATCAGTGGGCATTGACTCCTCTCCACGTGAGCCTCTCCACAGTTGTTTAGGCTTCATCACAGTATGTTGGCTGGGTTCTAAAAGACAGCAACCCTCAAAAAACAAAATTAAAATGCATGGCAGTCTTTTGATCTAACCTCCAAAATCATATAGTATCATTTCTACTGGACTCTCTTGGTTGAAGCAGTCGGGAAGACCCACCCAAATTCAAGAACAGACACAGACACCACCTCTTGATGGGGGCAGAGTTTAATATTCCAGAAGAGGCTGTGATATGGAAAATACAGTTGCACTCATCTTTGGAAGATAATCTGCCAGATCAAATAACTTTGAGAACTATTCTCCATTTCTCCACTTCTCTATGCACTCTATTGTATGATTTCTTTTTTACACATGGAAAGTAATACTGTACACCATTATGCACACATGAATAATGTAATGGAAAAAGTAAAAGAATATCCTCTCTGACCTTGATTACAAAAGCATTTTATTTTTAATTTTTGTTACTTGTTTTTTGCTTAATACTCTCATTGTATAGTCAAAGGTTTTATAAACATCAATTCTCATCATGGATGGGATAAAATAAGTGACAACATCACTTTACTTTACTTACCAATGGCAGATAGTTCTATCTGAACCCAAATCTTTCCTCTAAATTATTCTCAACATATTTTTCCATAAAATCACCACTAATCATTGATGGTTAGCATATGTGAAAAAATGATTTTGCCATCCTAGTACAGTTTGATAATGTAGCTGCCTGGACCAAGATGTTAAAAGCAGGGGAAAATCTGAACCTAGATGGGGGAAGGAGGTAGTAAGAACTTAAAATAATATGTGGAAACAAAATGAATCACTACATTACCCCCAAATAGTTGGTGAGAGAAGAGCCAGGCTATAATATGACAGGTTCAATTCAGATTTAAGATGAGATTGGGGATATCTGTGGAGACACAATGTGGGAAAATCTAGGTGAGGTATAGTTAGGGAACTTAAGGGTTGCGTTATAAGGACACCAAATTCAGAGTAAGACTGTGACCAGAATTCTGCTCAAACAGGTGTAGTACTAACCTCAAGGATGGATTGATGAGAACCAAGCAGTGGTCAGCACTAGCCTTCTAAATGAAGATCACAGGCAGGACTCTCCTTCAGGGGTTCCCATGTAGGGAAAGAGAAACCCTGAGCAGGCGCCTTCTCCCGGCAGAACAGGTTCTGTCCTAGCTATCATGCCAGGTGTATATAATAATATCCAAATTCTTCTAATACCTAGGTAATGCTGATATTAGGCTCTCCCTCTTCTGCGCTAGTGTTTTCCGATTGGGTGTGCATGTCAGACTAATCTAGAAAGCATTAAAAACAAACACACACACAGAAGACTGATTTCATTTAGCTTTTGGTTGATCTCACAAGCCGTCAACAAAATTTGAGTCAATTGAAGTTAGCATTAAAATAGAAGAAATGTTCTAAATAACCAAGGATAAATGAAACAAGGAATATGCAGGATGTTCATGAAGAAAAGTCACATATTGTTGACCAAAATAAATGAAATTGCAAAAGAACATGTTCACTCTGACACATTTTGTACAAAAGTTTTAAATATGCAAAACACTATATATATAGTTATGGACAAATAAGTATGCTGTGAAATTAGAGGTTAAAAATGCACAAAACAACACAAAAAAGACAGTGCAGCATTATTATTATTGTTATACTTTAAGTTTTGGGATACATGTGCAGAACGTGCAGGTTTGTTACATAGGTATACATGTGCCATGGTGGTTTGCTGACAGTGCAGCATTTTATAATGGTGGTTACTTTTGAGAGTAGAGGGAAATTCTGGTGGAGGAATGTGCCTGTTTCTATAAACTTTTAGATGTCAATTTAAAAATATTTGAATATTTGACACAAAAAACAACATGTCAACATTTGATCACTATGTCTAGTTTTAATTTTCTCTATGAAATAGTTATTATTTAAGTGTAATCAATAAACAGAAAATGATAATGATGGAGAAACGAAGAAGATGAAGTTGAGAAGGAAAGGAAGGGAAGGAAGGAGAAGAGAATGAAAAAGAGAGAGAAGAATAGAATAAGAAGGAGGAGAAGGAGGGAGGGGAGGAGGAAGAGAAAAAAAAGGAAGAAAGGAATGAAGTCCCCAAATATTCGTAAGAAAAAAAATGTTTAATTCCACTTGGATCTGTGTTGAAAACTTGACAGCCTGTTTACGTTTCATTTAGACAAAATAAATGCTGAGAATGACCCCAGAATATAAAATAAATAATTAAAAAGGTGAAATCTACCCTATCAGATGTCAAATCATACTATACAGCTATGGTAATTCAAACACAGAACAAAAATAAGACTACAAATTATTTAAAGTGTGGGGAAGGATTATTAAATAAATATGACATGGATGATTGGTTAAATATACAGGAATTATAACAAGGCAAATGTCTCCTCCCTTACCTCATAAAATTTACCTAATTTGATTTAAATTGATCAAAAATTCAAATATTAAAGAAGAAGTAGTAAAAGAATTGACAAAAAACAATAATGCATCTGATTCATCTCAGGGTAGAGGTGCCCTCATTATAAAAGCAAAGGGAGAATCCATAAAAAAAAAAATGTTAGGGCTGGGCGCTGTGGCTCAAGCCTGTAATCCCAGCATTTTGGGAGGCAGAAGTGGGCGCATCACTTGACATCAGGAGTTGAAGACCACCCCGGCCAACATGGTGAAACTCTGTCTCTAGTTAAAACACAAAAAAATTAGCGGGTCATGGTGGCAGGTGCCTGTAATCCCAGCTACTCGTGAGGTTGAGGCAGGAGAATCGCTTGAACCTGGGGGGTGCGTAGGTTGCAGTCACTGCCACTGTACTCCAGCCTGAGAAACGGAGTGAGACTCTGTCTCAAAAAAAAAAGAAAAGAAAAAAAAGAAAGAAAAAGAAAATGTTTGGGAGGTTTTAAAAATTGTAATACCTGGTTCTGATGTGGGTATTGTGAGATGGATACTTTCTTACAAACATTTTGGCAACATGGATTAAAACCTTAAATGATAATATTCCCTTCAAGTCAGTGGTTCTATTTCTAAGAATCTAACCTAGTAAATAATAACAAATGCACACAAAGATTTAAGTATATGTATATTCATTATATGATTATTTGCAGTATTCCAAAGTGGTTAACAATTCATACACCCAATGATAGAAAATGGAGAAGTACTCTCCATACAATGCTAACTGGCAAAAAGGAAACATAAGAATAACATGGATCTAATCACATAAATAGAATGTATGTAGATTGTGAGTCTCTGGAAATTATTCCTGTTTGTCATTCTTCTTTACAGATGTATGTATTCTACAATTAACATGAATTATTTTATTTTTCATTTTAATAAATTATGTTATTAAATTATGATATATTGATTTTAAGAGTCAAGAAATACATAAAGAAATGTAAATTTACTAAATGCTTTCTTTCATCCCACCCTCCTATCCCCATGTTCCAGAAGTTTATCCGAGTTTATTGTGTTTACTTTCAAAGACAACTGTCTTTGGATATGAACACATATCTATGTTTGGAAACATCACATAGATATGTGTTCATGTGTACAGTGTGTGTATACATATATGCCATACTAAGACACTAACGTAAGCTTCCTGTGTGCCAGGGCAGTTTTTGGTTTGGGGAACATGGTGATTCACTTATGATGATCCCAGCCAATGGTTAATGTGGACACAAACACAGATAATTCTGGGAGGCACTAAAATAAAGTTAGAAAGTTAGACTCAGGAACTTAAAGTTGGATTTGATCCTTTTTTTTCTCATCAGTGTATATTTTCTTTTCTTTTTTTGTTTTATTTTATTTTTTTTTAGGTTCAGGGTGTACATGTGCAGGTTTGTTAGATGGGCATATTATGTGATACTGAGGTTTGGGCTTCTAATGAGAACGTGATCTTTTCTAATGATGAGATATGAGGTTGGAGGTTGAAGGTATAGAAAGGCTTTCTGGAGGAGCCGGCCCTTGATATGGACACTGAAAAGAGAGATAGACTCTCCAGGATACATTAATCTCAGGTGGAGATAGAGAAAGGCTATTTCTGACAGAAGGAGGAGACTAAGTTGGGGAAGTTGAGCACAAGATCAGGCCTGCTGGGCCTGGAAATTATGGAAGATGTTAGTAAAAGCTAAGACAGTGGAGGTTGTTTCAGGGCACATCACAGGGGATCTAGACGTGCGATGTGGATTCTGAATACCTGTCTTTCCACAGTAGGAGGTCTTTGTGGTTTTGAGCAGGACGATGCTGCTGCTGACAGAGACAAGGACAGATTGAAGAGGGCAACCAGAAGGCAGGGAGTTAAGTCAGCCAGCTTAATTATTAACGAGATGAGGAAGGCCAGAACTAGAGCATTTTTAGTGTAAAGGGAGGAAAGGGAGAGAAATTCGGAGAGATCATGGAGGGCAACACAGCAGGGTTAGAAAGCTAAGCTGTGCCTGGGATATCTGACTCCCAGGGGTCATGGTCAGGAAGGATGGTAAGAAAGAGGGCTTACCCCTTCTTACATTTCAGACATATGTTCAATGTAATTCAAACTTTTTAAAAGACTTCTTGTTGCTTTTTAACTTCCCATGTCACGTTCTCCATAGTCACCCAAGTCAAAGCCTGAAGAAACCAAAGAGACATTTCTAGGAGAAGTTGAAAAATGGTGACTGGAGTCACCTCCAGTGGCCTCCAGCTTTGGTGCATTGACTCCTTACTAGAAAGATGTAGGGCTTGCTGGAAAAGCAATAGGTGTATCAACAGGTCAAATGCCCTTGACCCTGCCAAAGAAAGAAGGACTGACAATGAAACCCACATAGATGGGGACATTTCAAGGGCCCATATTTCCTAAGAGTCTTTAGCCTGCATAGGGTTCCACTTGCCCCTTCTGATCTCTGTATTTTTGCCTGGACTTTTCTATGGTGGTGGTCACAGCTGAAGAGGCGAATATTACTATATTTTGATCTTGGTAACACAGTAATTAATTATTTTTTTTAATGACCTGTTACCATAGAGATTAATAAGCAAAAGCTCTAATACTACTAGCCTGCCAGGGAGTTCACACATGTGAAATACTTAGAATAGAGTGACACAGAGAAAGCACACCATATATATTGGCTATGGTTTGTATTCAGATTAATGAAAACATCACACTTCAGTTCTAAAGGTGTCTGTTTCAGCTTCTCTAACCCTCCAGCCTAGACTCAGTCCTGTATTTGCCCTGAAAACATAGGTAAGCCTGGAATGACTCTTGGTGTCATAAACTTGGGATCCCCTGCACCCATTGTGGGTCTGTCTGTGGCCACTCCAGCCATGATTGTGAGGTCTGGATGACTCAGGCCTGCTTTGCACTCAGCCAGGCACCTTTTTTAGAACTGAAGCCCTATTCTGACCTCCAGTCCACTTGGCTTGGGCCCTGACACCTGTCTGGCCTTAAGAACCTCTCTGCACACATTGATGCCATTCTCTGAACCAGGCAGCCTGACCCGAGCCTGACCTGGCTTGACTGCCACTCCTAGGAGAATTTCTGCTGTCCTCTTCTGCCTCAGATCAGACCCCCTTATATTTTATTTCCGGACTGACTCAAGTCATAGTCACCATGCTCCTTTCTCGTTATTCAATACAAGCCCTGTCCCACCCTGACTGCCTCCCTTTCCCAGTGAGCAGATGCTTTTGAATTCCCAGCCTGATCGCATTCAAAGCGTGAGATGGGGGATCTTAGAAATCCAAACTCCCCATTCTATGGATGAGAAACCGTGGCTCAGAGATGGGAAGTGCATTCCTCCATCTTACACCCTGATTGTAGGACAGACAGAAGGTAAAATCCCAGCCCCTGGGAACATTTGCCTTGGAATATTATCACAATTCCAAAAAGGCTATGGCTTGCTTCCTCCACTTGTCCCCAGGTAACCTCCAAGAGAGTTTCTTTCTGAGACAGTACTTAGCAAGTAATTCCTTCTTACAAAAGTAGTCAAGGTCCTCAGATTTACAAACCCCTTCTCTCCTTCTGGCATTCCGGGGTTGTCAGGATATTTTGGTCTGTCAGTAACCTCTGGGGCTGAAACAGAGGAAGAGAAATCATTGGAATCTTTGAAGCAGAAACAGCAACATCAAATGTTTCCTCTATGTCCTGTGAGTTGGCAAAACTGCAGGTGTAGAACCAAGGTATCCACATGATTATTTCAAATCCCCACATCTTCTTGACTTTTTAACAGAGCCTATTAATTGATACACTGAGATAATTGACACATTAGTAGGAGTCTCCCTGGCCACTTCCAGTGAACTAAGCAAACACATGGAAAGTCTGACCTAGCAGGTCTGTGGTCCACTGGGACTTGGGAGTCCTTCCTATTCCCAGCGTGCTGCTGAGACTATTGGGATTACATTCCCAGTCTTTGGCATTTCCATACATGAACAGATTCTGAATGAAGCCAAAATCAAGTACTAGAGGATTAAGTCCCGGAATTGCAATAATTTTGAATTCCATCCCCTCCATCTATTGACACACGGTTTCCAATAAGTCATACAACCCAGACTGCAGTGTCCAGCTCTTAAAATTTTAAAAACAAACAAAAACAGAAAAGCCTCTGTCTTGCTTTATCCATGGAATTTAACCATCTAGATAGAAGACCAAGTACACAAAGGTGCTTTGAGCATTGTAAAAATGTAACAAAAACATTCCACTTCCTTTTTAATATGCCATGCAATTCTTTCAAGGATATCGGAAAATAGAGGATGTAAAATGAGGAGGGGTAGTTGACATACACAGTCTCAAATGTTGCTTCCTCATCTGTAAAATGGGAGCAAGAGCAGTGCCACTTCATAAGGATGTTTTAAGATCTAGAACATAATGACAGGCATATGATGACGATTTTAAATTTGAGTCGTGTTTGCAAATGAAATCCAGAACATTCCCTGCTGCTCCAGCTGATCTTGGGAGGCATTCCAGTCTCTTTACTGCTCTCCTGAAACAGCGAGGCAAGGTCCTTCCCTGGATTCTGCAGTGTTTTAAAGAGAAATTTCAAACTTTCCCGGGAGGCTTTTCTAAAGGGATTATGTCAACTGAAGGGAATGAACAGGCAAGAAACAAGCAGCCATGCCACTTGACAAGATGAGGGTGGCTTCCTACCTTCAGCTCATTACACGTAGCCTGGGAGCCCCTTCCCAGTTCCCATCACACCTTCCCATCAGGGAGGCCATCTCGAAACCGTGAAATGCTGCTCTCCTCCAAAGGCATCAAGTCTCCTCAAAGTCTGAAACCAAAGTGGAAGGACTAGGAGGCTCCTTGCCAAGCCTCCTAAGATCACATTTTCTGGCTGAGTATGGCCTCCTCCCAGACATTTAACATTGGGCGTGCCTCCCTCTTTCAGGGAAGGTTGGGCCCACCCACAGGGACATAGATTTACCAAAGAGGCATAAATGAACAATGATCAACACTCTGCAGCACAGAACAGAGACACACACAATGGAAGAGTTGGAAAAAAATTGTTTCCCTAGAGAAGCACTCTATCTATGCAAATAGCTAGGACCACTATCCTTCTACCTAGGTATTTTTTATTTTCTCTGCAAGAGACAAAAGTGGCAGAAAATGCCTCCAAAGAAAGAAATCCTAAGCCTCAAGAAAAAAGATAAAAGGGAAGGAAGGGTGTTGGAATACAAAAGCTGGAAAAAGAGGTTGGCTTTTCAATTTGGGAGTAAACTATATTCATGGTCCTTAAGAGAGGATGGCCTGTCAGTGAGAAACAGGAGACTCTGGGAAGACAGAGGCATGGGAGAAAGATCGTTCCAAAATGTGTGAGAATTTCCTCTAACTTCGTTTTCTTCTCTCCCTAGCCAGCCTGCCTCCCGGTATATGCATATATGTATGTATATGTCTGTCTGTCTATGCTAAGGCAAGATGAAGGGAGAAAAGCCCTCCTGCCATGGGACTTTACCAGCGTCCTCGCATAGCATTCATAATAATAACCCCATCACTCATCAAAAGTGCTCTGCAGGCCAGGCCTCGCCGGGCCTGGGCAATGCTCTGATCCCGCAGCCAGCTCAGGCTATAATTGCAAACACCCTGCCCCCGGGAAGTGTCAGGTTATGTGAAGACACTTGGGCTTTGCTGGTGTCTGTAAAATGCAAGTTCAAGGGGACTTTTTAACATCAGAAGCAAAAATATGAGAGTCAAGAGACAGGTCCCTTGTGCCCTGCAGAAGATCACAGTAGAGATAAGAAGTGGGAGGCAATTGCTCTGAAGGTGGGAAAAATAATTTGAAGGCAGCAGAACAGACACAAGGTAATTACCGCTCAGACACAGCACAGGCAAAAAGGCCCTTGCTTTTAGGGAAACAAGAAGTGAACAGACCAAGCCAGGAGGAGAGGCCTGGCTCTTATGAGTTGGGTGAATTGTCAGTGTTTACTTCCTGATAGGAAGGCAGGGAGAGAGAGAAAATGACCCCCCAAAGGCCCTCTCAAACTTAACAAATTTGTGAGCCAAGTTAGGTATGAGTTTTTCTCAACTTTTCGATTCGGTTTTGGAAGGACAGTGTGCATGTGTAAGTGTGCGTGTGTGTGTGTGTGCATGTGTAAGTGTGTGTGGTAAGCTGGAAAGGTCATGAAAACATGAAGGAAAATGGTACAAGAAAGAGATATCAAAAATGCTACCTCCTATCTGATTCTAACTTTATGACATTCTGGAAAAGGTAAAACTATGGAGAGAGTAAAAGCATCAGTAGTTGCCAGAGGTTCAGGGACAGGGAGGGAAGGATGAATGGGTGAAGCTCAGAGGATTTTTAGAACGGTGAAACTCTTCTGTGTGATACTGTAATGCAGGGTACACGTCATTATACATTGCTCAAAATCCTAGAATGTACAACACAGAGTGAACCCTAACATAAAGTATGGACTTCAATTAATAATGATATATTAACATTGGCTCATCAGGCCGGCGCCGTGGCTCATGCCTGTGATCCCAGCACTTCAGGAAGCCGAGGGGGGTGGATCATTGAAGTCAGAAGTTTGAGACCAGCCTGGCCAACATGGTGAAACCCCATCTCTACTAAAAATACAAAAGTTAACCAGGCATGGTGGTGCACACCTATAATCCCAGCTACTCAAAAGGCTGAGGTAGGAGAATTGCTTTAACCCAGGAGGCAGAAGTTCCAGTGAGCCAAGATTGGACCACTGCACTCCAGCCTGGGTGACAGAGCAAAACTGTGTCTCCAAAAAAACAAACAAACAAACAAACAAGCAAATATATATATATATATAGGCTCATTAATTGGAACAAAAGTACCCTTGTAATGAAGATGTTGATAATGGAGTACTGTGTGTCACAGGAAAATGGGGGACTATGAGAGTGGTCTTTATTTTCCACTCAAATTTTCTGTAAACTTAAACCTGCTCTATTAAAAATAGTCTATTAATTTAAATAAAAGAGAGAGAGAAAAGATGTGTGTGTGAATGTGGGATCAAACATTTAAATAATCCCTTACCATCCCAATAAAAAGTTGACAGTTTGGTAATCAGAGGAAAATTGGGTATTGTGGCCCAGGAAAGAGCCTCAGAGTAAAAATCTAGAAGTACCTGGAATTCAACTTGGGTGTAGTTTAATTTCATCAAAATCCAGGAAAATAGTTGAAGTCATCCTACCCCAGCAAAGAGAAAATGAAGCGTCTTCCCCGTGCGGCTCTGCAGCAGGGCTTCCTGGACTCTCTGATGGAGGGCGGCTTTCATGTTATTGTCATTTTTTTGTTTTCATTCCAGTCTATTACCCTACTGATACGTTTATAAAATAAAATTGAAATGAGTCACAAGAAAAGAATGACAGTGCACTTGGGTATTAAATTCTTGTTGAGGTCTTCTTACAAAGGCTTATTCTCATAAGTAGCACTGCACTGGAGGAGAGTCACTCTACTGAAGACCCTGGCACTGTCCAAACCCAACAGTTAGCAAACACAAAGAAATACAACAAGGGAATGCGGTAAGTATTTCCCAGGAATGTTTCTTGTAAAACAAGGGCACCATCTCTTGTCTGAACAATTGTTCTGTTCCCTAGCCTTGCTGTCTTCCAATGTACTCTCCTACAGCCATCAGAGACATCATTCTAAAATACAGATGTAACTGTGCCACTTTTTGGCCTGACACCAGATAGTTTTTTGGGTATCTCGGGATGACCTGCGCGTTGTTTAGCACCTTATTCATAGCAAACTGGCCCCTACTTGCTTCAGTACCGGGTGAACCAAGGAAAGTCCCAACTGGGTTCTCAGGCTAAGCAGGAAGACTGGGGTTTGACCCAAGTAATCCCCAAGAATTAGCACCCTAGTCCACTAACATATACTACCAGGTGTGGGCGGGTAAGCCGAATTTAAAACCACTGAGTCAAGAGTAGTCACTTAGCAAATTCTCATAGTCGGGTGGGGATGGTGAGAAGCATCTTAGAATGCCCACCAAAAGAATTTCATTTGGGACAAAAGGCATTCCATGTAAAGGGGCCAGAATGAACAATGGCATGGAAGCAAGGGATAGTGTGGAATATTCAGGAACCCTCAAGACATCCTATGCATTTTAGGTAGGGAAGAGCCTCACAGCTTCTTTTAGTAAAGAGAGTGGCAATCATTACTAATTACTGCAGAAATCCTCAAAGTTGACATTCTCTAAGTACCTGTCATGAAGACATCCTCTACTTGCCTCAAATTGGCATATTTGGAATATGCTTTAATTATAAGAACTTGCCAGAGACTGGGGAAAATCTATAGAGGAAAGAGAAGTCAAATGTTCTGAGTTTTAATGTTCACATCAATCCAATGGTGTGGGCTTTCTCCAATTTTACAGATGAGGAGACTGAAGTCTGAGAGAGGACAGTGATCTCAGACAGTCACACTGAGTAAGCAGCATAACTGAGTTTCCAACTGAGGTCTACGTGCCACTAAAAGCTGTGCATTTTGTACAAGTTCACCACTGTTTATGCACGTAGGTGTGTATGGAAGGTGGTTATTGAGAGGAGAGAGGAGAGTAAGAGGCAAAGAGTTACACATTTTAATCCTGTGTTGGCAAATTATATATATATATATATATATATATATATATATATATATATATATATAAATTGAACTAGTTAATAAAAATTTATTTGTACAGAGTGTTTTTTGTGTCAAACACTAAGTGCTTTGTATGTATCATCCACTTAATTCCTACGGTAACTCAGTAAGCTTGATGTGGCAGATTGTATTATATTATTGTCCCCAATTATTCACTGTCTTCTCTGTAAAACTATCATGTACTCCTGCCCATTGTTTGTATGACTTATGGTGTTGCCCTGTAGGCAGAATATACTTTCCTACCCTAATGATCAGATGGGCCATGTGACTTGCTTGGGCCAATGGCATGAGAACAGATGTGCTGCTTGCCATGTCTTAAAGTTTCTCAGCTCATAGCCTGGGTCTTGGAATAAGAAATCGCATGGAGCAGGGGCATAGCAGTTGACCTGCAGCTGAGTGACAAATGAAAGTCATAAGTCAATGAGATACTGGGGGTGTTTGTTACTGCAGCCAGGCTGATGGATACAAATGAGGTATTTTACAAATGAGGAACTGAAGTTGGGGGAGACATCTTTGCCCAACTCCTACCACTTGTAAGTAGTGTCTGGATTTAGATCCATTTCTATTTGACTTAAAAGTCCATGCCATTTTAATTAGAATTCAAAAACCTCCTGCAAAGTCCAAATTGTTTAAAGTAGATCACATGAGGTCACTTCCCAGACAGGAAATAAAGACACTGCCTCTGGAGTCTCGGCATGTTCCATGTTTCCTGTGGCTTCTCCATCCTTCCAAGCCCTGAGAGATTCCAGCTCGAAGCATCCATTTTGTTACCTTAATGATTTCTTAAAAGAGAATAAAATCTCTGACCCTACCACCTATTCGAAGCATTCTGTAACAACCTAATAATGGGGCTCCCTCCCCCCAGTTGTCCCCTTAGAGACTTATCCACACTACAGTTAGGACAAGTTTTTAAAAATGATCTTGACACTCCCTGGCTTAAAACCTTTTGGTGGCTTCTCACTGCTTTCAGAATCAAATCCTAAATGGCCTGTCTCTTGCCAGCCTCCCCTAATATATCTTATAGTGTGCTGTTCCTTGCTTATTATGTGCCAGACATAATAACACCCTTTTAGCCACCAAATGGGCCTAGCTGTTTTTCCCCAGCTCATAGCCTTTCCACGTGGGATTCCTTCTATCTTGACCACCCTTCCATCTCCTCCCTACAGCCTCAACTCAAATGTCAGAAATGATACTTCATATAGTGTTTCCCAAATCCTTTTCCATAACCTTCATCTGGGTCACCCAAAAAAATGTATTTTCTTGCCTGCTTAACATTAGATTTGATCATGTGACTAATTCTGGGCTACCGAAATGTAAGTGGAAGTGAGGTATATGCAGCCATCCAGGCTGCACCATCCTCCAGACCCCTCTTCCCCTGCCTCAGGTCCTCGGCATACCACTTACTTTCATCTCTGCTATGCCACTATCTTTGCTTTACTTACGATATTTGTCACCATCTGGAATTATCTTCTTAATTCATTGGTACCAGATCATTTTCCCTCTACCATGCAGACTTAAAGCTCTAAGAAGGAAGGGCCTTTGTCCATCTGTTCAGTTGCATCACAGTGCCCATCACAGTGGCTACATATAATAGATGCTCAATTAATATTTCTGAAATACATAAATATATGAGGAAATAAATGAATAGAGCTCTTGCAAAAATGAGTTAATTTATGTAATTAGTACAGTGCCTGATAGAAAGTAAGCACTCAGCAAATGTATCTAATTATGAAGATGAAGAATTGAAACAAAAGGTCTTTCCTTTCATTTCTGTGCTATGGAAAGGAAGGAACAAAGATGAGGTTAGGTCTTGGGACCAAAGGTCTACAAGGGGCAGTCTCAGTCTTGAATATAGAGGTGGCCTGGGAGAACAGTTACTAGGGAGTAGACAGTGAGAGTGGACTCAGCTTCACAAGTCAGAACTTCTTTTCATAACAGCAACATGATGCTGGAATTATTAGTAAGGGTCTGGTATGCCAGGGCCAGGACATCATAAACCTTCTGCATCCACATCACAGAGCCTCTTATAAGAATTGCTCCATACGTTTGGTAGACATTTACTGGGCTTAGACTGTGGGCAAAATTTTGGCTGGATTCTGCAATTAAAAGATAAATAAATTACCACCCTTGCCCATAACAAACCAGAGTGAGAAACAGACATGGAAACAAATAATTAAATCCAAAATATGACTAGTAGTGTGATAGCAGGATGGACAAGAGGATACTGGAGTACAGAAAAAAAAAGAGTGCCTCTGTCGGTGCAGTCAGGAAGACTTCAAGAGGCAACTTCACAGATGGACCTTAAAAACAAGTATGTTTCCCAAGAAGACACAGTGGGAAGGGCATTCTAGGAAGAGGGAACAGTATATGTAAGGCATGGAGTCATTATAAAGTCTTCACAAATCTTGGAAAAGGTAGGAAGTTCTGGTGGTTTAAGCATAAGGTAAGTACCTCTCACAAGTATGGGAATGTGTGGTTTTGCTTTCTCCATTTGAAAGAAATGTGGGAAATAGACAATAAAATTATGCACAGGAAAAAATGAATCTACTGGTGAAAAATAAAAGATTTACTGATTGTTTTTGAATATACTGTTTTGTTGTAGTGTGTTCATTCAAGCTAATAATAGAGATAATTTCTGGCATCTAAACTCTTTCAGGTTCTTTCTTAAATGTATTGCTCAAGCAATGTTCTACTAGTAAAACCGAAAACTCAAAGTTAGAAAAGAATGACCCAGAATACCAAGAACCTAATAAC
Organism: Homo sapiens; assembly: GCF_000001405.40. Classification (NCBI taxonomy): domain Eukaryota; kingdom Metazoa; phylum Chordata; class Mammalia; order Primates; family Hominidae; genus Homo; species Homo sapiens. The sequence goes on from NC_000020.11 coordinate 40,313,941, forward strand.
CCCGTGTTCATATTCCCAAGGCTTCAGTTTGACTGACCCATCCCTTTCCCAGGAGACTGAATGAATGAAAACAGGACTTGACTGCATTTTAACTATGGTAGAACACTGCAGGGGCCCCTGAAGGATATGTATGGAATACCTGTCCTGGAGAACATCACCTAGAAATAGATTATGTATAAACCTGCCTGAAAGAGAGCTGGCCATTGTCCACTCTTGAAGTTGTAGATTTCCAGGATAAGGAGAATCAGTATACATCTCTAGTTCATGGATTTTTTATCTTGGATCCAGACATATAGGACCCTCCTTGTCTGCTGTGGATGGAGTAGGGGGTGTCCATGGAAAGTGTTTTGGAATCCAGGAATCACTTGAAATTGTATGCCAAAATTTTTTTTTAAGTAGACATGTGCATTTTCCAGGGAAAGGGTCCTTTGTTTACTGGAGAGTTTGTGTATGATTTAAGTTTGAAAGTTTTTCTAGTTGTTTTCTGTTCATTCGCCAGATCACATGGAATCAACATGTTTTCAACTTATTGTTCTGAAGCCTGGGAACTGAACAAGCCTGACTCTCAGTTCTTGGCAAAGGATAGAGCATTTTCCTAGGCAGTCTTTCAGAAAATCCTGCTATTTCTCCTTCCAAAACACATCTCAAATTTGTCATGTGTCTCCATCTCCATCACCAAGCCCCTGGCCACCAAGCCTCCCCATCATCTCTCACCAGAACAAATGCCAAAGACTTCAAATAGGTCTCTTTTGTTCACCCTTTCCTTGCTGCAATCTAATTTTCACATAGCATCTTGAGTGACACTTTTTAAAATGAACATTATGTCACCACCACACTGAAAATTCTCCAGTGGTTTTTCATGTTGCCTTCAATATAATCCAAGTTTCTCAGTATCCAAGGGCCCTAAAGCCCTAGATGACCAATTTCCTTTGCACTTTTACAACCTCAGGTGATGCCACCTTCCTGTTTGCTCACTAGAATCCAGTTAGGCTGGACTTACTTCTGCTCCTGATCTTGCCCAGCTATTTCTTAATCCCAGGCCCACATCCATGGAGTTCTACCTTCTGGAATGTTCTCCTTTCTTCATATGATTAGCTCCTTGCCATCACTTAGGTAAGTCTCAACTTAAGGATATCTCCTCCATGAATCTAATTTTTTTTTTTTTTTGACAGATTCTCACTCTTTCTCCCACCCAGGCAGTGGCACAATCTTGGCTCACTGCAACCTCTGCCTCCTGGGTTCAAGCAATTATCTCTCTCAGACTCCAGAGTAGCTGGGATTACAGGCACAGGCCACCAGGCCCAGCTAATTTTTGTATTTTTAGTAGAGATGGGGTTACACCATCTTGGCCAGACTGGTCTTGAACTCCTGACCTTGTGATCCACCCGTCTCGGCCTCCCAAAGTGCTGGGATTACAGGAGTGAGCCACCATGCCCGGCCAGATAGATCTTTACTGACCATCCTATCTTGGTAGTTTCTCATTCTTATCACATTTAATTTTTCTAATTATAAAATCCTATTCATTTATCACAACAGTTTTTTAGAATGCATTTTATGATTGTTTATTTTTTATCTGTATTCTCTACTAGATAATAACTTTTCTTCTTCACAGTCACATGTCCAGACCATGATACAACACCTGCCACACAGTAGGTTGAATGGTTGGATAAACAGGGTAATAGATCAATGAATGAATGAATGAATGAATGAATGAATGAATGAATGAACAAATGCATAAATGGATGAATGAAAAAATAAAAAAGAAGGCCTGTAGGCAGTCTTCAGGCTCCATCTTTCTGTGTAGAACTAATGCCACCACCCAGGTGTGCTAGGCTGTCAGATATGCGAGGATAGCAATGGTGGCCAACAGGGATATGAGTTAGAAAGAGTTGAGAAGGGCATGCTAAGGACAATTAATGGTTGCTTGTTAGAGGGTGTGGCCTGCAGTCCAAAACACCCTATTCTCAAGGGCTTGATGTGCCTAAGTTTAATTTGAGGCAACGGCTGTATCTTGGACTATAGTAAGGGAGGCAGGGGAGGGGAGGAGGATTTTCAGACTGAATATAGTGCACTAACGGGCTAAAAGGAAAATTTGGAAGGTCTTCAGGGACGTTTCCTTGATCAAGGAAACCTGAGAGTAGTTTTAGATGAGCAAGAGAAGGGTTGGGATGGAGGTGAGAGGTGACGATTATCTGATATTCAACCAAAGCTCAAAACAAATGGCTCAGGGATGGGTGGGAGAGATGGTCACCTTGTCCTCTTCCTCTAGCCAGGCTGACAAACCATCACACCTCCAGTAAAACTCACAAGCATTGCTGCTGTTCATTTCTTACCTTCTTTTTCCCCATTCCTATCAATGTCTGACTCAAATCTCCAATCTTATCTGTCTCCCATTCCTGCCCCTACTTGTAAAGCTGAAGGTTGCTTATACTGGATCCCAGGCTCCCTTATCTATCCCTAGCCTAGTAGGCTCTTACCTGGTTCTCCCTCTTGAGATACTATTTAGGAGGGTTCCTTAACCCAAACTCTGTCCCCTGGAATCAAATAATCTTTGTCCTGTGATTTGTACTCTAGTCAGGTCTGCTCAGGTCTGAGAGGGGGAATTTGAGGGCCAGTTCCTGTTAACTATTATAACTTTGTATTTAGGGAGGGAGTATAGCTTACTAGTTAAAATCATGGTCTCTTAACCCATGGGTCATCCTATTAATTCAAACCTCAGCAATTCCGCTTAGGTGCAACTTCAACCAAAGTGACTTCTCCTTTCCAAATCTCAGTTTCCTTATCTATTAAGTGGGTACCAAATAGTCTGTTCCTCCTAGGGTTGCTATAAAGATTAAGTAAGATGATGCAATTGATCTTCCACTCAGCCCCTTGAATTTTTAAAAAGCTCAAGCTGATTTCCAGCTCACATAACCTGCATCAATATGCCTGAATGTATGTTTGTTTGTCTGTTTTAAAATTTTGAGCCATAATTGCAGAAAATCCCATTGCCTCTCCCTCTCTCTGTCTGTGTGTGTGTGTGTACATGTGTGCACATGCAAACACACAGAAAACCAAAAGTGCAAAGGAGTTACATCACTAGGAGCAGGGTCCAACCAGTGACCATGGTACAACTCCCTCACATTTCAGGTGGGATAATTCCAAAGCATGTGTATTGCACAGTATTCCACAACTCCCTCAGAGAAATTAGTTTTCATTATTACTATGATAGCTGCCTTGATACCACACTCATTATTGCTCCTTTCATTTCCTTGTATAATTTCCCCACTTCCACATCTGCGTTAGACATCCCAAATAAACTATTTGAGCCATATTCTTGGCCTTAGGATCTATTTCATGGAGAACACACCCCAAGACAAAATTCTCAGCATAGTTCCAGGTTCTTTGTAAACCTTCGGTATTCAATGACTGAGCTATTATTGTTATGGGAGAAACCTGACCTCATGCCAGTAGGAAAGACCTCACTCTACGCCACCCAAACACTAACAAAAGGAACATGCTGCCCATCACAGGGAATAATCAGCCTAGGTCTGCCAGCAAATTGCAGTCCTGCCTGCACGGGTCACTAGCCAAGCTGCCTCCTTGTGCTGTGAGCCCAGAAACTACTGAGGGACACCACTAAAGTGTTCCTTTTTGGCACAACACCCCAGCCTCCAGCAAAGCAGACTGCAAGACTGGGGAATAAGCCTGTCTCTTCAGGTGGGGTGAGAAGCCTCCCTGACCTGCCCAGAACAGGTCTGGCCAGTGATTGCTCCATTGTTCCAGATGCCAATCAAAGGCGAAGCCAGGGCACTTTGTCCAAAAATTGGATTAAGAACCTCAGTTGGGCACAAGCAACACCCATAAATCTGTCTGTAGATCTTTTGCCTGTTACCCATTTTGCATCCTCAGAAGTTACCCTCTATAAAATTTATCTCCCATAAAGAGAGTTTCAGGGGATTATCCCCACCAAAGACCTTTCAATTTTGCAGGCAGATTGCCAAATCCACAAACTGATTCCAGCCCAGATGTCCTGGGAGTACACTCTTCACTCCCTTGGCCATCCCTGAGGCTGCTTCCATGTTGAGTACTTGCAGACACAGGCACTACAGAACCACATAAGTTCTAGGCAAACTCCAGCCTCAGGTCTCCTGGATTTCCCTAATGTAAGTGAAAACAGAGCCTCAAAACTCTTTGACCCAACTGGCTGGCTCTGGTCACTCTGAGCATTTTCAACTATAAGGGCAAAAACGTTTTCACAGAGTAAAGGCAAAGACTTAGGTACAAAGAAAACTCCTCAATTCCTCTATGATCCAAAGGCATCTCAGCTTTAATTCCAGTAGTAAAAAACCTCCTGAAAGCAAAGACCCCTGACACTTTCCTCTCACAGCCAGCTTCCAGATTCTCACCACTCTCTCAGCCACTCCCTAAAGAATGTTCCTTGTCCATGTCTTTGTCTGCTTACAGACTAACAACATACATTAAACTGGGATCATATTTGACTCACATAAATTCAGCATCCACTGCATGTCCAACAAGGTGTTGCTTGAAGTATCACATAATCACTAAGAGAGTGGGCTCTGGTGTCAGATTATGTTGCTGCAAATCTGTGCTGTCTCTTTCTAACTCTGAAATCTTGGCAAGTTAGATAAACCTTTCTGATGCAGTTTTAATACATAATTCCAAATATTTTCCTCTTCTCTTATTCAGAGGTGGAGATTATATTCCCTTCCCTCAAGTCTAAGTGGACTTGTAACTGATTGAACCCATAGAATTCAGTAGAAGGGACACTATGTGACTTCTTCCAAGGCTCAATTATAAAAGGCCATGCAACTTCTGCCTGGTTCTCTGGGAACACTCACACTTGGTGTATTAGTCCATTTTCATACTTCTATAAAGAAATACCTGAGACTGGGTAATTTATAAATAAAAGAGTTTTAATTGAATCACAGTTTTGCTTGGCTGGGGAGGCCTCAGGAACCTTACAATCATGATGGAAAGCAAAGGGGAAGCAGGTGCTTTCTTCACAAGATGGCAGGATAGAGATGGAGGGAGAGCAGGGAAAACTGCCTTATAAGACCATCAGATCTCATGAGACCTTACACAGTATCACAATAACAGCATGGGGGAAAACCACCACCATGATCCAGTCACCTCCCACTGGATCTCTCCCTTGACACGAAGAGATTACAATTTGAGATGAGATTTGTGTGGGGACACAGAGCCAAACTATGACACTTGGAGTCCTGGGCCAGTAAGAAGGGTGACTATCCTGAGACCAGCATGCTGGAGTGGTCATGGGTACGTGCTTCAGCAGCAGCACCAGCTGAACTAGTTCTTCAGCCATGCCAGCCCAGACATTAAGCACAGGAGTAAAGAAGCATCTTAGAAATGGATCCACTGTTTCCAACCCAGCTGTTCAAGTTATCCCAGCCATTCATGGAATTCCAGCCAAGGCACCAGACATCATACCAGGGGAAAACTGTCCTTCTGTGCCCTTCCCAAATTCCTGATTCTCCAAATCCGTAAGCTTACTAAAATGGATGTTTTTTGCTATTAAGTTGTGTGATTGTTTGTTACACAGCCATAGCCAACTTGAACATTCTCTAAGCCTCAGTTTCTCTATCTGTGAAATGGTGCCAGGAATGGTGTCTGCCCTATAGAGTTTTTTTGAGGAATAAATAATTGCTGTGCATCTAGTACACCATAATCACTCAGATGCTGGTGATTATTACTATCATCACCTTCATCTCATTTAACTGAAAAACATATGAGTTAAATCTTTTTGATGAATATCTCCTAGTTAATTGTTGTGCAAACTGTCTCTTCTAATTAGATGAATAAAAGTTATTGATGAAAAAGATGAGCCCAACTTTTAACTAAAAATAATATGTCTATAAGGTATCAGAATGTCATCAGTTCTTTAAAAATGCAAAAACAGGTTTGGTAAGTGTTTCTGTGGTGGGAGGGGGCGATATCTATATGCATCTGTGACTTCATGTTTGCTTTACATTCTTCTCCATGCATATGTTTGCAAAATAATTGACAGAGGCATTACAAAGGGCAAAGGGATCGTGTGTATGTACACATGCCTGCACTCACAGCTTCTATAGTAGTTGAAGTACCCAAAGTGGTAACTGACACTCCGATTAGTCAGCTTCATCATTCCCTTCCAAGCCTAAATGCTTTTATTTTCTCATCCACAGATCGATATGGCTGGCAAGTAAGTGTCTGTCTGCCACGTCAGGACAGTGAGACCCTTGCAGGTCAGATGACCTTAGCCCCTCCTGCGAGTCCTCAAGCCCAGCCACGCTGAGCAGGTGTCTGAGAAGTGGGCCAGACCACACTTGAGCATCCAGCCGTCAGCGTACAAAATCAGATCTGATCGGCCTGCGGAAGATAAATGAGCTGGAGTCCCCCCAGCCCCAGATTTGGTCATCTCTTTATGAGCTCTGAAGGGCCTATTAGCAGATCTGATGAGTGCTGGGGGAGATGAAGTCGGCCTCGAACAACGTTAGCTGGCAGAATCAAATCATTCCCAATCCCCCTAGGGAGAAGGAGATGGGCTGGCTTTCAGAGGCAGCGTCCTCTCATCTCCATTGCCTATAAGGTTTATATGAACACTCAGTTGGGGGAAGAAAAAACGCTAAGCCCTTTTTTTTTCCGGTAGAATCGACTAAGAATTTCCTCATATATCTAATAGCTTCTCCTCAGGCAATTTGATGTCCCTGCTTAGACAGGTGCTCTCTCATTTTCCCTCTCAGAGTCTCAGCTTAGGAGGGAGCTGCACCACTCAGAAGGGCCAGCTGAAGCCAGCTCCCTTGTCACCCTCTCTGAGCCCTGCATCCCACTCAGCTAGAAATTGGACCAGCCTTCAGGGTGCCGAGTGGAGCCTCTTCTGTGAGGCCGGGCGGCTTGGTGGGAGCCACAGGGCAGGGGATCAGAAGTTCAGTTCTTGGTAGCTGGATGACAGTGGGCAATTAATACTATGCAGCCATAGTGAACTCCTCTGTAAAATGAGACAGCAGATTTTGTCCGGACTTGGCAGTGTGAAGATTAAATGGAATCACAGGTATCCAGCTGATGAGATGCTCATTGAAGGACCCTTTCCTTTCTCTCATTCAGCATTAACAGGCAGTCTGCCTTTCCAGGCCCAAGAAAGGGGTATCTGGAAGAGGCAAATAGCAACCCCAGGGGCTTCAACAGCTTATTAGAAGCATGAAAAGGAAGATAATTAAATCTAGGGCAGACTTTGAAGAGAAGGAAACATCTTCCCAAAGAAAAGAAAACTGCAAGCTGATAAATATTTTATTCCTTACCCCCGCATCTGGGATAACATGAAATAGACCAAAGAAGACTTAGGTGTGAATCCTGACTTAGTAATTGTGTGTCCTTGGCCTGGTCACTTACCCTCTTGGATTCTCAGTTTCTACATCTGTAAAATAGGAACAATCAGGCTATTTATGTTGTAAGGAAAGTATGCAAAAGTGCCTAAAAGAGTAGCTGACACCTAGGATCAGGTTTGCCCCAAGTATCAGTTACCTTCTCCCTTATTTTCTTTTTTTTTTTTTTTTGAGACGAAGTCTTGCTCTGTCGCCCAGGCTGGAGTGCAGTGGCGCGATCTCCGCTCACTGCAAGCTCCGCCTCCTGGGTTCATGCCATTCTCCTGCCTCACCCTCCTGAGTGGCTGGGACTACAGGCGCCTGCCACCAAGCCTGGCTAATTTTTTTGTATTTTTGGTAGAGATGGGGTTTCACTGTGTTAGTCAGGATGGTCTCGATCTCCTGACCTTGTGATCTACCCGCCTCGGCCTCCCGAAGTGCTGGGATTACAGGCATGAGCCACCATGCCTGACCCCTTCTTTTCTTATTTGTCTGCACAACTTGCAACTGATTGCCTACCTGCCTTGCCTCACAGTTCTGTGTGTCTGTCCCTGTGAACTCTCACATTATCCTTCCTCTGTGGTAAGGCTACTCATCTCTGGCTGCCTTCTTGCTCAATATTTTTTTCTTCTCTGTAGGGCAGGCAGCTCTCGTAATCCTCCTCAATTTTTTTTTCTTTTTTTTTTTTGAGATGGAGTCTCACTCTGTCACCCAGGCTGGGGTGCAGTGGTGTAATCTCGGCTCACTGCAACCTCTGCCTCCTGAGTTCAAGTGATTCTCCTGCCTCAGCCTCCCAAGCAACTGGGATTACAGATGCACACCACCATGCCAGACCAATTTTTTTTTTTTAAGTAGAGACAGGGTTTCACCATGTTGGCCAGGCTAGTCTTGAACTCCTGACCTCAAATGATTTGCCTGCCTCGGCCTCCCAAAGTGCTGGGATTACAGGCACGAGCCACCTCTTGACATTGTGATGATTTTTTGTCTGTCTGACCACCCTACTTGACTGCAAGCTCCATGAAGTTGGGGGCTGTCTGTTACTGACTAAATAACATTTTAATAAAAGTTTTAAATATTGCTTTTTAAATAAATTGAGAGACCCTTGCACACTAAGTGCAGTGCCAAGGTATACAATTGAGGAGAGAGAATGGGACAAAAAAGAAGCTGCCCTCTGAGGACTTAAAGCCTTCCTTTGTGGGAGACAAAAAACAAAGCCAAAATATAAGTAAATTAAAAGATAATTAATGTCTGTAACATGTCCTTACAAGGACAGAAACCAACAGGCTGAGATGAGAGAAACTGGAGGAAGTCACTTTAGGCAGGACCAGCTTTCAAAAGAGGCTCCATTCATGGAGGCCATCGCATAAGACACATGGATGACATGAGGAATGAAGATGAACCATCTTTCCCGAAAGTCAGGAAAAGAGAATTCCTTCAGGCAGAGGGAATAGCATACACAAAGATCCTGAGTCAGAGAAGAGCTTGGTGGGTTTTTGAGCTGAAAAGAAGTTTCTGTATCAGAGGGAAGCAAATGGCAGGGAGAGCCACGTCTGGTAAACACAAGGAATGAGACAAGGAGTAGGTCACAGAGCTCAGCAGAACAAAATCAGGTGTTTAGACTAGGTGTCAGCAAACGGTGGCTGTTTTTATAAATAGTGCCTATTTTTGTAAATAGTGTTTTATTAGAACACAGCCACACTCATTCATAGGCACATTGTCTATGGCTGCTTTCAAGGTGCCATGTCAGAATTGAATAGTTGCTACAGATACCTCATTGCCCACAAAACCTAAACTATGTTCTATCATGCCCTTTACAAAAAAAAAGAAGTTTGCTGGCCCTTGGTTTAGATTATGCAACAAGAAGTCAGTTTGAAGGGCTTTTAACTGAGGAGAGATGTGATCTGATTAGACACTCAGAACAGTGCCTGGCACACACCAGTTTCTCAAATGTGTTCCTTGAATGAATGAGTGGATGCTTAGATGAATAACGCTTCATTATCCACAACCATATAATATTATCCCCTCTGTTAGCACAAATAATCGGAGGGTTTACAGGACTGAGTGGGAGCCTCCCATCCATCCAGGCAGACTACGTTTTCCACAGTGCTAACAGCTGACGGATACTTAGAAAATTGAATGTTTTATGCAGCTTCAGATTGGAAATAGCAGTGTGGTTTTCACCACAGGGAACCCTCTTAATGTAAATCCAACCCAATTACACACACACAGGCAGGCGCCAAATTTGCAGCAAGACTGAGTTTCGCCCAGCAGCAAATGAAGCACAGCTCCAGAGAGGAAAGAGAGGTCTGTCAGCGAGGGTGTGGGAGCTGCAGAAGGCACCTCAACCCTAAGGGCCACTGCTGTGTGTGACTCATGTGTGGAGGGTGCTGGGTAGCTTAAAGAGCCTGAAAGAAAAAGGATGAAGTGGCTTATGCAAATGTACAGCAAGCTGCATTCTGCAATTGCAAAATCATGAATAGGGGAAATTGCTGGAAAATCAAAAGTAACTTTTGCCCCCAGAGGGTCCTTCCTTTGACCAGTTACAGAGATGACCAAAGCCTTAGAGAAAGAGACTGAGCTTTTAAAATAACAAATAATTGCAATGAGCTTTGTGAGATACGCGCAAGATTAGATATATGAAATAATGAGGTGGAGAGATCAAACACAAGAACTGGTTAAATTAAATATCTGCTTTGGGCCGGGCATGGTGACTCATGCCTGTAATCCTAGCATTTTGGGAGGCTGAGGTGGGAGGATCATAAGGCCAGAAGATCGAGACCATCCTGACCAACATGGTGAAATCCCGTCTCTAGTAAAATACAAAAAATTAGCCAGGCGTGGTGGCATGTGCCTGTAGTCCCAGCTACTCGGGAGGCTGAGGCAGGAGAATCACTTGAACCCAGGAGGCAGAGATTGCAGTGAGCCAAGATTGCACCACTGCACTCCAGCCTGGGCGACACAGCGAGTCTCCATCTCAACTAAAAAAAAAAAAATTCTGCTTTGTGGTCAGGGTCCCATATCACCACCAACCAACCATGTAGCCGCCCTATCGGGGTAATGCCTCTGAGCACTGGAGGGTCCTCCATTTAACACCCCCTCCCACAATATAGACATGGGGGCATTTGCCACCATTTGCTATGTATTCAGAGGTCCCCTGAAGTCCAAAATCAAGGTGTGGGCAGGACAATGCTTTCACTAAAGGTTCTCCAGAAAGATCCTTCCTTGTCTTTTTCTAGCTTCATTTTTTTTTTTAATTTTTTATTTCTAATTTTTGTGGATATTGAGTAGGTATATATATTTATGGGGTGTCTGAGATGTTTTCACACAGGCATGCAATGCGTAATAATCACATCATGAAAAATGGAGTATCCATCACCTCAAACATTTATCCTTTGTGTTACAAACAATTCAATTATACTCTTTTACTTACTTTAAAATGTACAATTAAGTTATTAGTGTCTATAGTTACGCTGTTGTGCTATCAGATATTAGATCTTATTTATTCTAACTGTTTTTGTACCTATTCTTTCCCTAGTTTCTAATAGGGGCAGCAATCCTTGGTATTCCTTGGTTTGCAACCACATCACTCCAACCTCTGTCTCCATTGTCATGCATTCTTCTCCCTGCAGATCTCTGTGTCCAAATCACCTCTTCTTGTAAGGATACCAGTCATTGGATTAGGGTTCACTCTAGTCCAGTATGATGTCCTCTGAACTTGAATACATCTGCAAAGACCCTATTTCCTAATTAAGTCATTTTCACAGGTGCCATAGGTTAAGATTTGAACATATCTTTTGGGACCACAAAGTTTTACCCTCTGTAGAGCTGTAAGCTGAGGTCCTATGGAGGGAAGAACCCATGGCATGGATTTGGCATTGTTCCCGCCGGCTGGAGAGGGTACCTGGAGAAGGCAGCCATACTCCCTCTTGAGTGAAGGCCCTGGGAGTAGGTGATCTAAGTGTCCACTCATAATGAAAACCAGAGCTCAGAAGACTGGAAGTCTAACCCAATACAACTGCTTGCCACCAAAAACACCCTATTCTCCAGAGGTCTCTGTGTCAGCCTTTTCCCCCAGCACTTCCCCAGACAAACACTTCCCTCTCTACCTCTTGTCTACTCTGAGTCTCTGTCATTTGGACTTTGGCCTCTAGATTCCCCTTCTTCTCCAGTCTGCCAGCCTTCCACCCATATCAGAGGCCAATTCTCCTCTTTTCCTTCTGTGGCCTTTTGGTCACATGAAAGAGACTAGTTAATACTCAAAATCTGAGCCCAAACTGATTGCCCTTCATCGAAGTTAGGAACTGCTGTGCTAATAATGATGATGATAATAATAATAATAACGGACTAATCCACATTCCTGGGGTGAAGATATTTTTCTTCCATCTTAGAGAAAGCCCCCTTCTGCCCAGGAAACATCTGGCCAAGTTTCTAATGTAGCAAATAAAAATAGGTTGAAAGTCACAGCAATGGAAGTTGGAAGTTCCTCTGTCCTTCAAACCTTTGTCAATCAGTGTGATCAGTCCCTAAACTCTGTAATCTTGTACTGGAAAGTGGTTTCCTGATAGGCCTATCATCTAATTTTAAATAAAAAACATTCACTCGAGACTAAGGATTCAGAAAAAGTCGTCTGCCTCAACATGTCCCAAACTATAACGTACATCAGATCACCTGGGGATCTCGTTAAAATGCAGAGTCTGATTCAGCAGGTTCTGGATGGGATTTGAGAGTCTACATTTCTAACAGGATCCTACATGATGATGCTGATGTTGGTCCCCTTACCACAGCTTGGGTATCAAGGGTCTACATAAGCCCTGTGGAAAGAGGATAATTGCTTATCCAGAGCAATGTGTGTTCCAGTCAGAAGACCACTTGTAATGCTGCTCTGTTTTAGGCAATATAGGAAATCATCCAAGACAAGTAAAAATTAACTCTTGGGCATTCATTGTATTGTAGAAAGCTACCTTCTTCATGAACAAAAAGTAAGGGCTTATAAATATATTTGTGTTATCCTATATTGGCAGCCATGCCAACCAAGTTTCTGCCCCACATATATCTTTATGAAAAACTATATTACTAGAGAAATAAAGATTTTGTGATTTCACAATAGACCTGATTATGGCAGAAAGTGGGAGAAAGGTTTTATGCAAAGTTTTATGTACATGCAATTGCATTTAACCCTTGCTACAAGCCAACAGGAAAAGTGAAGAAACAGAGGTCCCAGAAAGTTCCCTCCAAAATTGGCTCTGAGCTCCAAAATTATTTCTTGAAACACATTGGCCTTCATGGTCTCTGTTAATTGATTCCCCACTGGTTTTTCATCATTGATGCTAAGGCCCACGTTGTCCATGTAGAGACTCAATATGAGTCAAACAAAAATAAGTTTGCATCCTTGCTGTCTCCTTACACCTCAACTTACTCCCATTAAGGCTGAAGATATTGTCCAGACCACTCCACAGAGCTGATGGGAGACTCCACCTAAGGAGAAACTGCCCTGCAGGGCCCCTGGAGGGAGACACTCAATGCCAATTCATTTTCCCTTCACCCTACAGTGGAATCAGAAGGAAGGGATGACAGAAACCTAAAATCACCCATCCTGGGGTCCCCGGAGATCCACTGCCCACTCATTTCCTGCATGTGCCAACTTCCTCTCCACGGAGTCCAGTTACAAGGCTTCTCACCCATGACAGCAGGGCAGGGAGTGGCCAGGGCTGAAATAAAATAGTGACTAACTTCTGAATAAACCACCGGGGTGCCTGGATTGGGACCTCCACCCCATCCTATAACTCCCTGACCTCTTATGGGTGGAGGTGGAGGGGAAATGACCAACAGAAACTGACTTAAGCATATCTGAGGTAGCTAAAAATGCTAATTCCTTCAAAACCTGTACATGGCATGGTTTTCCACTGAAGACCTCAGCTCTGGAACCTGATTTAGAATTCTGGCATTACCTTTTCTAGGTGTATGACCTGAGGCAAGGTGACCCTCTCTATACCTCAGTTTCCTCATCCATAAACCTCATAAAGTTATTATAAGGTGCAAATGAATTCATGTTTGCACCTACTTAAGTCTTTGGCTCATAGTAAGCATTCAATAAATAATAGCGGTACTATTATTTATGTTTTATTAATACCATTGACAGTTCCCCCTGCCAATATAGCTTACCTCCTTTTTCCTCATAATAGGATTTAGAGAATCAGACACTGTTCAACACTATAGTTGTTGTTTTTTCTTTAATCCCCTAGTAAGTACAGTCAGAATCCCAGGGTGTTCAGTTGAAATAACCACTGAAAGTAAATTCCCTAGAGCCCTGGAACAGGCCAGTCTTGGACAGAGTAATAAGCAGGTCTGATCTTAAATGCTAAATCTCATAGGAATGTGTATGTTCCAGGATCGTGGTGTTGAGAACGAGTCCAAGGTCCTACTTAGATTCAATGGCAAAAACAAACAAACAAACAAAGATGCTGCGAATGACTGGTGATGAATGACATGGCTACATGAGAAATTCACAACAAACAAAATATGCTACTCACTTTGCTTTCCATGGTGGTGTGGGGGACAGAGAACCAGCCTTTGAGTCAAAAGAGTTAGATTCAAATTCTGACTCTGCCTCTTAATGGAAGGTCCAGTATTAGAAAAGTAACCTAACATTCTGGGTCTTGATCCACTTATTTTTACGAGCAGTGGCTGCTCTCATTATGTTATGAAAATAAAGCTTTAGACACAGAATAAAGAATAGTAGTATCAATATCCTCTCTCTCCTCCCCACTCTCCCATTCCCCTTCGATCTTTCTTCCTATCTTTTTCTTTCTTCCTTTTTTCCTTTCTTCACACTGGCTAGTCTTCCCATTCTTTCTTTCTCTGCTTTCCCTGTTGGCCCGTGCTCATAAAATTTCGCCTTGGACAGGAGCACTTCAGCCCTTGCCCCAGAGCCCATGTATTGACCCCCAGTTCCAAATCTACAAAATCAAGGAATCACAATAAGAGTGGAATTCCCTAAGCAACTTTGCACCCCAAAATCAATCAATCAGTAAATCAGTTTGGTAAAGCTTAATTCCTCAAAGCTTCTGGTAGGTATTCTGGAAAAGCGATAAACCATTTAATCACCACCACTGATTAAGCTCCTTCTATATGCCACCCCTGTTTTGGTCATTGAGGATACAGAAATGAAAGAGATCGTCTTGTGCTGAAAATGTGGAGTAACTAAAGTACCTTAGGGACTGATAGCAGGATTGCTAGCAGAGGTCACAGCTGAATTGACCCTTACAATTTATTTCAGCAGAGCGGTGAGATAGTATACGCAAGGCACAGGGACGCCCAAGCAGAAAAACATGAAATCTCAGAGGTGTGTGCATTCTACCACCACCAATTCCCCCTTGAAGTGCCTTCTTCCCACTCCTGCGACCAACCTTCCCTTTACCCACACTCCATTTCTTGGAATACCCTCTATGCTCCATCCCATGATCCAGGCTTATGCTCCTCACACTGGTTACCTCCCCCAATATGAGTTACTTAGCCTGTGTCTACTAATCTCTGGTCTAACTGCCATATAATCCACCAACCCAGTTCAGCGAATTTCAAAGAATAACCCAAAGGGAACACCCATATCAGAATCTCTTAGACAGCTTATTACAAATGCAGTGGCCAATGCCCCACCCATGATTTTCTGAATCAGAATGGGGAGGAAGGAGTAAAAAAGGAGTCTACATTTCCACAAGACCCCTCATTGACTCTACTACACACTCAAGATTAAGAACTACAGATCTCCTTCTTGCTGAGGTGACACTAGCTGATAACAGCCTATCCTTCCTGCGAATTTACTGAGCACCTGCTATAACTGGGCATTCTGTGAGAACATTTTGCATATATCATCTCTTTGAAAGTTATTGTGTTATTAATTGGTGCACTGGTATAAGCCAGGCCCAAATATTTTTAAATTTAATTCTCCCAACAACTGCACTGAACAAGAATGAACTCTGTAAGGCGTTCCTTCTTCTTATATAGTTTGAAGCTGGAAAGCAACACAAATAGCTCTGTTGTGTACATATCCTGTACCCCAGAGACTGACCTTGTGGATCGATCCATCCAGTATGAACAAAGAGCAGAGAAGAAAGAAATTCACCCACAGTGATGTGGGTTGAGTGGGCACAAAAGGACTCAGATATTATCCCCTGAACTTTCATTTCAGCCTGTGAGCCTGTGTCTTTGACAAATGAAACAGTCAGATAATGAAAGAGAATATTCTTAGCAAACTTCTGCTTCTACATGTAGGGTATAGGGTATGAGTTATGCTACAGGGTTCTTGACTAAGACAGACTTGAGTTTAAAACAAAGCTCTATCACTGTTCGTATGTGAGATTTTGAGTGAGTCAGGTGAGATACAGATGATATGGGATCTACCCAAAAGGGCTTTGGGGAATTCAAAGAGATAGTACATGCAGCATTTTCAACACAAAGTATCATGAGGATGAACGTGGGCTTTGTGGCCCCCACTCTAATATTCACACCCAGCCACACTTCTGTCTGTGCTCAAAGAATCCCCAAGCCAAGACACCCTGTGCATTTTAGCAGAACCTCATCATCTGCTTTCTCTTGTCTTTGTGTTCTCCTGAAGCTCAGAATTTCTCAGCAGGAAGGTGAACTGCCAGACAAGAGGCCCTCATCGCTTGGGGATCATCATGAATTGACAGAAATCCCCGGGGAGTGCCCAGCACAGCATTAAGAGGGTTTCAAGAGCTGGGGACAGAATGAGGGTGATGGGGAGGCAGCTCTCGCTAATGGGCTGCCTTCAGCCTGGCTTTATGGAAATTACAACACTGAGCCTCACGGACCTGGGCAAGAGGACCGCTTCTGAGTGAGTGGGTTGGGGAGGGGTTCGGCTGCTTCCATTGTGGATGGAAGAGCCTGGCTGAGCTGAAAGGGGAGCTGAGAGATCTGCCAGGATGGGACAAAGATCTCCTTGCATTTGCCAACAAAGCACATCCTCCACCTCCAGCCCCTTCATACACACAAACACCACCCCGGGTTATAAGAGTGATCCTTATCCATGATGTCAGGGACCTCACCCACCTCATTTTCCTCTCTAACCATCTCAAAGAATAGTTATTGAATGAATGAATGAATCAATGAGTCAATGAATCAATGCATGAATTTAAAGAACCCGAAGGACCATCAGCCTTGTTTTCAGAAGAAATCTCTCAGTTCTGAAATATCAAATGGGATGGTCTTCTCACATATCGTTGGGAAAAACTAAAGAATATTGATGCCTTCTCTTTGAGTGTCAAGAGCTCCATCTAGGACACTTAAGCATGTTCTTTCATTTAATCTCCTCCTGACAACTCTATGAGGTGTATATTCCTACCTTCATTTTGCTCAAAGGAGCCTAACCTGACACAGAGAGGCTAAGTGACATGTCTATAATCACACAGGAAGAAGTAGCAGGGCTGGGTTATGAACTCATGATGCTCTGATGTCAAGGCTGGTACTTATTTCCACTCTGTCTCCTCAAGGCTCTGTATATTCCTGTGACCATCTTACAGTCACTGGGATTTATTGTGTCCTTCTCATCTATTTATACCTCAGAGGAAATTAAAAGCATCATGTTTTTCTTTGTACTATTGAACCATTTTCACCTAATTAAAGCTAGATAAACTCTATCCAATAGAAATATAATGCCAGCTAAACATGCACGTTTACATTTCCTAGTGGACACATTTAAAAAATTGCAAATAGAAACAGGTAACCTCAAGTTTAATAATATATTTTATTTAACCCATTGTATTCAAAATATTGTCATTTCAACATGTAACCAATACAAAAATCAAATCATGATGTAATTAACATTATTTTGTGCTTTGAAATTCAGAGTGTGCTTCATACTTAGAGCATGTTTCAAATTAAGCCACATTTCAAGTTCTCATAGGCACGTGAGCCTGGTGGCTGCCATATTGGACAGAGAACTCTTATAGGGATAAGACATGGGATCCATCAGCATCGAGGAGAGAAAGGAGAATAGAAGGGGCCTGCAGCACTGCTGCTGGTATTCTGGTCTCCTAGCCCCTCCTGCAGTGCTCTTGGATAGAAAAAAATCTGCGAGGTGGCTGCCGCAGTTGCAGGCTGCCTGCTATTCACATTCCTAAAGGAAGATCAGAGAGAATCCAGAGATGTCACAATGCTGGGTCACATCCATTTCCCCACTGGAGTTTCTAATCAACTCAAGAGGCCTATAATCCTGGCTGAGCTCCTGCCCTGGGAGGGCCTAGTTTGTCCCTGTGTGGTATCCCTGTCTCTCCTTCTTCAGGTCTGAGAACCTGAGAAGATTCCCCTGGGAACCCAGCAGCATAGGCAGTCAAGTGGCCCAGATCAGTAGGTGGGCTGTGGACTGGGGATCCTAGGACAAATCCAACAAGCAAGAATCCCCCTCCACCCTCCATGGGGCACAGTTCTCCTTGCTGGGGCTTTCTGCCAACACTACTATCCTTGCTGCTCAGGAACAATCATTGGAACTCCACACTGGAAGCTTCTACTTGCTCCTATCACAGGCCAGGCTGGGCCCCACCTTTGAGTATCCGCAGCTACACATGGAAGCCTGCCAGGTTAAGCTGAGCTTGGCACATTGAGCCTGGAACCACCCCAATGCTTTGTTGGAGAAGGGAAGTGCCCAAGGCCCATTTGCTGAGCTACCATTCATTCCCACCAGGCGCTTGGCAACTGTCAGATTAATAACAGTGACTGAATAATGTTTCCTGAGCACTTACTATAGCCCAGGCTGGAGCAAAGCCCTTAACGTGGATTACCTTGTTGAAGCCATTCTCCATACAGCAGCCTGTGTGAGCTTTATGAAACACACAATTAATCGTATAACCCCCTTGCTGAAAACGATGAATTCCCACTGTGCTTGGAATAAACAGCCAAATCCTTAATAAGGCTCCTGAGGCTGCCCAGACCCTTACAGTCTCTGCAGCTCTGTCTGGCTCACACTCCCCCTTCTCCCTGGTCTCTGACAGTGCTCACCCCCTTGGTGTTACTCACAATCATTGCCAGCTGATGAGCCGACTTGGCAGGGCTGGGTGTGGGCTTGTGCTCACTCTGAGACAGTGGCAGACGTTTGTGGGCTGTCTCTGATATTGACTGGCAGCCCCCACCTCCTTGGTTGTCATCCAGGGTGGAAAACACTCCAAAGCGGCCAATTACTATTCACTGTGACTTCACACACACCACACACCACACATCAGTGCAGACGCACACCCAGAACACTGCTCTTTCAGCTTTTAAGCTTCTTCAACATTGCTCATGCTGTAAATTACCAGAAATTTGCAGTGGATTATCCCAGTTAGTATATTTCCCATCTACAGGCAGTATCATCACCTTGCTGGCCAACAGAAGAGCCCACCCCTGTGAATTAAAGGGACTCTTGCTTCCCAGGACCTAGAGAAGCTTGCCCTGGAAGAAACGTAATGATTCCTACTCTCACCTGCACAGACAATGCTTTCACTCCAGCAGCCTCATGAAACAGCCAGCTAATCCATAGTCCATTGTGATGACCACCTAACAGATGGGAAAATTGTTGCTCAGAGATAGGTAACAACTTGCTCAAGGTTATATGGTCAAGAAGCAACAGAATTGTGCTTTGCCTATGTGTTGGCCTTTGAAGGAAAGGTCAGGTCTGGGCTGCAGAGGCTCTATTGTGGGGATGAGCCTGTAAACCTGAGCCCCAGCCTCCTGCAGAGCTGTAGGGGGCTGCAGTGCCCAGAGGCTGAGGATTCACTTCTCAACCTTGGCTACCAGTGAGAGAGCAGGCTCATTCTCCTCTCCAGAAGACTTTTTTTTTTTTCTATACCCCAAGCTGTGACTTTAGTGTCCATATCATCCCACCAAAGACCTCTCAAGCCACACTGAAGAGAAGATGAGTTCCAGGGTAGGCCCCCCTCAGAAGCCTCCAAGGCCATCACTAAGTGCTGTCCTCTCCATCTTCAAGACATTTCCCGTCTGATTCTTTCTGCCCTTGCCTTTGCCCTGTGCCCTAGCTCAGGGTTCAGTGTCTTTTACCTGGGCTAGTGTCCCAGTCCCTCTCTGGCCTCCCTGCCTTCAGCCTCACCATCTCCAGTCCACCCTGGATGGAGGTTTCAAGAGAGAAGTTTCTCCTGGTGATTCCTGCTTGTACCTCCCATTCCGACCTTCCCTATTCCCTCCAGCATGTGTCTCTTAAATGAAACCCTTGTAACTGAACCTGCCCCTTCTACCCAGCCCATGGTGACTCCTAACAAAGTTGTAATAATCACTCTGGTGTTCCCATTTGCTCCTCACATCTGCTAATGCAGGGCCCATGGTCTAGTAAGACCCTGAGACTCCAGACTCTGCTTCCCTGCCTCGGAGAGGACACTTTTTGAGCCCTTTCCCTGCACTCACTCCCATCACCTGTATCCCTGTGTCTCTTTTCTTCCTCTGATCACCTGTACAGTGTGACCTAGGAGCTGGTGCAAACAAAGATTCCTGGGCCCTGCGCCAGGATGCTTTTTTTATGATATATATTTAAGGTGTACAACATAATATTTGATATACATATACAGAGTGAAATTGTTTCTACAGTCAAGTGAATCAACATATCCATCATCCTGCAGTTATTTTTTAAAAACCTAAAATCTACTCTCCTAGGAAATGTCCAATCTATAATATAATATTGACTATAGTGTCCTTATGCTATACATTATATCTCTACACTTACTTATCCTGCATAACTAAAACTCTACTCTGTGACCACCATCTCCACATTCCACACCACTCCCAGCCCTTAGCAGCCACTGGTCTACTCTCTGTTTCTATTTGAATGTTTTGTTGTTGTTGTTGATGTTGTTGTTGTTTTAAGATTCCACATATAAGTAAGATCATGTAATTTTTTCTTTCTTTATCTGGCTTATTTCACTTAAGCACAATGTCCACTAGTTTCATCCATGTTCTTGCAAATGGCACGATTTCCTTTTTAATGGCTGAATAATATTTCTGTGTATTTGGGGTATACATATTTTATATATATTCACAATGTCTTTACTCATTCATCCATTAATGGGCACTTAGGTTGTTTCTCTATCTTAGCTATTGTGAATAATGCTGCAGGGAACATGGGGGCACAGATATCTTTACAAGGTGCTGATTTTATTTATTTTATTTGGGTGTATACCCACAAGAAGGATTGCTGGGTTATATGATAGTTCTATTTCTAATTTTTTTAGGAACCTCCATATTGTTTTCCATGACAGCTGTACCAATCTACATTCCCACCAATAGTATGCAAGGACTCTCTTTTCTCCACATCCTTGTTAAAACTTGTTACCTCTTGCCTTTTTGATAATAGCCACTTGAACAGGTGTGAGGTGGTATCTCACTGTAGTTTTGATTTGTATTCCTGATGATTCAGGAAGCTATGTTTTTAACAAACTCACTGGACAATTCACAAGTCCTTGAGATCCATGAAGTCTGAGAACCACTAACCCACAAGCCCTTGTCATGGGATATGGCATGATCCACCTTGGGGACTGAGGGCGACTGTCTTTTCCCTATGTGCTCTTGAAAGGCCACTTCAGCTCTCTGCCCAGGAGCCCTCTCCTCCTTTATCATTTACGAAATGTCTCCCCTTCCTCCCTGGTGCAGCTTACTTGCCACTTTCTCCAAGAAGTCTTCCTGGGCTCCACAAAGCTGAGCTGCTCATGCCCTCCTCTGTGTACTTAACAGGAATCTGCTTTTTATTCTGTGATGTGTCCCAACTTCCTCTGTGACCTGGAGATCTGGAGCCATCCAGACAGGGTCTTCCACTTTAGATGAAATGGAAGGGTGGGGAGAAGGGCAAATAATGGCCTGAAAAGAAGGTGGCCCTTCCTGATCATCCACTACACATGTTCACATTCATCAATGACTTTGTTCTTTCCTACTAACCTATAAGGCTGGAGCTGCCATTCAGGTTCTAACAGGCGAGGACACTCAGGCTTGAAAAGCACAATATGGAGGCTGCACTGCTGATAAATGGCAGAGCTGGGCCTGCACTTCAGCTCCTCTGGACTGCAGAGACACTGTTAAGGCATCACTCTGAGAACTGGAGACAGTGGTCATAAAACGGCTGATGACAACCTAAGACCTTGATTCTTCTGCTGTGCATTTTCAGTCCCTGAGCTCCCCTCTCTGTGGGCAGCACATGCATGACTCTGAGCCAAGCCTTTGACCCAGGGTGATGCTCATCTGAAGCCCAGCGTCACCATCATAAGTGTGGGAGCCATTCTCCACTTAAATTTACAGACCTGCTTTATACTCCCACAGAAACGCAGTCAGAAAATGACCCTCACACCAGGCATCCATCAGAAATCTGTGTGTAATTTGTCTTTATTACGAGGAAGAAAGGGTTGGCGGAGAGGCGGGTGGGAGGTGGAGGGGGAGAAATCAATTTGATGTCAGGTTTCAATTGTTGAGTTACTAATCTAATCAGTGACAACTTACCCTTTTAGATGTACGGCTTGGCTTTCCAAAAATTAGAAATATCCTCTTTTTCCAAAAGGCTGTTGGAAAGGAGATAATTACCCCAATACAATCTGTGCTTATTCTCAGAGTTGTGTTTTTTTTTTCTTTAAACACGACAACATTTCCTACATGTGTTCAGTGAAGCTGAAAATGCTATTTTGATAATGGGCCCACAGAACGTTTAACAGGCCTGGATGACAATGTGAGACTTTCTTAAGGAATGAGGAGGCAATGAAAAGCTATTATAGGAGTCATTAATGGGGACTGGGAGGTCTGCTGGAGACATCACTGCAATTCTCAGTTTTGCTGTTTTCTTAATAAGGTTCTTTGGAGATCAGATCTGAAGCATGATCTTGCCAAAACCCAGAGCCCTCAGCCCTGTCCTTACTCAACCTGACCCTCCCAGCTGCCAAGATTGAACCCTCCTCCCTCAACACCCTCCCCATTTGATAAAGATTGACTAAGCACCTACCATGGGCCAATTTCCCCATTATGTGCTGGCAGTGAGTTGAAAACAGTCTTTGCGCCTACACTTCACAGCCCCAGAGGAAGGCAGATAAAAAAGGAGAGCCACAATCCCACATGATGTGTTCCGTGATGGGGTAGCTCTGAGAGAGCAGAAAGTGGGGAGCAGCTACAGTTCCTGGTCTTAAAAGATGAGTAGAATTTTCTTAGTGTGAGAAACTGAGCCTCATTAATCTGGCTTCAGTCCCACACCCATCCCTGAACTGAGGCAAGAAGTATGAAATATGATCTGATTGGCCACATGGTCACATACCTAGCCTTGAAAGTGACAGGAGAGTCAACCCCTGGAAAAATTCATTGACTTAAAATAGGGGAGAGGTGGTTCTCCATAGAATTAGGGGAGAAATTCTGTTCCCGGAAGCAGAGGGAGTAGATACTGAACAGGCTAAACTAGCAGCTGTCCACTAAGCAGGCAGGCACCTGTTACTGCCAACAGAGGTCATGCCATCTTTCAGCTCTGCAGCTACAAAAAGCCACAACTCCTGGAACTTGGCTCCAAAAGGAGTTACTTTCTATCAAGCCAGTCTCAATAACCCTCCATTTCCAGTTCTCCCCAGAATAATGGGGAGCTTGCACCTCCAAGAGTGTGGACTTGGTTGTCCTTTCAGCAGGAAGAGAGGCTAAAATTACCTTGTCATTCATCCTGGTTTCCTAGAATAATAAAAAAAAGAAAAGAAGACAAAATGGAGTATCTCAAGAAACTCTCCACCTGCATTAAACAACAAGCCAGGGAGAACATGTTACTCTGGAGAAGTATCTAAAAGTCTAGAAGCCCTGAAAATGGAGCAATTCATTTTGTTAAGAAATGGGTGAAGAATCAAGTAAACTTATGGAGAGGAGGTTATGCTAGGAGCTAGGCTATCATCCTCAAAGAAATGAATCCTAATAAATGGCCCACATTCAAAAAATTGATGAGCAATTTGCTTTCTCATCTGGTTCTTGGGAGTATGCAAAGTACCCATGCACATGTGACTTTATGTTCCAAAAAAGCCCCAGAATTGGGAAAGGTTGCATTTGATAACAAGAAAACCTGTCCCAAGAGATCAAGCAAATTCCAAAGTAGTTTTTAGGGGTGGCAATGTAAACCATAACCAAGGGGACCCATTAGTGTCAACTGTATTCAAAGGATCATAATGAGATGGAAACAACTGCATTATCCAGCCAGTTGAAGTCAAAATTCCCCCGAGGGAAGGGCTATCTTTGTATGAGAAAACCATGATAAGTCCCTCTTAGGTCCAGACAGCTCCTTAAAGGACGGGGGTTGTCTTGCTTGGGATAAAAGAAAAATGTACTGACTTCCCTCCCACAACACTGAGGAGGGAAGAAGACAAACTAGAGAAGAAAGAGAGAGAAGAAAAAGTATAGGAGGAAAGAAGAGACAGTCCAGTGGATCCACAGCTAGTGAAGATGTGCAATGTGTACAAATCATTTGGAAAATGGGTATCTTCTTATCCCTTTAAATTAGTTTGTTCCTGTGATGGAAACCCTTCCTCCATTCTGAGTTTGATTGAAGCACATGGCTGTGTTTTCCTTGTGGTTGTTTTGGTTTGTACGTCAGTTGATTTTGTTTGGTAGAAAGATGTGAAGAGGCTATATCTGACACCTAAATCAGTGTGGCTCAAAACAAGGATTGCATATTAGAGATCAGAAAAATTATGAAAACTCAGGGAGATCCTGGAGAAGGCCACAGAAATGGATATTTGAGGCCATCTTATCCCAATCCCAAGGAACAGGGAGGCTGACAACTGGGCTGTAAAATTCAAAAATCAAGAATAAATGAATTACATTTATTTCAAGGTCTTTTCCACTGTAATATAAAATATCTTTTGACAAATCTGGGTAACTTCTATCCTTTTTTTGTTTTTTTAGATACCAGACTTCTTAGCACCTTTAACTTTTTGCATGCAATCGGACTCTCCAAAACACCTTCTTCATTCTGAGACAATTATCTCTGTCTTGCGTTATTCTATTTCTTATACCGGTAGGTTTTCTATAGAAGCATTTTTCAAAAACCTTATTGTAACATCTCTGACCATTTTGCATGTGTCCTTATGCCCTACAGATCTGGAGGAAATTAGGAATGTGGAAAAGCCACAGGTGGAGATGGAGAGAGGATGTTAAGAGAGCCTGAGAAGAAAGTGGGAATTTGATTTCACAGGGTATGTGACAGCCTAGCCCCTGAGCTCCAAGTAAGCAGGAATCCTATCCGCCTTATTCGTCCTCATCCCTATGTCCTCAGGACCCAGGAAAATTGCTGGTGAAATGCATAGGTGCTCAATAAATATCTGTCAAATGAATAAGTGAACTCTTCAGAGCTCCGTGAATTAAGTGTATGACCTAAGAATTAAGTATATGACTCTATGATTCATATCAACATAGAAACTAAGCCTCTAAGGAGTCAGGTGGAGTTCTCCAAATCACAGAATCACAGGGCCAGGATAGGAATGGAAGAGGTTTTGGCTGCAGAGCCTGCATTATTTTCAGCCTCACATACTACTCTCTCTTCCTACTTCAAGAGCTATCCTTCTGATCACCTTTGCCCCCAGCTTTCTGTTTCTAAACAGTGATTTAATCCTCAGCCCATTGCAACATTTAGAACGGTGGTCCTCCACCATTAGAAGGTATTAGAATCATCCAGAGCTGAACAAACAAACCTGAACAGTTGCAGGTTTCTGGGATTCAATCCCGAGAAATACTGATTTTGTAGTGGGCTCCACCCCCCAAAATACTGATTTCATGGGCCTGAATGAGACTTTGGAATCTGACTTAACCTGGGTCCATTGCAGGACTAATCCCTTCATGGAGGGACCATTTTAGTAGCCCACTCAGCTTCCTGCAGATCCCTTTCTTATTTTTGTGTGTCCCTTGGAGCCTATGATTTTTTTTTAGGGGACCACCTTTGTGCTACTTGAGCTTTGTGCTACTCTGACCACATTTACAAAAATCCAGAAGTTCCTAGGAAATTATGTTCTACTGGAAACTTTTAACTATTGAGATTCGAGTGAATTTTTTTGGAAACTCAACTCCCTTACTTCAGGTCAGGACACTTCTGAGGTTTAACTTACACTCCAGTTTCCCTGTGGGATCAGGCTGAAGTCAACTTCCACAGGTCTGTGCCTGAGATCATGCCCTTGCTTGGCTTCCAACTCTTCCCGGTCTAATTTTCACCTTCCTTCCCAGCTTTCCTTTCCTAAGTTACCTGCAAATGAATCCTCATCTCAGAATCTGTTTCTGGACAGTCAAACCCAAAACACACTTCCTGTCTTTAGTTTTTCATTGCTTATATTCTACCCTGCCCAAACTTGGTCTTCCAGAAAGTTGAATATGAACAATTCAACTCAAAGTCAACACAATGTGAAGCTTAAAAGTAGGTTTTCCCCTATCCCTGAAGATTATACCTATTTTGAGCTGACCATCTTTGAAACTGGTGGAGTCAGGCTAGAGAGTGGAAGGAGGTGTGCCTCTCTTCCAAGGGACAAAAATCTTATACCCGATACTAAGGGTCAGAAGACTGGACTCTTAATTGCTTTTGGAGGGTGATGCAAGATCGAGGCCATCTCCTTCCATGAGAGCTCCCCTTCTATCTGACCAACCTGAAGCCAGACCCATCTGCATAGACCTCACTAGGTTTCACCCCTATTTTTCCTCCTTACCCCTGTAGAAATGCACATGACCTCTTTATGAAGACCCCAAAGTTCATCTGTCATTATTTTTTGCATTTTCAAAAAATAATAGAATAGAAAATCTATCTATTTATAGGGAACTGCATGACTGTGTGACACATCTCCCTGTTGTGAAATCCAAGCTACTGTCATAAAACATTTAGAAACAAAAAGGGAAGAGAGGAGTAAGATGGTCCAAAGAGGAAGCTCTTGCTATGTATTTGCATTTCTATGGAAACAGTCTTGGGCAGACATGGCTTTGGTCCTCTGTGGTCAGAGGAACATGAAGTCAGGTGCCTGGCAGCTGGTCAGAGGCTGCTGCAGCAGCAATTTGCAGGGGACAGAATGGCATAAGAGAACAGACACCCAGAGGCCTCCAAATCTCCTAATAACAGGGACCAGGAACTTGTGGGTTTATCTCTCTAAATGCCCAGCTAGTCCTGTGGCAATCTCCCTCCATGTGCACTTGCAAGTGGGCATCCTTGCCATTTTCTCCCTCCCCCTAAAAGCACTGTGCAAAAAAACATGAGATGTAGACAACAGAGAGAGAAGACAGATGGACTGCTATAAGACCAGTGACTAGACGATAAGGAGAATAACATTTTATGTTTATTATTAACAAATAGAACAGGTACAGTTGCCGCCAGTAATTAAAAGATGGTTATGCATTAGCAGTCTCAATTATTCAACTTAGTAGGGAAAAAAAAAGAAAAAGAAAAAGACCAAAAAAAAAAGACGACTATTTTGGAAACTGATGAAAAAAACAGATAACAAGAGTCAACATACATTCCTCATTAGGAAAACAAAAAGATAAACAACCCTTGTTAAAGTAAAAATAGGAAAAAATGTTGACTATGATAATGCTACCAGAGTTTGACAACAAAATTGTACCTTATTAAAATATAATAAAATCATTCCCAATGAGGCAAAACAGTAGAAAAAGTAGACTGACATCATTATAGTTTATTATTGTTCTACAAGTTCTAGTATCCACAATAAGATAAGGAAAAAAAAGATGTTTAACTTTTAATAAAGCAAAGCTAAAATTGTCCCTCCTTGCAGATGAATTTATCTGTATGGAGAAATCAAAAAGACTTAACTAAAAAAATTAATGGGATTTTAAGAAAAGTAGAAAGATATATGTTTAATATACACATATGTTGAATGCCTGCTGCATGCCTTTGAACCATGGCATATCATTTTAATTCTCATTCACACTGGCAAGATAGGTCTAACCTTCTGATCCTACAGATGACACAATTCAAATCTGGAGAAATTTAGTACCTTACTCAGAGACGGTTTCTAACTGCTAGAACATGAACCCAGTAATGACTTTCTTACAGCTCACATTCTTCATATACTAGCCCAGCGTGATTATTACTATTAATATGTTACTATATGAACAACATTAATAATAGCTTAAAAGGCACTCTTTAATAAGTACGTCTTATATGCATGCATTGCACTATGAATGAATGAATAACCTCTTTCCTCCCAAACAACAGCAAATGTTCCTCAAAGTTTCCACGGCCAAAATATACTTCTTCAATAAATAAAATTTTAAAACCATCAAATTAATTGCTTTCTCTAAATATTATTAATCATATGTAATCTATGAGCAGAGAGGCATATCATTTGGAACAAGAAGTGATACAAAAAATGAAGAAACTAAAATGTATAGGGAGAGTGACATCAGCAAGATGACAGAATAGGACTTTCCAGCACTCATCCCCTAGGAGGAACATCAATTTGGACAATTTATCCTTGCACAAAAATAATTTCATAAGAGCTAAGGAAACCCAGGTGAGAGATTACAGCAACTTGGAGTAGCAAAGAAATAAGAACTGACACATTGAAGAGGCTAGGAAGGACAGCTTCACATTATCTGAGTCACCCCTCCCTTA
Source organism: Homo sapiens (assembly GCF_000001405.40). NCBI lineage: Eukaryota > Metazoa > Chordata > Mammalia > Primates > Hominidae > Homo > Homo sapiens. Next base: position 40,341,895 of record NC_000020.11, read on the forward strand.
AGCCTGGGCAGCACAACATGGAGAGATAACCTCCACATGTGGGAGGGAAAGTGAAATAAGCACCTGGCTTTGCTACAAACCCCAGCACCAGGCCAGCTTCAATGAAATTCAGCACTAGGCCAGCCTCCACAGCCCCAGACTCTAGGTCAGCACCCATGGATCATGCCTCCAGGCCTACCCTACTGTCAGACCAGACCCATTGCTCCAGGCTCCAGGCCATTCTCTACAGCCCCATAATGACACCCAAGGACCCACCTTCTAGGACCTCCTCAGTGCCAGAACAACACCTGCAGATCTCAGTTCTAGGCTGGCCCATGAAGCCTCAGACGTCTGGCTGGTTCCAGCAGCCCCAGGCTCTAGGCCAGCTGCCATAACCCCAGGCTCCAGGTCAGCCCCTGTAGCCCCAGACTCCAGGCTGGCCCCAGTGGCCCCAGGCACTAGACCAGCAACTGTAGACCCAGAAACTAGGTTCACTCCTGCAGACTCACTTTCTAGGCCCACCCCAGTACCAAGCCAGCCCTGCAAAGACTCAAGTTCCAGGACTATCTCCACGAACCCAGGTGGCAAGTCTATTCCAACAAAAGGCCATCCCCTGATGACTCAGGCTCAAGGCCCATCTCAGCACCAGGCTGGCTCTTATGGACCCAGGATCCAGGCCCGATCCCCATACACTCAGCTTTAAGCAGGTCCCTGTGGACCCAGGTACCAGACCTGCACACATTCTGACCCAGACACCAGGCCAGCCTGCCCTAGGACTCTAGCAGCAAACCCACCACTGGGACTTACAAAATGGTCAACTCAGAATCTCAGAACTCAACCCAGACTGGAGAGTTTTCCCTGCCAAAGCCAATCTGTAAAAACTGGAATAGGTGCCTACTTCTTTGAACTTGCAATCATAAGACATGGCCAGAAGGGTAAAAAAATTATCTGTGAAACATGACACCACCAAATGAACAAGATAAAGCACTAGTAACTAACCCTAAAGAAAGGGAGATATGACTGCCTGACACAGAATTCAAAATAACTGTCTTGAAGTCCAGTGAGCTACAAGAAAACACAGACAACTAAACATAATCATAAAAACACTACCTGAACAAAATTTGAAGTTCAACAAATAGAAACCATAAAAGTGAACCAAACAAAAATTATGGTGCTGAAGCATACAATACCTTAACAGGAAAATTCCACAGACAGCTTCAACAGCAAACTCCATCAAGCAGCAGGAAAAAAATCAGTGAGATAAAAACAGGTCATTTAAAATTACCTAGTCAGATAAACAAAAAGAAATAAAAATGAAAAAGAATAAAGAAAGCCTACAAAATTATGAAACACCATCAAGTGAACCAACATATACTTTACAGAATTCTCACAAAGAGCACAGAAAGAGAAAGGAGAAGAAAGCTTATTTATTAAAAAAAAAAAGATAGAAAAATTCCCAATCTGAAGAGGGAAATAAATATCTAGAATCTTGAAGCCCAAAGAACCCAAAATAAATCAAATATAAAGAGATCTTCACTGAAACCTAATCAAATTCTCAGAAGTCAAAGACAAAGAGAAAAATTGAGAAGCAACAAAAGAAAGAAAAATTGTCACATACAAGGGAATCTTATTAAAACCACCAGCAGATTTCTCAGCAGAAACCTTGCAGGCCAGGAGAGAGTGGGATGATATATACAAAGTACTGAAAGAAAACAACTGTCAACCAAGAATACTATACTCAGCAAGTCTTCAGAAATGAAGAGAGATAAGGAGGTTTCCAGACAAGCAAAAGTTGTAGGAGTTCATCATTAGTAGAGCTGCCTTACAAGAAATGCTAAAGTAAGCTCTTCAAATTGAAACAAAAGGGTGGTAACTAGAAACATGAAATCATTTGAAATTGTAAAACTCACCATAAAAATAAGAATGCAGTGGAGTTTAGAATACTCTAATACTGTAAGGGTGATGCATAAATCACTTTTTAAGTCTAATATAAAAGCTAAAAGATTAAAGTATTAAAAATTGTGGTCATTAAATAATTTGGTAATGGATACACAATATATAAAAGAGGTACATTGTGATATCAGTAACACAAAATGTGGGGAGATGAATAAAGCATAGAGTTTTGTATGCAGTCAAAGTAAAGATGTTATCAGCTTAAAATAGATTGTTATAACTACATGATGTTTTATGTAAGCTTTGTGTTAACCATAAAAAAACCTATAGTAGATACACAAAAGATAAAGAGAAAGCAATCAAAGGATACCACAAAAAAAAATCTATCAACTCTAAAAGGAGGGCAGCAAGAGAGGAGGCATGAAACAAAAGAACTACAAAATAGTCAGAAAACAATTTTTTAAATAACCACAGTAAGTCCTTACCTATCAGTAATTACTTTAAATGTAAATGGATTAAATTCTCAAATCAAAAAATGTAATGTCTAAATAGATTTTTAAAAGCAAAATTTAACTACATTCTTCCTATAAGATACTCACTTTAGCATTAAGAAAACATATAGTCTGAATGTAAAGAGATGGAGATAAAATATTCCACTCAAACAATCACCTAAAGAGAGCAGAGGTGTCTATATTAATATCAGACAAAATAGATTTTAGTCAAAAGCTGTCACAAGAGACAAAGAAGATCGTTGATAAAAGGGTTAAATTATCAAAAGGACATAACAATTGTAAGTATATATATACACATATCTACATATATATACATACATATATACATATATGTGTGTGCGTGTATGTATATATATACATACCCAACATCAGTTTTCTCTGTCTGAAATGCTCTAAGCTGACTTGAACAGACATTTCTCAAAAGAAGACAGACAAATGATTGGCAGGTATATGAAAAAATATTCAACATCATTAATCATTAGAGAAATGCAAATTAAAATCACAGTGAAATATCACCTCAAACTCATTTGATAATGGCTATTATCAAAGAGACAAAAGATAACAAATGGTGACAAGAATGTGGAGAAAAAGGAACCCTTTATACTCAGTGACAATGTAAGTTAGTATAACCATTATGGAAAATAGTATAAAGGTTTCTCAAAAAAAAAAAAATTATCATATGACCCAGAAATCCCACTTCTGGATATAAATGAAAAGGAAATAAAATCAGCATGTTGAGGAGATATCTGTACTCCCATATTCATTCCATATCTTTGCTATTACTCAAAACAACCCGCTGATTTTACAGCCCTATGGCCTTGAGTGAACATAGGCAGTAACCAGGTCGTGGTTACAGTGGACTTTGGGTGAGACCTGGTGCTGTGTTGGCTTCAAGTCTGACCTAACACAGCCCCCGTTGTGGTGGCTACAGGGGCATGGGTATTACTGGCTATTATTGGGTATTATTCATAGCAGCCAAGACATGGAATCAATGTTAAGTGTCCATTGATGGATGAATGGGTAAAGAAGATGTAATACACACACACACACACACACACACACACACACACACAATGAGATACCATTCAGCCTTTAAAAAGAAAGAAATTTTGTCATTTCAGACAACAGAGGAAACATGGATAAGCCTGAAGGACATTAGATTATGCTAAGTGAGATAAGCCAGGAACAAAAGAGGCAAATACATGGGCCTTAAGTGAGACTCTGAGATGCTTTGGGGGGAACATAGCCCATCCCTAGCTGTTGTGGCTATGGGGAAAGACTCCATCTGCTTGAGAAAAGTAAAGGGGCATTTATCTTGCACTTTAGGTACCAGCTCAGTCACAGTGGAGCAGAGCAACAGGCAGCCTCTTGGGGTCTCCAGTTCTAGGCATTGACTCTTGGATGGTATTTCTAGACCTGCTCTGGGCCAGAGGGGAGCCCACCACCCTGAACGGTGAGTCGCAGGCCTGGCAACATTCACCACAAGCTGACTGAAAAGACCTTGGCCCTTAAGGAAGCATCAGTGGAAGCCTGCCAGTAATCCTCATGGACCTGTGGTGCTGGTGGCCATGAGGTGAGGCTTCTCTGTCTATAGAAAGGGGAGGAAACAATGGGAACGACTGCATCTTGTGTTTTAAGTACCAGCTTAGCAGCAGTGCAAGAGAAACCAGGTAGATGTCTAGGATTTTTTCTGTAGTCTCTAGCCTTTTCTCTAGTCCTGGATGGCATCTATGGACCAATTCAGGGGCTAGCGGAACTCACTGCCATGAAGGGAAGGATACAAGCCTGTCCGTCTTCACCACCTGCTGATTGTACAGCCCTCGGGCCTTGAGTGAACATAGGCAGTAGCCAGGTAGTGGTTACAATGGACCTTGGGTGAGATCTGGTGCTGTGCTGGCTTCAAGTCTGACCTAGCCCAGCCCCAGTGGTGGTGGCCACAGGGATATGTGTGTCAGCCCCTTCCAGTTCCAGGTGGCTCAGCACAGAGAGAAAGAGACACTGTTTGTACAGGAGAAGGTAAGGGAAGAGAAGACTTTCTACCTGATAATCCAGAGAATTCTTTTGGATCTTATTCAAGATAATCAAGGCAGTACCCCTATGAGTCTGCAAACACCACAGTGTTACTGGGCTTTGGGGTGCCCCCTAATGCAGATACAGCTTAGATCATAACACTCAAGTCTTTCCAAATATCTAGAAAGCTTCCCCAAGAAGGACAGCTACAAATAAGCCCAGATAGTGAAGACTACAATAAATACCTAACTCTTCAATGCCCAGACACTGATAAACATCTACAAGCATTAGCATCATCCAGGAAAACATGACTTCACCAAACAAACCAAATAAGACAACAGGGAGCAGTCCTGGAGAAACAGAGATATGTGACTTTTCAGGCAGAGAATTCAAAATAGCCATTTTAAGGAAACTCCAAGAAATTCAGGATAACACAGAGAAGGAATTCAGAATTCTATCAGATACATTTAACAAGCAGATTGAAATAATTAAAAAGAATCAAGATGAAATTCTGGAGTTGAAAATTGCAACTGACATACTGAAGAACACATCAGAGTCTTTTAATAGCAGAATTGATAAAGCAGAAGAAACAATTAGTGAGCTTGAAGACAGGCTATTTGAAAAGGCACAGTCAGAAGAGACAAAAAGGAATAAAAAAGAATGAAGCAAGCCTACAATATTTAGAAAATAGCCCCAAAAGGGCAAATTTAAGAGTTATTGGCCTTTAAAAGGAGGTAGAGAAAGAGATAAGGGTAGAAAGTTTATTCAAAGGGATAATAACGAGAATTTCTCCAATCTAGAGAAAGGTATCAATATCCAAGTAAAAGAAGGTTATAGAACACCAAGCAGATTTAACTCAAAGATGACTACCACCTGCCATTTAATAATCAAATTCCCAAAGGTTAAGGATAAGGAAAGGACCCTAAAAGCAGCAAGAGAAAAGAAACAAATGACATAACAATGAAGCTCCAGTACAACCAACCAATTTGTTTCAACCAGTGAAACAAATGACATAACAACTAAGCTCCAGCAAAAACCTTATGAAACAGCAGAAAGTGGCATGACATATTTAAAGTGCTGAAGGAAAAAATGTTTACCCTAGAATAGTATATCTGGTGAAAACATCCTTCAAACATGAAGGAGAAATAAAAGCTTTCTCAGAAAAACAAAAGCTGAAGAACTTAACCAACACCAGACCGGTCCTACACGAAATGCTAAAGGGAGTACTGCAATCCAGAAGAAAAGCACATTAATGAGCAATAAGAATTTTTCTGGGCTGGGCGCTGTGGCTTACAGCTGTAATCTCAGCACTTTGGGAGGCCAAGGCAGGTGGATTACAAGGTCAGCAGATCGAGACCATGCTGGCTAACACAGTGAAACCCCATCTCTACTAAAAATACAAAAAATTAACTGGGTGTGGTGGTGGACGCCTGTAGTCCCAGCTACTTGGGAGGCTGAGGCAGGAGAATGGCATGAACCCAGGAGGCAGAGCTTGCAGTGAGCCAAGATCATGCTACTGCACTTCAGCCTGAGCGACAAAGCGAGACTCCATCTCAAAAAAAAAAAAAAAAGAATTTTTCTGAAGGTACAAAATTCACTGGTAATGTTAAGTACATAGAAAAAACACAGAATATTATAACACTGTAATTGTGGTGTTTAAACTCATCTTAAGTAGAAACACTAAAAGATGAATAAATCAAAAATAATAACTATAATACAACAACTTTTCAAGACATAAGCAGTACAATAAGATACAAATAGAACAAAAAGTTTAAAAGTGGGGGAACAAAGTTAAGGTGTATAGTTTTTATTAGTTTCCTTTTGGCTTATTTGTTTATGCAAACAGTATAACGTTTTTATCAGGTTAAAAAAATGGGTTATAAGATAGTGTTTGCAAGCCTCATGGCAACTTCAAATAAAAAAAATACAACAGATACAGAAAAAATAAAAAGCAAGAAATTAAATCTAACTACCAGAGAAAGTCACCTTCACTCAAAGGAAGAGAAAAGAAAGAAAAAAAAGGAAAGAAAAGAGAAAAGAAAGAAAGAAAGAGAGAAAGAAAATAAAGGAAAGGAAAAGAAAGAGAGAGAAGAGAAAGAAAGAAAGAAAGGCCACAAAATAACCAGAAAACAAATAACAAAATAACAAAATGTCAGGAGTAAGTATTTACTTATCAATAATAACATTGAATATAAATGGACTAAACTCTCCAATCAAAAGACATAGAGTTGCTGAATGGATAAGAAACAAGACCTAGTGATCTGTTGCCTACAAAAGCACACTTAACCTATAAAGACACACATAGACTGAAATAAAGGGATAGAAAAGGATATTCCATGCTAATGGAAACCAAAAAAGAGCAGAAGTAGTTACACTTATATCAGACAAAATAGATTTCAAGACAAAAACTATAAGAAGAGACAAATAAGGTCACTATATAATGATAAAGGGGTCAATTCAGCAAGATGATAAACCAATTGTAAATACATATGCACCCAACACCAGAGCACCCAGATATATAGAGCAAATATTATTGGAGCTAAAGAGAGAGATAGACTCCAGTACAACAATAGCTGGAGACTTCAAAACCCCACTTTCAGTATTGGACAGATCTTCCAGACAGAAAATCAACAAAGAAACATCAAACTTAATCTGCACTATAGACCAAATGGACCTAATACATATTTACAGAACACTTTATTCAACTACTGCAGAATACACATTCTTTCCCTCAGCACATGGATCATTCTCAAGGATAGAATATAGGTTGGGTCACAAAACAAGTCTTAACACATTCAAAAAAATTGAGATAATATAGAGCATTTTCTCTGATAACAATGGAATAGAACTAAAAATCAACAAGAGGAATTTTGGAAATGATACAAATACATGAAAATTAAACAATATGATCCTGAATGACCAGTGGCTTAATAAAGAATTTAAGAACAAAATTGAAAAATTTCTTGAAACAAATGATACTGGAAACAACATATCAAAACCTGTGGGATGCAGAAAAAATAGTACTATGAGGGAAATTTATAGCTATAAGTGCCTACATCAAAAAAGAAGAAAAACTTCAAATAAACCACCTAAGGCTGCGTCTTATGGAACCAGAAAAGCAAGAGCAAACCAAACCCAAAATTAGTAGAAGAAAATAAATAATAAAGATCAAAGCAGAAATAAATAAAATTGAAATGAGAAAGAAATACAAAAGATCAACAATACAAAAAGTTGGTTATTTGAAAAGTTAAACAAAAATGACAAGCCTTTAGCCAGATTAACAAGAAAAAAAGAGTGTAGACCCAAATAAATAAAATTAGACACAAGAAAGGACACAATATTCAACTGATAACACAGAAATTCAAAGGATCATTAGTGGCTACTATGGGCAACTATATGCCAATAAACTTGAAAATCTAGAAGAAATTGACAAATTTCTAGACACATACAACCTACCAAGATTGAACCATGAAGAAATCAAAAACCAGAACAGACCAATAACAAGTAATGAAACTGAAGTAATAATAAAAACATCTTCCAGCAAGGAAAAGCCTGTGACTCAACAGTTTCACAGCTGAATCCCACCAAACATTTAAAGAGGAAATAATACCAATTCTACCCAAACTATTCTGAAAACTAGAAGAAAATAGAATACTTCCAAACTCATTCTGTGGGACTAGTATTACCCTGAGACCAAAACAAGACAAAGGCACACCAAATAGGAAAACTATAGGCCCATATCACTAATAAATGTTGATGCAAAAATCCTCAACAAAATACTAGCAAACTGAATTCAACAACACCTTAAAAAGATAATCCATCATAATCAAGTGGGATTTATCCCTGGAATGCAAGCATAGTTCAACATAGACACAAATCAATCAATGTGATACATCATAACAACAGAATGAGGGACAGAAGCCATATAATTATTTAAATTGATGCTGGAAAAGCATTTGATAAAATTCAACAGCCCTTCATGACAAAAACCCTCAAAAAAAACTGGGTATAGAAGGACTATACCTCAACATAATAAAAGCCATATATGACAGACCTTCAGCTAGTATTACACTGCATAGGGAAAAACTGAAAGCCTTTCTTCTTCAAAGATTTGGAACACAGCAAAGATGCTCATTTTCTTCACTGTTATTCAACATAGTATTGGAAGTCCTAGCTAGAGGAATCAGACAAGACAAAGAAACAAAGGGCATCTAAATTGGAAAGAAGTCAAATTATCCTTGTTTACAGATCAAGTGATCTTATATTTGGAAAAACCTGAAGACTCCACCGAAATAATTAGAAATGATAAACAAATTCAGTAAAGTTGCAGGATACACAATCAACAGACAAAACTCAGTAGCATTTTATATGCCAAGAGTGAACAATTGGAAAAAGAATTCAAGCAAGTAATCCCATTTACAATAGCCATAAATAAATTAAATACCTAAGAATTTGCTTAACCAAAGATGTGAAAGATATCTACAGTGAAAACTATAAAGCACTGATGCAAGAAATTGGAGAGGACACTAAAAAATGGAAAGATAGTCCATGTTCCTGGATTAGAAGAATCAATATTGTTAAAATGTCTATACTTCTCAAAGCAATCTACAGATTTAATGCAATCCCTATCAAAATATCAATGATCTTCTTCACAGAAATAGAAAAAAAAGTTTAATTTATATGAAACCACAGAAGACCCAGAATAACCAAAGCTATCCTAAGCAAAAAGAGCAAAACTGAAGTAATAACATTAATAACATTATCTGACTTCAAATTATGTTGCAGAGCTATAGTATCCAAATTGGCACGGTAGTAGTATAAAAACAGGCACATAGGCCAGTTTAACAGAATAGAGAACCCAGAAATAAATCCATACATCTACAGTGAGCACATTTTCAACAAAATTTTTGAGAGCACACATTGGGGAAAGGACAGTCTCTTCAATAAATGTTGCTGGGAAAACTGGATATCCATATGCAGAAGAATGAAACTAGACTCCTATCTCTCACCATATAAAAAATAAAAATGGATTCAAGACTTAAATTCAAGGCCTCAACATATAAAACTACTAAAAGAAAGCATTGGGGAAACTCCAGGTATTGGAGTGGGCAAAGAAGACTTCTTGAATAATAACCCACAGGCACACGCAACCAAAGCAAAAATGGACAAATGGGATCACATCAAGTTAAAAAGTTTCTGCCCAGCAAAGGATGCAATCAACAAAGTGAAGAGATGACCCACAGAATGGGAGAAAATATTTGCAAACTACCCATATGACAAGGGATTAATAACTAGAATATATAAGGAGCTCAAACAACTCTAGAAAAAAAATTAATCATGTAATTAAAAAATGGACAAAAGATTTGAATAGATATTTCTCAAAAGAAGACATACAAATGGCAAACAGGTATATGAAAAGGCACTCAACATCATTAATCATCAGAGGAAAAAAATCAAAACTACAGTGAGATATCATCTCACTCCAATTAAAATGGCTTTTATCCAGAGGACAAGCAATAACAAATGCTGGCAAGGATGTGGAGAAAAGGGAACCCTACTGCTGGTGGGAATGTAAATTAGTACAACCACTATGGAGAACAGTTTGGAGTGTCCTCAAAAAACTAAAATAGAGCTATCATATTATCCAGCAATCCCACTGCTGGGTATATACCCAAAAGAAAAGAAATCAGTATATCTAAGAGATATCTGCACTCCCATATTTGTTGCAACATTAGTCACAATAAGTCATAATTTGGAAACAACCTAATTGTCTATCAACAGATAAATGAATAAAGAAAATGTGGTATATATACACAATGGAGTAGTATTTGACCACAAAAAAATGAGATCCTGACATTTGCAACAACATGAATGGAACAACTTTCATCATATTAAGTGAAAAAGCCAAACACAGAAAGACAAACATTGTATGTTCTCAGTTATCTTTGGGAGCTAAAAATTAAACAATTGAACTCAAAGAGATAGAGGGTAGCAGGATGGTTATCAGCAACTGGAAAGCGCAGTGGGCTTGAGGAGTAATTGGGGATGGTTAATGGGTACAAAAAATAAAAAGAACTAATAAGACCTAGTATTTGCTAGCACAACGATATAAAAATAATTTAATTGTACATTTAAAAATAACTAAATGAGTATAACTGTACTGTTTGAATCACAAAGGATGCATACTTGAGATGATGAGTACCCCATTTACCCTGATGTGATTATTATATGTTGCATGCCTGTGTGAAAATATTTCATGTACCCCATAAATATATACACCTACTATATACTCACAAAGAATTAAAAATAAAAAAAGTTGAAAAAGGCAAATACATTATTATCTCACTTATACATGAATTCTAAAAAAGTCACACTCATAGAAGCAGAGACAGTAGTATAGTGGTTTCAGAGGCTGGTAACAGGTCAAAGGGAGCAGAAATGGGAAGACGTTTGTTAAAGGGTATAAAGTTTTGTGAGGATAAATACATTCTGGAGATCTATTGTACAACATGGTGGTTTTAGTTGATAATAATCTATTATATACTTGAAAATTGCTAAGAGAGTAAATTTTAAATGTTCACACCACAAAAAATAAGTATGTGAGATGATGGATATGTTAATTAACTTTAACCATTTAACAATGTATATATACATCTATCAAAACATCACATCATACACTGTAAATATACACAATTTTTATTTGTCAATAATGCCTGAATAAACTGAGAACAAAATAAAAATGAAAATATGTTACCCTAAATAATTTAATCTAATTTAATTTGTAGATGCTTTACCTGATATCCCTAATAAATTTTCAAGCCACATATTATTTTTATTGTTAAAATAAAGGAGGTTGAGAAGGATAGGAAGCTTTGTCCAAAATCCCATAGTTGGAGGCAAGATACAAACCCAGATCTATCTGTCACCTCCTGCTTTCCTTCCGGATTTAGACTTCAGTTTTCTAGTCAATTATCTCAAACTTATCTCACAGGGACATACTCCAGCAGACTCCAGGAACCCATTCATTCCTAGAGTAAAATTGAGTGTTTGGCCTGGAGAAAATGGGAGATCCTTTCTCCACACAAAAACATAGCTACCCAAAACCATATCATCAGGGCCAAGTGCCTTTTATGGAGCATTTACCATTCAGGCACTTTACCAGACAACCTCAATTTATACTCACACAGCAGCCCAGATAAGGAGATACTGTCACTATCCCCCTTTTGCCATTGAGAAAGCTAAAACTAAGAGAGGAGAAGTGATTTGCCCAAGGTCAAACACTTAGTAAATAGGAGAAACAAGATTCTCATCTAGAGCTATCTGAAGTCAAACCAATTCATCCAGATATTCCATTGTAATCTTAAATGCTAGGGCAAATGTGCTCACAATGAACTTCCACCCTGCCTCTAATCCCTGCATCATGCAAATTCTTAAGATTTACCTCCAAGAAGCTCTGGTTCACAGGGCTGGGAAAGCCCCAAGAGCTTAACAAATATACCCTGTGACTGTTAGATTCATTAACTGTGAGACCCCTAGGACTTGAGAGTTCCACTGGTTGGGCTGGGATTTAGTTACAAAGACCCCATCACCGGACAAAAAGCAAGTTAAGTCCACTTTCCTTTTCTCTGGAAATAACAGACTTTTGGGTTCCCTGTCCATATATGGCCAGATCATGTAGTCTGGGGACAACATACAGTAGAATGGAGTATCTACTGTGCACTGACTCTATCTTGGAAGATGGTCTGTCTCAAGAACCAGAGACATGAGCTTGTGCCTGTGCAAGGAAGTGTCTGGTCACTTTTCCTACTCAGCTATGACAGCCAGTGAGATAGGTTAATAAATAGGCAGCTCCAAAGAAGTTAGGATAAGAAGAGGAAGGAAATAGTTTTCCCTAGAGCTGGAGTGAGCTACCAGCCTGTATCAAATGTGCCCTATTTATTTGGCAAGTTCTGCTGATAAACAACCTTGTCCGCTCTCTCCTGCTGAGGAATTCCTGATATGAACTGTCAAACATCCACATCCTTCCTGTAATCCACCTCCTGTGTGAAGCAGAGATTTCTTCTGGAAGTAAAGCCAACCTTGCCATCTCGGCTGCCAGGTTGGCATTAGAATAGTGGAATCTTGTAAGCTGCAACCCCCCCTGCCCCGCAACCAGAGAGATGCCACCATGTTGTGCTGGGTCTGCTGTTTCCAGCAAAATAAGCACATGTGTGGTTCACTGCCTTCCCTGGAATGTCCGGGAGCAGGAAGAAGGGGTCCTCCTGCCAGACTCCCTAGTTTCACTCTCTTCGCTTCTCTGGAAAATTTTATCTCATGGAATCTTGTACCTTGCTTTCAGAATGACCAGGAATATTCTATGGAAGCAGAATGTTAAGGAAGATATAACGCATGTTGGTGCAGAGAACACCAGTCTCTGAATGCTGGACCTTTAAAACCTTGTGAGTACACAGCATATCTGTAGAAAAGTCTACAGTGGCAAACACTTCTTGTTGAACTCTTGTATTTCTAGTTAGTGATGATTCCCAACTCTGCCTAATTGATCTGTCTAGAGAGGATGGCAGGGCTTCAAATCTAAAAGCCCAGTTAAAAAGCCCTGAGATAAAACCTCCCCCCAAAAATTACATGCCAGATACCTATATACTGATTTTTTTTATGAAAAGCTGATACCCACAGCCCTCTATAACAGTACTGTCTTCCCAAATATACCTTGCTCTCAGAGAATCAGGGTTGATAATATATGTCAGGGTGGGTGGAGAACAGATAGAGCCTGTTTGTACAGTGACAGTGTGGCTCATTCATTTATTCATGCAGTTACTCAAACAGCAAATATTTATTAAACACCACATGTGAGCAAGAACATCTATTCAGCACAATGAGGGTGATAATAGGGGATGCAGAATTGTTGTTGGGTCACAGAGGCAGGCATCTAATCTAGCCTAGCTGTGGGGAAACAAGGATGCCTTCCCCGAGAGGGTAACACCTAAGCTGAGATGTGGAAGATGAGTAAAAACATGTGCAAAGGCGTAGGGACTGAATCTGAGGAACGTGAAGAAATTCAGGGTGACTACAAGGTAGCAGTTGCTACATTAAGAAAAGTCTCATTAACTAAGCAAAGCACGTACTACATCAGATTGAGCCCTATGGGGTGTCATTGAGATATTTTTAGAAGGGAATGGCATGGGAAAAAAATGGAGATTTACAAAGGCTCACCTGGCTGCAGTGTAAAGAAGTGATGGACAGGGTGATCCAGGTGTCAGGGGAGCCTGTTGAGAAGGCTTTGCAGTGACCTCAGACAAAGATAATGAAAGGCACATCTATGTGTTGTCAGTGGAATAGAGAGAACTGGATGGATTGTGACTTATTTAGGAGATACCATTTAAAATAAAACTTGTACATATAAATTATTTCAATTTTAGATGGTGTGGTACACTGAGTAGTGGCCTCCCAAAGATGTCCACATCCTAATTCCTGGCATCTGTGAATATGTTGTTTTATATGATGGAAGAGATCATGAAGATGTAGTTCAATTAAGAACCTTGAGATGGGGAAATTATCCTGGATTATCCAGTTTGGCCCAATCTAATCACAAGTGTCCTAATAAGGGAAAGAGGAAGGCAAGAGAGACTGGATCAAGTGGAGATCAATTTGAAGATGCTTTGCTGCTGGCTTTGAAGATGAAGGAGGAGGCCAGGAGTCAAGGAAAGCAGGTGGCTTCTGGAAGTCAGAAAATGCAATGAAACGTTCTCCCCTACAGCCTCAGAGAGAGCCCAGCCCTGCCAATTCATTTCAGACCTGTGACCTCTAGAACTGGAAGATAATGAATTTTTGTTGTTTTAAGCCACTAAGTGTGTGGCAATTTGTTATGTTAACAGGAAACCAATACAGATAGGAAAACTAAGTCCTGGCCCCTGATAGACATGTAATAAGTATGTGTTTAGTTAATGCACGAATGAGGCTTAGAGAGGTACAGTGGACGTTCTAAAGTAACAAGGCTTCCAAGTTCTCAAACTTACATGGAAAGTTGAAAAATCCCCCTTACCTGATAATAGTGGTTAACTCAAGATGTGGGACTTGGGGACAGGAGGAGAAGGGAGACTTACTTTTCACTACAGCTTATTATACTACCTGAATTTGTCACCCTGTGCACATATTGCCTATTTAAGAAAAGTTAATGACCCTTGTCTTCAAGTCTGAGGGATAAGACAGGTGTATAGATCAAAATAGAAAAGAAAGTAATCAGTAACCCAATGCCACATCTGAAGGTAGGTACTGTGACAATTCAATATTTTTGGATATGCTCAGTTAATTAAATCTGAATTCCAGTGCCTATCTGCTCAAGCTACCATCCACCCACTCTCTTTCTTTTCCTCTTCAAAGGTTTCAACTCTAAAAATAGTGTACATCTATACTGCCCTGTCCCTTCTTAGCCCCATGAAATTTTGCATGTACTCTGCCCCCAGTAAAATGCTAAGCTGCTCATCCTCATAGGGAAATGATATCAACTCATGGGCAGGGCATGACTTTTGTAGACAAGAGCTAGATTTGAAACCTAGTATCCACATCAGAGTAACCAAGAAAAATTTATTTAAACCTTCTGAGCCTCAGTTTTTCTATCTGTGAAATGGCATCATGATGTGTTATAAGGATTTGTTGGTTTATTTATTTGTTTTTGAACAGAATTCAGTCAAGCAATGTATGTAAAGCATTTGGCATGGTATGTGGCACCCAATACATATTAGTTCAATTTCCCTCTTTATGTATTTTCTTCCCTTTTCCGCAGTAGCCAAAGCTTTTATCTTAGCCCTTAGCTTCTCCAAACTTTCTGCAGTATAGGACAAAATTGATCTCTCTTTCACCCCTCTCACTTTCCTCTCCCACTTTGTTTTTTTCATCCTGTAATTTGTGCAATAGAAATTTTACAAGGAATACAAAAAGTGCAGACATCATTCCAGCATTGTGAAATGAAGATGGCTTAATCAGACAGTTGTGCTCATGTGGGATCCCCTGGGCCATTTATAGGCACCATTTAAGTTCAGAACTCCACACACGCTCAGTATGTTTCAGGTGATATATATGGTTGTTACATGTAAACCTATGTTAGGCAGTTCCTGCCACAAAGATGCTATGTAACACACCAGCCCCAAACTCACTGCCTTCCAACTCCACTTTCATTCTCATGTACACAAATTTATAGGCTGACTGTGTTCATCTGATCTAGAATTGGTTCCCTGGGGTGGCTCTGCTTGAAGCTGCAGGACAAAGGGGTGTGGATCCAGCCTCATCCTGAGACCAGGCTGAAAGGGCAGCAGCCACTGAGGGTATGTTCTTTTCAGGTGATGGCAGAAATGCAGAGGGAAAGCCCAACCACACAAACACAGTGCCCAGTAATGGCCCAATAAAGTCACAAGGCCAATGTCAAGAGGTGAGACGGTACATTCTGCCCACTGTAAGGCCGTAGCAAGGGAGTGGCTAGACACTAATACTAGGGAGAGTGAAGCATTGGGAACAATTATCTAACCTACTACACTATCAATCCACCTGAAGTGATTAGCAAGTAATCCCCCATTCTTCCCCAGCTCCCCTTCCACAAATCCTCACCAGGAATTCACATAAGCCATGAAGACTATGACTAATGTTGGTAGTTGGGTTTCTAAATCAATAGTCAAGAAAAAAAGCTTCATTAAACGTGTCATTAACCCCCTGAAATTGTAAGTATTCATAAGCACGTGGGTACATACCTTTTCTATTGAGAGAGTACAAAACTTTAGATTCTCAATAAGAATTTCAGAACTACTTCTCTCACTAGCCTCATATTCACAGCCAGGAGCGGTTCTTTAGCACAGCAGCAAGACACAGCTATAGTATTAAGTTCTGAACCTGGGATAGTCAATGGCCTGATCCAGTTTGTGCCACAATCATCCTCCCCAAGAACTTCACTCAGAGCATCTCAGCCTAAACATCACCTCGCCACACCAGCCTCCCCTGATCACTTGAGTTGATACAGCTCTTCTCATCCCCAGTTACTTCCCTATCCCATCGCCCATGTTATTTCCTAGGTCTTATTGAATTTATGTGTTAGTTATTATTTTCTGTCCCCTCCCACTAGAATGCAAGCTCCATGTCCTTATCCGTCTTGTCCCCAATCTTAACATAGCGTCTAACACATAGTGGAAGCCCCATACGTATGTTAAATTTATGAAATGAATGAATGGATGAATGAATATGAGCATCATTGGGAGATGCTAGATAAAGCTAACAACCTAGCATGGAATTCATGGGTCTCTAGAGAATACGCTCCCCAAGGTGTTTGTGGGAAGTTTTGTAAAAGAGTGTGTTAAAATGTACACACATGGTGGATGGGCTGGGAGAGAACTATGGGAGAAAATTAACAATCTGTGCTTTGTTCTTCACTTGAGTTATGCGTGATTAGCTTCCAATGAAAAAGACATTTCTTCACACACACACACGAATTCATGTGTACACACACACACACACACACACACACACAGACACACCCCCCAGAGTCTCTTATATGTGAGTCTATCTCCTAGACTTGTGGTTCTCAGCCAGAGGCAATTTTGTCCCCCAGGAGACATTGGCAAAGTCTGGAAACATTTTAAATTGTCACAACTTGGGGTGGGAGAGCTACTGGCATCCGATAGGTAGAGGCCAGGAATGTTGCTAAATATCTTGAAACACATCCCACTTTATCACCCACTACAAAGAGTTTTCCAGCCCAATATGTCAATAGTACCAAGATTGAAAACTCTTGTTCTAGAACCAGAAATTTACACATGTTTACACACACATCCATGGCATGGTAGGATCCAAAGACCATCTTGGCTAGCCAACTCTCTAATCTCTGATCATGGTGTCCAGATAACAGGACTTAATCTCATTTTGAAATCTCTGTCTTTTTAAAGTTTTGACAAATATTTACCAGAAAACCTCTTATGAAGCCAACACTTTCATATCTATTCTCTCATTTAGGGAGTATTGCAAAATCCCGTTTTACTAATGTGGAAGCTAAGACTCAGGGAAGTTAAGTCATTTGTCAAAGTTACGCAGCTAGAAATTGCAGAGTCAGGGTTCAAGCACCTATTTCACTGAATTGTGCTCAGATGTCTTTCTTCCGGCCACCAGCACTTCACTTCATGTTCTTTATGAATAGTTTTGTTTTACATTAATTTTCTCTGTCTGGAGAGCCCCAAGCTGACTTGCTGCATATCAGTGCTCCAAAGAGCCCTCTTGTTTAGTCAACTTCCCTATGAAAAGATACAGTGAGCACCACCTAAGAAGCATAGATACTTGCTGCTGCTGCTGCTGCTGCAGAAGCTTCTATCTCTCAGTTCATCTTTATTACTTCTTTGTATTTGCACTTGTACACTGCTGCAGAAGCTTCTATCTCTCAGTTCATCTTTATTCCTTCTTTTTATTTGTACTTGCGCAATTTGGGCAGTTCCAGGCCTTTTCTCTCAACCCCAATGTCTGCCAGTCTGGAAAGTGTCATCTGAAGCCCTCCTAGATTCAGGAGAAGTTTCCTGGGTTGTCGTCCATAGAAGAATCCCTCACACAAGGTCACCAACAACCCAGCACCTTCCCAGGGGTGTTCTCTTGGTTCTACAGCAAGACAGCTCCACTGTAGCTATAGTGACATCCAAAGATTAATGCCATTAATGCTCCCAGTGCCACTGTGTAAATTTTTAACTCTTTCCTGCCTGCATGTTCAAGTTACACAGCCAATACACAGCACATGATAAGTGCACAGTTAATCTTTCAGATTAATCTTGACAATAAGCAAACAAACAATAAATGAATAATATGTACATACATAAAAATAACCCAAAAGTGTTGTTATTCTTGTGGTACTTGTGTTTTAATGAAGAACTTTTTATTTAGTTTATCTATTCGTTCAACAAATAGTTACTGAGCTTCTTTGAAGCTCTAAACCCTGTGCTAGATGCTAAAGAAAAAAGTATAAACAAAGATAGGCAAGACCCTGTCCTCAGAGAGCTTACATTCCAGTGGCAGGTCTGGACTTTGGTCATGGCCTTTTTAATGCATAATTATGAAACAGAATAAGTGATCTGAGGAAACACTGTGGGGGCTCTGAGAATGCTTATCAGGAGAATTTCACTGGATCTGGCCAGGGCTGGGCAGAGAAATCTTTCCTAAGGAAAGATCCTGAAGGGCCCTAACCTTAAAGGAAGATTCTCCAATGTGAGAGTGTTCATCACCTGCAGCAATTGATAAGCATGGCATTGGGAGTAGGATATGCCACCCTCCTGGGGTGTCACACATTCCACATGTGCTAGGTGACACCCTTTGCCAAGAAGCAGAGCTGGGCTGAACATTCAGTTTCCTAGGAGCAGTAGCTGAGTGCAGTAATCTTTAGACTTTCCATTTGCTTATCCCCCAAAATAACTTCTGAAAGTTTGGTGCCTCCTAGCAAAGGATATCATTTTTAAGATGGCAAATATTGAAATTGTTAAACAAAACTGTCAAACACTTTTTAAAATGTAATCAATAGTAAGCATAGTAATTTCATACCCACCATCATCCATTTAAAAAATGAACACGCTCTCCTGTAACAGTCAGATATTTTACATCCCTCACAGACTTTTAAGCTCATGCAATATATTTTGATGCTTGAAAATCTTTAATTGTTCATTTTTATGGCTGCATAGTATTTCATGGTGCATATGTACCACAATTTCTTTATCCAGTCAGTCACTGATGGGAATTGAGGTTGATTCCATGTCTTTGCTATTGTGAATCGTGCTGCAATGAGCATACGTATGCATGTGAAGAGGATCAGGAAAAATAACTAATGGGTATAGACTTAATACCTAGGTGGTAAAATAATCTGTACAACAAATCCTTATGACACAAGTTTACCTATATAACAAACCTGCACATGTACTCTTGAACTTAAAATTAAAATTTAAAAAATCTTTAATTGATCATACCTATCTGCTACAACAATATGTAAATAAATTGACTTTTAAATTTTGTTTGTAATACCTAGGACTATGTGGTTCAAGTATTAAAAAGAATTTCCTCTATATGAATACACCATTATTATTACTAAGACATGAATTAAAGCAAGATATATACATTATAAATTTTGATAAATATTTATTAAGCAGAAAGAAATCAATTGTATTGGAAATTCCTCTATTAATGGGGATGATTATGACAAATTACATGAAAGAAAGAGTGTTCAGTATCGATTCTATTTCTTTTTTGTGTTTATACACATTAAATGCCCAGAAAATGTGTTCACAAAATAGCTACATAGAAATGGAAGCTTCTTTTTTAAACATTGTTATTCAAATCATTATTGCAACTGACTATGGAACAAAAACATCAAAAATATTTTTTAATGTTTTGAATTATCCTTTTGGTGTCCTAGAAGTTTTTTGTGATAGTCCAATGCAGAGTAATGAGACTCTCAATAAGCAAAGATATGGTCTTTTGTGTTTCTTATGGGAAATGGGAGATTATTAAATAATGAGGAGAAATTTTAGTGTTCTTAATCAGTTGGCCAAGTTTAAGGAAAGTTTATATGGAAGTTGATAATCCAAAACCAAATTTCTTCATATGTCTCTCCGAAAATACTTATAAATCTTCAGGGTATATATACCCCAGTTTGAAGACCACTGGCTTTGAGAATCCTATCAGTCTTTAATCACCTCTAAAGACTGACAATATTCTTGGTTTTTGTTCAACATGTTGACCCTCCCCAATGTGGGCGAGAGGCCATCTCAGTGGATGTTATGAACAGCCTCATCCTCCTTCAAAGTGAAGGGCCCCCTACTGGATTTTTCACACTATATGCCAGTGCAGGGTGGATTCTCCTGTTGAGAATTAAACACCAGGAAGAGAACAGAGAGGATGGAATGAGAATGGGTAGGACAACTTGGTCTGGGAGGTCAAGAAACACTTAACTGGAACAGTGACATCTGACTGAGGTACAAAAGATTAATAGAAGTCAACTGGACCAGGAGGGAAAGTAGGAGAGGGAGAACATTTCAGGCAGAGAGCATGGCACATGGGAAAGGACTGAAGAAGAGAAGAGCATGAGGGTTCTTATATGCTCAGAGGAAGAGAGTACAACTTATTCTTCATGCAATGGGAAGCCGTTGAATTGTTTTAAAGGAGGAACTAACATGGTCGGATCTATACTTCTCTACAGTCACTCTGGAAACTGATGATTACCAAGCCCCTGAAGCATAAGTCCAGAAGAGGAATGAACAAGCTAGCCTAGAGCAAAATAGGACTGCCACCGCCTCCATACTAGACAGCAGAATGCAACCTATGATCATTACTTGGCTCTTTGCAGCCCCTTCGCAGTGTACCCCAGACACTGATGTCTCCTTCCATCTCCATGCTGTTGAGTCACTTCTCTCAAACCCTGACAGTGAACATTTGGCTTGCTAGTCCCAGAATAAGACTGCACAGCTCTTCATTCTCTCTCTTTCCAAACCAAATTACTGATCTGTTCCTTTGTTAAATTGCTTTGGTGCCTGATGATCTATACATTTAGGTGTAATCTTCTCCCCCAGCAACTTCTCCAGATCTTTTTATTTCCTAAACAGAATGCTGGTGCAAGCTGTTAATAAATATTTTCACACCATTACACATGATATGATCTTATGAGTTGATATGGCACCTATGGTATATCTTATAGTATAACATAACACAACATAATATATTTGAGAGTTAGTCATAATAAGTTTATTATGAATGATTTATAGCCCCAAGTAAATATGTACATGATTAATAATAATTGTTATTATGAAATGCATATTTGATTACCCAAAGCCTTTTTAGATAGTGCAAAGTTCCAGGTTAAACTGTTTCCTTGCTTTATAAAATAAGATGAGAAAAATACCAAATTCATAACTATGAATAAATATTAAGTGACAAAATAATATATTGTAGGTAAGTCTGAGATGCCCTGGGTTGTGGTACGTGGAGAGATGTAATTCTTTTTTTGCCTACAAAACTTTTTAGATTCCTTATTGTGTCAAGCAAGTCTTTTTATAAATTTCCATGATATGATATACAAGGTTTCCCAAACACATTTGACCACAGAGCACTTGTACAGAGAGCACCATGCTGACTGGCATTCTGCAGAACATGCTGCAGAAAACACAGTAGCTGGAGAATGTCTCAAGCTTTCTTCATTTCTTAGTGCCCTGGGATTCTTAGATCCTACTTAAACCTGTTACCAAATCCTATTTCTTGGCAAGAACATTCCTCATCCCCTCTTCTACCCTCAAGTCATCTTCTCTTGCCACCTTCAGTGCAAAATAATTTTTTTCCAAGTTTCAGTTTGGATAATTTGATCTCCTTATGGTCAAGAATCATGTCTTACTCAACTTTGTATATTATAGTTGCCAGTTTATGGTAAGCACTTAGTAAATAGTTGTTAAGGAATGAATAGTAACCAGCATACAGCATACTTTATAAACTGTGACTCTTTTCACCCTTCTCCTAAAACAGAATATAAGAGATTACATAAGTATGTATAGTGTATTTCAGGGACTCATTGTATGGAACTTACTGCAAATATTCACTGGTGCTTGTGGTCTTCATGGACCGTGAAGCCAGTCTTTGCATTTTGTGAACCTTAGTTGCGTGGAGCAATATTATAATACTTCCACCACTCTCTGGTTTCTTAGAAGTTACACTGCTCTTCAACTGTTTTACCCTCAGTCCAAGTTCTAGGTAAATGATTCAGGATAATCCTTCTCTTTTTTTGTTTTCAGAAGTTCATAACCAATTAGATGAGGAGATTGAGAGTTGAACTGGGGAAGTAAAAATGTAACTTGAACATCTGAAGAAAACCACTTTAGTTTCTAAATGCATTGACTTTCCTTGAGTTACAGTAAAAAGTCAGACAAGCCACATCTCAGAAAGTGCTGTGTGCACACATTTGTACATTAGAGCCCTCCACCCCAAGAAAGCCATGCAAAGCATGCAATACATTTCCCAGAAAAGGCAGCATCATGAAACAGATCCTCCTGGGCCACTGCTATGTGCTTCCTTCCAGCTCTGTAGCTGGGTGTTGGACTTTCTCATTTTCTGTTCTGCTCAGAAAGGCGTTTTGTTCTTGAACAAAAAATACCTGGGCAGGGAATCTCTGTCATAACTGCTTAATGCCTGGTCTTGGGGGAAGAGATGGAGATCACTGTCACTTCCCCAGTGTGGTATCCAGGAAGGACAGCAGCTCTGGAAAGCCAAGCCATGCCTTCAAAGGACCTGTACTCATCTTTGGCCATCTTTGGCCAATTGTCTGTAGTCATACTCACAGGAGATTGTAAGAGGAAAAAAATACAAATACTTCCATGAGGATATCAAGGCTTCTTACTGCCGAAAGGAGGCTGTTGAGAATTGAAACTTCTCTTCAGATCCACTGAACCTAGGCTTCTTTCCCCTCTAGCTCTATCTGAGAAGCAATATGAGAAGCAATATACAGGAGCACATATTTTGGTGAAGCAAGTCTTCCTTCTAGTACAGATTCCACCCTTTTATAGGACTGGAATGCTTCAGATGCAGTGACCAGCCCTAAGTTTACAAAAATCACGCTGCTCTTGCACAGCTTCCAGTCTAGTGAGAGAGAAAGGGATGTGGGAGAATGTTTATGATATATTGTAATACGGACATTTCCAAGAGAGACATTAATTTGGGTTAACCTCATCTGTGGTACTCAGGAGAGCTAGTCAGAGACAGGAATGCTTTAAGTAGATGTTAAAGTAAGAGCAGGTGTTAACACTAAGGTGGGCTATATTATTCTATAGGAATACAAATTATCTAAATCTAAACGGAGAAACACAATCGAAGTTTATTTCCAGCTTATGCAAAGTCTAATTCAGATGTTCATAGTGAGACAGCTCTACTGAGTAGCTCTTGTTCACACAGTGATTTGGTATCCTCATCCACATCAATTTAGGGGTTCTGCTATTCCTTAGGACCTCAGAATTCTTCTTCTGGATCTTCAACAGATTGTCTTCATCTTCACAATGAGGAATGACACAGAATATAGATCTCTCAAGAGATTTTAAGAGTCAACCAAGAATTACCTTACATCACTGCTATCCACATCACAGTAGCCAGAAATAGCCATGTGGCTCCACTAAATGGCAAAAGGAAGCTAGGAAAGGTAATTTTTCTGTATTCTCAAAGGAGTAGGGAAGTGTGTTTGATTATAGTATTGGTTATGCCACAATAGGATTTGCCAAGGAGCAAGAGAAAGGTATTTCATGGGAAAGGAATGGGGATCTGGCTTTGAAAGTACATGGTGGCCTGTTCCTCAATGGGAGCACCAGGAAGAACAGAGCCTTTCAAGAAAAATATATTTGGAAATCAGACAGGAAAACTCATGGCAGACTAAGATATTTGTGGAAGAGGGTTGCAAAGAGTAAAGTTGGAAAGTTGGTCTTGGGGTCAGCTGGGGTATAAGCTGGACTATTCCAGTGAGACTAGTTCTTTCCTAAATAGTACACACTTGGTCTCCATTCCCTGTAAAAGGGACAAGTCCCCAGAGAAGTTTCTACAAAGGATGATTTGACCTATTTAAAAACATGAGCTGGTCTTTCCATTTTTTATTTTTATGTCCAGAGAGACCCCGATGTCAGAGACCTAAAGATCTGCGAGTGAATCCAGGGTTTACTCTTCAATGCAGGAGCTTTCACCACCAGCCTTAGCCTCATGCAAACTGCTCCCTTAGTGTGCACCTGGAAGGCTTGAAATACACAGTCCGTGAGTCAAGAGCATAGGTAATTTCCAAGCAAATCCTAAATGTTGGGTTCAGAGAAGGGAGCTTTTGAGACCTATAGAGGCATGGTCTAAAATGTAGATTGGAGGCCTTCACAGAGAACTCTTTAGAAGAAGATGCAGGCCATCACAATTAGACTTGATGTCTACACCCTGTCTTCTCACTCACCTTTGTAGGCTGAGAGATCAAATGTGTTGACTGATTCTAACTTCCATCCTGTCATGGTTTATTTTTTTAAGTTTAAATAATTATTTACTTTAATTTCTTTTGATAATATAAACATATTACAAAAATTATGTAATATGGAAAAGTAGAAAAAAAACCCAAAATCTTACTACTCAAAAATTGAGCATTGAGCAAACATTTTTCTAGAACATTCTCTATATTTAAGATGGAGGGAAGGAAGGAAGGAAGGAAGAGTGAGAGAGGATAAGGTATTACAATGAAACCATGTTTTACATCCTGGCATAGTACTTTTATGTTTTAACAGAAGCAGTGATATTTATTAAAAATTCAAAACACAAAAATGAAGTTTCAGAAAAACTGTCTTCAACTGATCCCTCATGTTAATAGGAATGCCTTCACTTAAAACTCTTCTTAAACTACTCACTGGGGCTACCCTGCCAGCTACCATTTTTTAGTCTTTCTTGATTCCTTCATTGACCAAATATTTATTGAGGGCCTACCCTGAGCCAAGCAAGCACTAGGCTAATGCAGCAATTAGAGGGAGCAAGACTGATGCAGTTCCCATCCTCAGGCAACTTAGATAGAGAAGAGTGTTTCTAGAATCATGGCTCAATAGGCCAGAGAGTCTGGATTCATCGTTATAGTGTGAGGCCCAAGAACCTGCATTTTCAACAGGTCTCCAGGTGACTTAGATGCACATTGCAATTTGAGAACCACTGTGCTAGCAGAGATTTTATGTCAAAAAAGATGGATAATTCATTGCCAAGAAAAAGCATGGCAGGTAAATGATTGTCTCAAGTCAGGAATCCAGGTCAGGAGTGAGCAATGGTCCAGTATGATGGAGCTAGACTGATCATTATGCACAATCCCGTGGTGTAATTATGGGTCTTCCCTGATTCATATGCGGATCTGAGTTATCACTGAAATGGTGAGGACATTTCCTTTACAGAAAGCAGCATCTTTACAGGTAAGGGACTTTGGCGGATGTTTATAGCAGGATATGTCCTTTGGGTAATCTACTAGATCCGTTTTCAAGAATTTTGATGCAGGAATGTTAACTCCGACGTCTATGAATATCTGCCAGCAGTGACTTCTGTGTGCTCTGGCAAATGTCACGAGGACTTAGACTCTTTAGCACAAAGATTCCCAGAGAAAGGGACTGTGAACTGCTGAGGATTAGGGTCAACTCAGCTAGAAGCTGAGTCCTTGTCTTGAAATATGTAGCTAAAATAATTGTTTTTCTCTCTCTGATTGGTTGAAAGGAGATCAAAATTAAATGTGCAGAAGAAGTTAAGATCTAATGCGTATCCTGAAAGCGTGCTCAAGAAAGGTCTAGGTGAGAGAGAACTGTGCTTTCAACATTTAAATAACACTGCTTAGCATGATTACATGAAGCCAGGTAGAAATCCACTTACCTATTTATGCAATTATGAAAACGGAATGAATACGCTGTTTGGAGGATATATAATATTCAGATGGAAACCTTCAGGTTTTTCTTTTTCTTTTTTTTTTTTTTTGAGACGGAGTTTCGCTCTTGTTGCCCAGACTGGAGTGCAATGGCGCAATCTCAGCTCACCGCAACCTCTGCTTCCCTGGTTCAAGCAATGCTCCTGCTTCAGCCTCCCAGGTAGCTGGGATTACAGGCATGCACCACCACACCCAGCTAATTTTGTATTTTTAGTAGAGATGGGGTTTCTCCATGTTGGTCAGGCTGGTCTCGAACTTGCGACCTCAGGTAATCCGCCTGTCTTGGCCTCCCAAACTGGTGGGATTACAGGTGTGAGCCACTGTGCCCAGCCTAACCTTCAGATTTTAATCACCCTCTAACCCTTTAAAGCCCTTTAAAGACATATCTTTAAAGATATGTGTTTCTAATGACTAATTATAAGTATTATTTTATAAAATTCTGAAGCGGTAGAGGTCTACATAAACACCTGTTAGATAATAATATTTATCATTTGAATGAGTGAGTGAATGAATGCTTGAGAAAATAAAATTTAAAAACCAGAAATTTGTAAAAAAAAAAATAAAAGGCTCTGAAACGCTAATTATCATAAACTCAGTATTTTTTTCCATGCTAGCTTATAAACTTTGTTTATATATATTTTTAGCAATATTCAGATCTCTTTTTTTTATTGACATCAGTTTAGGCACGAGAAAAGTTTTGTGTTTCTAGACTCTGGGAAAATAAATATCGATTGTCATGAGCAGATTTAACTGATAGCCTTATAATTTAAAAATACGATTTTAAAAAGACAGATTCAAAATTCTAAAATCACAAATGACTGGTGGCATACAGACAGGCCATAATACCCCAAGTACCTTTGAGGACATCACACATTGCAATAATTGACATTCATACTAATGACTTCAGGTGATCAAGAAATGTTTATGTTAGGCCTGTATATTCTAGTTAAAAGACTTGGAGGTGTATAGTACAATTAAACTTTTTCTCCATAATTAGTTTCTGATATTTTATGGGATTGGCTTTTATTATGGGTAGAATTCACTTGGGCAGAAAGCCTCTTTCCCTAGTGACTAGGCTTGTCAGATATAGCAAATAAAAATACAGGATGCCCAGTTAAATTTGAATTTCAGCAAAACAACTAATCAACTAATCACTTTTCAGTATAAATATATCACATCCTATATTTGGAACACACTTATGCCCCATGCAATATTTGGGACACAATTATACTAAAAAAATTGTCTTTGAAATTTAAATTTAACTCAGTGTCCTGTATTTCATTTGGAAACCCTACCAGTGACTAAAAAGCAACCTATATCTCAGAATTGGTACATTCTGGAATGGTTGCACTTAAGAAATCTGGCTAATTCTATGAGTCAACTCCACAGAGCTTTTCAGAAGAACTCTATAAACTTGAGAATAAAACAGCCTTCTAATGCAAACTACTGTCTTTCCTCTGAAAGTCTCAAGTCAAGTGAGATGAAAACTTGAGACAAACCTGCAGGAGGAATGCAAATAAAGATTATAAGCTCTAGGAGAGTTGATTTCAAGGAGCAAATTAACTCACTAAGGCCCCTTGTGAAATCACCTCCACTGAAATGAGTTCTATGGTGAGGGCTAAGACTTTTATTGAAGACAAAGTATCATGACACTCATTATTAAAATTTCCATGTAATGTTATTGGAGATCCTGTAGTCTGTTTCTGTCCCTCAGTCTTGACCTGCCTGGAAGTCTTGTCTAACTCTCCTCTACCTGATTAGCTGCTTCTTTCTCTGCAAGTCTCCATCTTAGCTCTAATTCCATGATTCTGTAATTGCCTGTTTATCTGTAGAGTTCTTCCACTAGATTCTTTGAAGGACAGGGATGTATTTTCTGACTTTGTATTCCCAGTGGCAGAACAGTGCCTGGCATGCAATGAATACACAATAGATGTTTGAATGGATAGAAGAGAGGGAGAAAGAATGGATGGATGGATGGATGGATGGATGGATGGATGGATGGATGATATGGTTGAAAATATTATGTTGTACTTATGGAGAGGAAAAAGTTGGCTCTTATGCTTGTGTAAGAATAGTCGTAGTCACTTTATTCATATTTGTTACAGCTTAAAAAAGCCAACTTATCCACAATAGAAAAATGGATAAACAAACTGGTATATTAACCCAATGGAATTCTACCTAATAGTAAAAAGGAACAAACTACTGATGTAGTATGCACAACATGGATAAACTTCAAAAATACCGTGCTGAGCAATAGAAGACATGTAAGAGTACATAATATATGACTCCTTTTTTGTGAACATCTAAACATAGAAAACTAACTTGGGGTAGAAAAACTTAAAAACAAAGTTTTTCTGGGAAATGGAAGGTGCTGGGAATTTACTGGGAAGGGGCATAAGAGAATTTTCTGGGTGATGACATTGCTCTATATTGATAGTAATTTAGTTGGATAAGTGCATGCATTCATCAAAAGTCAATAAATGCACACTTGAGATTCATGTGTTTCATTGTAAGCAAACTTTACCTCTTAAGAGAAAAAAAAATGTAAACGAATACTGAACTCTGTCTACATGCTGTAGTATTTAGAGGTATTGTAATGATGTCTGCAATTTGCCTTGAAATACATTCAAAAAATAAAATGGATTGATGGCTGGACAGAGAGATACACTGACACAAGATAAAGCAGGTATAGTCAAATGTTAATAGTAGAATCCAGGTGATGAGTATACAAGTGTTCACTGTAAATTCCTCTCAATTTTGCTGTATTAGAAATTTTACATGACAAAATGCTGAGGTGAAAAGGAGCTTCTGGTTCACATAACTATGCGAAGGCTGCACACTAGAAAGGACTCTGAGGTTCCCTGAGGATATTTAAGACCTTTCTCAGGGTGTGCAAATTACGTCTGAGGCTTTCTAGAGAAACAATTCATCTAACACCAGACACCCAAAAACCATTTGGCCAAACTAGGTAAAACCAGAGAGAATTCTACTCAGAGTATTTTTCATTACCCCAGCCATTCCAGCACTTTCTCTCTTGGAAACACTCGCCGTTATTTAAAAGCGAGAGTAAAGCCCCATCTCCAGGACTCCAGCTCCTTCTCTTGCACCCATTGGCCTCTGTTTGTTAGTGTCTGACTGAGGGAGGCCATGTCAGAGTCGATAACAGGTCGATGGGAGATGACTGACTCCGAGGGTTCGTGCCAGGCTCAGCTGCTCTCTTCTGCAGAAGTGTGTGCCTGAAGATCACTCTCCCTGACACAATCCTGCAGCTGCTGAAGGAGAGGATTTACTCGGATGAAATTCAGGCCCAAGGGGAACTCGAGCATCATGCCCACAATTAGAAGTGACATGTGACCCAGGAGCGGAATTCTGGCTGCCAGAGAAAGGAGTGAGCTGATTCTTTTGAGTTGTTCTGACTTAAGAAAACTGCCTTTCTAATTCCTCTGCAGAGGGCCCAGAAAGTTTTCTGTTTGATCAGTTAAAATACAAAATAATAATAATATTGAAGGTAATAAATCCCTTTTAAGAATGAAAAATGTCACAGGCATCTTAGGGAAGACAGAGGGCTGAAGAGTTCAACCACGTACTACTGGAAATGTCTGGGCCTTATGGTGTTCTATTCAGAGAAGATTTAGATTCTGTCCGCCAACACACAGGGGAGTAGTGCACTCCTCATCGCTGAAGGTAAGCAAATAGACGGTGGATGAGAATAGGAGAGGTCCCTAAAGACGATTAAAGAATACAGTGGTGTATGGACTGAATTGTATCCCCCCTAAAATTCATGTGCTGAAGTTCTGATCCCCCAGTATCAGAATATAACCATATACGAAGATAAGGTCTTTAAAGAAGTGATTTCGTTAAAATGAGAATCTTAGGTTGGAGCCCTAGTCCAATACGCCTGATGTCTTTATAAGAAGAGAAACAGACACTAGGAGTGAGCATGCACAGAGGGCTGACCATGAGAAGAAGCAGCGAGGGAGCCGCCATCTGCAAGCCAATGAAAGAAGCCTCGAAGCAAACCAACCCTGCCTCTGGAACTATGAGGAAGTAAATTATTTAAGCCATCCAATCTGTGGTATTTTGTTAGAGCAGCCTTAGCAAATTAATGCACTCTCTGAAAACTTCTGGGCAGTGCATTATCCATCTTTTTGACAATGAAGCTCTACTAGCCCAGTGGTTCTCAAACTGCATTGTGCATCCAAATCATCTGAACAACTTTTGAAATGCAGGTTCCTGAACTTCACACTATAACCATGAGAACAGTCTTCCTGGCATATTGAACAATGCTTTCAGGAACATTCTTTTGCACTCAAGTTCAGTGAGAATGAGGACTGTCAGTCTTGCTCCCTTTGATTCCCTGCACTAGCCTAGTGCTTGGCCTAGGCTGGGCCTTCGATAACTATGCACAAGTGGGGCTTGAAGTAGATGGTTTTCCAAATTCCATCTCTGAAGGTAAGCTGCATGGGGGAAAGCTCTTCAATTTGTTCATAACATAGAGGATTTCTCTGTATTATTCCAGACAGATATTCTAGTCCTTGACAGATGGTAGGCATTTAATAAGTAATTGTTGAATGAGTGAATCTTATAAGATGTTCTAGAGAACTCTGCGTTAGTGAAATTGCAGTGCCAAGAACAGAATCTTTTAAACTTCTATGTTGGCTCTTGATATAGTTTTATTATATCTATTATTTCATCTAATTATTTTATGGTTTGATTTTAGATATTTGGAAAATACAGGCATTTAGGGAGAACATTAAAGTCTCCTGAAATCCCAACCCTAAAATATAACTATGGTGAATATTTTGGTTCATTTTCTTCATTCATAAAAATATGTATTTAGATAAGTTCAAAAGAAATTGCAAATACAATAATTTATCTTTTTTCCAAAGATTATATTTTCCCATTTTGCTACATATTTTCTGAAATAGGATCTTTAACAAATGAATAATATTCCATCATGAGGATGTCATATTTAATCACCTAAAATTTGACTTAAATATAATAGAAAAGAAGAAAATGAATGTGCATGTCCAAAAAAACATTAATTTTGGAAGTTGCATTTAGGGAGGTGAAATTTGTTTCCATGTTTTATTAGGTTGGTGCAAAAGTAATTGTGATTTTTACCACCACTTTCACTGGCAAAAACCTCAATTACTTTTACACCAACCTGTAATTGGCTATTTGGATATCTCCTCCTTTTCATAATTTTTTGATTGTTTTATGCTTAGAAAATCTTTTTCCACATTCAAATCAGTTAATTAATAACTTCCACTTTCTTTAGAGGTATTTCCATTACCGAAATAATACATGCTCATGATGCAAGTTTTGAAAGTATATGAAACCTAAAAGAACTTAGAAAGTTGTCTCTAATATTTTGAACTTCTGTTGTATTCCTTCCCATCAATTTTCAGTGCATATTTTTATATATTTGTTATAATATAGTACCTATAAAATTGTATATACTAATTTTAAGTTTATTTGTATGATTATAAAATGAACATCTGATCACTGTATAAAATCTGGAAACTACACAGTACCATGTGGAGAAAATAAAAACAACTAAAACCCAATTCCCCAGGCAGAATCACTGTTACATTTGGTATACAATACTTACTTCCAGTTTTTTTGGTTAAATGTATTTTTACATAATTGCAGATGTGCAATATGCACAAAATTACACTGATTTTAATCATTTATTATTTTGCATCTAGAATTTATACTCATGATAGAAAATTACACATATAAAAACAAAATGAAAAATTAAAATCACTAATAGTAGTAATTCCAAACAATATATTTTAATAACTTTGTATATTACCTCATAGAGTAGTATTCATGTCTTCCTTGAAAGGTAGTCAGAGAATATACATCTAATATTATGCATATATGTATATACATATATATCACATAATACATATGACACAATACTTGTATTCACAAGTTGTCTATGTAAGGTAATACAAACAGAAGACTAATGACTGATGTGTACTCTTTAAGTCATTCAATGTTTTTTCCTTTCTTCTATATTTTGAAAGTCTCTCAACCTTGCCCTTCAAGTTACCACCTTGATTTAATGCAGAGACATTCTACCCTGTACTCCCTCCAATGATGATTTTAATTATCTCCTGAAAATTAGCTTCCTTATGTCAACCTGGTCTTCGCCAGTTTTTTTCCTCCATCTATTATTGTCTTACGGCTTTCTGTTTACCATTCAGAATTTGTACTCTTTTTTTGGGTTTTAGTTTGTAAATTTTTTTTCTACATTTTTTTTGTTTTTTCTGATTAAACTTTTTTTTATATAATTGTAGATCACATGCAGTTTTAAGAAACAATACAGAGAAATTGTGGTAACCTTTACCCAGTTTTCCCCAGAATTTTAATGTTAACATCATGCAAAATCATAGTACAATTTTCACAACCAGGTTATTGACATTGATACAGTCAAGATACAGACTAGTTCTATATACTTCTTGTTGTTCTTTTGATACTCAGGCTCACCTCTGTCCCCCTCCTTTGGCCTCCCCTTGTACCTGATCCCTGGAAACCATTAATCTGTTCTGTGTTTCTATAATGTTATCATCATAGGAATGTTTTATATATGGAATAATACATTACACACCTTTTGAAATTTTTTTTCATTCAGCGTAATATCTTAGAAATTCAAATAAGTTACTGGTTTTATTTTTATGTTTTGAGACATTTATATAAATGATACATGTAATTGTGAGGGACAAACTTTAAAGTGATTTCCATGATCAAGACTTTCTAGTATTTATACATTTGTGTAATCCTTTCCCCTTGAGTGTGAGCAGGACCTCTAATTTTCTTCTGATCCATGCAATGAAGCAAATGCCATGTATGTGATTTGTTCATGTGTTTTTGTTAAGCATGTATCATCATCTTGCTAGAGTCTCTTTCTCCCTTGCTGATTTTTAAGAAGCAATATGCCATGAAGGAAGGAGTCATATTAGAAAATTTCATGTAGCAAGGAATTTTGAGTGGTCTCTAAGGGCTGCAGAACATTTCTTGAAAGAAACTAGACCTTTCATTTGTGCAGCCATAAGAACATAATTATCCCAACAGACTGAGGGATATTTGAAGTAATTCCTTCCCCAGTGGTGCCTCTGATGAGACCACAACCCTGGCTGTCACCTGGAATGCAGCTTGGTAAGATGCTGAAGTACAGAGTCCAGTTAAGCCATGCCAAGATTTCTGACCTACAGAAACTGTGATATAATAAATGTGTGTTATTTTAAGTCGCCAAGTTTTTGGTAAAACCAATACAGTAATCTACTGCAACTTCCTTTTTCCACTCGATGTCATACTTTTGAGATTTGATATATTATTTAATTGTTTTACAGAATTTCAGTGTCTATACAAACCACAACTCCTCTATTCTACCACTAATAAAGGGTGTGTTTCTGCTTCTTAGACATTAGAAAGCAAGTGTTTTAGAGAATATCCTTATACTTACTCAGGACATATACAATAGTTTCTCTACAAAATATATCTCAAAATGAAATTACAAGTATATGTGCATGTTCAACATTACTGTAATATTGCCAATTTGCTCTCAAAAGTGGTTGCATAGATTTTGTACAGGACAATTCCTGGTTCCCCACGTTGTGACCAACACTTGGTATGATCAAACTAAGTAATTTTGCTACTGTAATCCATGTGAAATGACAGCTTTTTGTTCCCTAGTATTGATTACTGATGAAACTGAGCATTTCATATGTTAAATGGTCACTTGGGTTTCAAGTTACCGATTCATGCCCTTTGCCCATTTTTCTATTGATGATCTTTTATTTTTGTTATTGATTCATAAGGGGCTCTTTTATACTCTGGATTCTTATCCTTTATTGATTATAAATTGCCAAAAAGCTCTTCCAATTTATAAATGACATTTCATTTAACCTATGGTAATTTGTCTATTTTTTCAAAATTTCAAAGTCCAGTACATCCATCTTTTTCTCTATAGTTTGCATATTTTATGCCCGGTTTAAGAAATGTTTCCTCCCCCAAAGCCATAAAGATATTCTTCTACATTGCTTCTAAATCATTTCAAGTTTGCTTTCATGCTTGGGTCTCTAAGCACTTAGAATTTATACTTTTAGGGTGAAGTCAGAATTTACTTTTACTTTTCCTCATGGTTAAGCAATTGTCCCAGCTTCATAAATTGAGTAGCTCATTTTTTATTGACATAAATGTTGCTTCTGTCAAACACCAGTTTGTCTTTATACATGTGGATCTATTTTGAGGTCATTTATTGGTTACATTTATGTAATATGTCTATCTGTGAGACAAAACCACATTATTTTAATTACTAAAATTTTAATAAGTCTTGAAATGTGGTAAGGTTGATTCCAGTGATTATCTTTCTTAAAATTGAACTTTATTATTTTTTAATCTTTACTTTCATATAAATTTTAGGGTCAGTTTGTCAAGCTCAATAAAAGAAACAAATTAAAAACCCTGTTGGGATTGGGATTTTCATTGAAATTACATTTAACCTATGAATTAATTTGTGGAAAATTGCCAGTACTATGATACTGATTCTTCCTAACTTATGCATGGGAATTGTATCACGATCCTCCAAAGATATCCACTTCCTATGAATATGTTAGGCTACCTGAAAAAGGGAAATTAAGGTTGCAGATGAAATTAAGTTTGCTGGTCAGGTTACCTTGAGATGGGAAGATTATCTTGCATTATCTGTGAGCCCAATATAATCATAAGTGTTCTTAAAGGTGGAGAACAGTCAGTGTCAGCGTGAAGCAATGTGAGAACTGCTCGATCAGCTGTTGCTGGCTTTGAAAATATAGAGGGTACATGAACCAAGAAATGTAGGCATCCTCTAGAAGCCATGAACCTAGAAATTCAGGTGGCCTCTAGAAGCTAGAAAAGGCAAGAATATGGATTCTCCCCTAGAGCCTCTAGAAAGAAATGTAGCCCTTCTGATACCTTGATTTTAGCCCAGTAAGACCCATTTTGGACTTCTGACCTCAAGAATCTTAAGATAATAAATTATGTTGTTTTTAGACACTAAGTTTGTAATAATTTGTTAAACCAATACACAGAGATAGGTAGGTAGGTAGGTAGGTAGATAGATTAGACAGAGAGAGAGAAAGAGAGAGGGAGGCAATAGGAAACTAACTCAGGTCAGTGTGCGTGGATGGGTGTTTGTGTGGGCCCGAGCATGTGCATGTGTGTACTTAAATTTATGGTAGAAGTTTCTTATATGTTTGCATTTTGATTAGAGATTGTTCTCTTTATAATATGACTTATTTACTTTATTCAAGACTAGCTTTGAGTCCAAGTATACTGTCATTTCTTTTAAATGTCCCACCCTTGCTTAAAAAGAAAATATATTTCCTGACTTTCTCAGAGTTATTTGTCAAGTTCTATATATGTTCAATAGGACCACACTTGCTATCTACACTGTTCAATTTTTTATCTCTTCTGACATTTGAATTACTGAGAGAGAAGTATTATATTTTCCATATTAATTGTGAATTTTGCAATTTTTCCTTGCAATTTCATTCATTTTGGGGAGTCATGTGCATATAAGTTTTAAATACCATTATTTTCTACCTTTATCTTTATGTCATTACTCTATTTATTCATAAAATGCATTTTGTCTTGAAATCTACTTTTCTGTATTAATATATTCACACTATTTTTATTTGTCTTCACTTTCAAGTTTTCTATATCATATTTTAGGTGTTTTTCTTATAAACAACAATTGGCTGGATTTTGTAATTTTTAATTCAATTTGTGAGCCTCTGTTCTAACAAGCTTATCTGCTATATTTATTGTGTTGACTCATATATCCATTTATTTCTATCATTTTATTTTGTTCCATTTACTATGTTTTTTCTTTGCTTCCCTCTTTTCCCCTTCTTCCTACCTCCCACTGGGTTTTTTTCACCCCTTTCTCCATGTCTTCCTAGCCTCTGATTGTTTTGGAAAAGTAATGTTCTTTTATTAATTCTGAATGGATACTTCAAATATTTAATATGAACAAGTGGCTTAGGAAGGATAAAGTGATTAATATCTCAATGCTTGTTCAAAACAATTTAAGAACTTGGAATCCTCCAGCTCCAAATGTCCCATTCTATTTTACCTGCTATTTGTAGAACTCAATGCAGTCATTGTTATTTTTATTTCATACTATCAATGCTTCTATAGATCTAGTTATAAGTTAACTAACATAGGCTGGGCAAGGTGGCTCATGCCTGTAATCCCAGCACTTTAGGAGGGCGAGGCACGTGGATCACTTGAGCCCAGGAGTTCAAGACCAACTTGGGCAATACGGTGAAACCCTGTCTCTACAAAAAATACAAAACTTAGCTGGGCATGAATGCACACTCCTGTGGTCTTTAAAAATTTTACTTGGGAGGCTGAGGTGAGAGGATCACTTGAGCCCTGGAGGCAGAGGTTGCAGTGAGCCAAGATGGTGTCACTGCACTCCAGCCTGGGTGACAGAGTGAGACCCTGTCTCAATAAAAAATAAATTAACTAAAAATAAATAAAGAAAGAAGTTTCCTAATGTCAATGATTATCAGTGCTTCTTCTGCTCCTCTCTGTCCTTATGAATTCGATTCTTATTTTTCCTGAAATGTAATCTTTAGTATCTCTTCCAGGGAACATCTGTAAGTGGTAAGTTCACTTAGTCTTTGTTTCTATGACAATATCTATAGTTCACCATCATACTGAAATGATACTTCAGCTGGATATAAGATTCTGGGATAATGGCAAATTTTCTCTCATCCCATTGAGGGTATTATAAGACAGTATTTTGGAATTTCTGATTGCTGTTAAGAAGTTTGCTGTCAGTACAATTCTTTCCTTTATAAACAACCTGCTTATCCCAAGTTGTTTTAAATAGCTTTCTTTTATCTTTGAGGTACTCACATATATCTCCAAGTTACCTAATTTTCTTTTGTTTTTTTTTTTTCATATATGTTCTTCATTATGTCAATTGAGGGGATAATTTCAAACCATGTATTTTTATCTTTAAAAATTTTATTTGATTCTATTTCAGTTTAATCTATTCATTCACTCAGTGCCTTGATCTTAATAGTGTATTTATTCCTATACTACCTATGCTTTTAGTTATCTTATACATGCATATTTTGCATTTCTGTCACTCTATTATTTGATTATCTCAATTTGTGCCTCTCTAATATTATTTGTTATATATGCATTTTTATAATTTTTGATACTGTAGCTATCTTTAGATAGATTTTCATCACAGTAATCCTGCCATTTGATTTTAGGGAGGTACTTTCTATTATGCTTCTGTACTGTAGAATAGGGGTATATCATCATTTAAACCAATTTTTATAGATTTTTTTAACTTAGTGGATCTAGACACAAAACTCTGTGAAAAGCACATCTTTATAGACTTTATTTTTCATGAGAAACTTTTCATTTTATCTTTAATCCTTTTGTTTTAGTTTTCTTGTTATTTATTCAGTTTATTCAGTAATATGAGTGTATTCTTTTTATGCAGATACAACTTACAGAGTACGCAAATCTTAAGTGTATGATTCAATGAATTCTTACATATGTATGCACGTAACTACCACACAAATCAAGTCGAACTTTTCAGCACTCCAGAGGGTTCCCCTGTGCTTTCACCCGATTGGTCTATGATTTGGAGTATATCTTTCAGATTTCCAAAGATAGCCAATATGCTGACTTACAGCATCATTCAACGGTTTCATCTGTCTTTAAATTTTCTATAAATAAAATCACACTGTAAACACCTTTTTGGATTTTTTTTTTTTTTTTTTTTTGAGACTGTCTCACTCTGTTGCCCAGGCTCACTGCAACCTCCGCCTCCCAGATTCAAGCAATTCTCCCGCCTCAGCCTCCCGAGTAGCTGGGACTCTAGGCATGCGCCACCATACCCAGCTAATTTTTCTGTATTTTTAGTAGAGACAGGGTTTCACCATGTTGGCCAGGATGGTCTCGATCTCTTGACCTCGTGATCCACCCACCTCAGCCTCCCAAAGTGTTGGGATTACAGGCGTGAGCCACGGTGCCCTGCCTTGCATTTTCTTTTATTCAAAATTATGTCTGAGAGATTAATCCATGTTGTTGCGTTCATTACGGTCTTTGCTACCTGGTATTCCATTGTGTGTATATACCACAATGCATCCAACCCATTCTACTCTTAACTGGACATTTGAGTTATTTCTAGGCTTTGTCTCTTATGAACAAAGCTACTATGAGAATTTTTGTGTATCCTTTTGTGTGGTAGGATGTGAACTTATTCTAATTGTAAAAATTCCTAAAGAGCAAAAGTCCCATTTGACAGCTGTTTTCCCTCCTTCCTTTTCCTAGAGATAAGCACTGTTTCCAATTTAGTGTGTATCTTTCCAAATCACCATTTTTAAAAATTCTAGACATGTATAAGATTTTATTGTATTTTAACATAACAGCCATCATGTGAAATATATCATTGTAAACCTTATTGTCTTTGCCATTTAAAATATGTATTAAAGAACTTTCTATGTTTGTATACAGAGTGCTCATTCATTGTTTTTATTTGCTACATTGTATTCCATTCTATAATTGTTAAGTAGAATTATCATTTTATTCAAATATGGAGTTTGTCCCTCAAAATAGATTTAACAGTATCTCATAAGCTTTAAAACATGGTATTCTTTTTTATTTTGTAAATAGTTTTTACTTCAATTTTATGACTGTGCATTGAAATTTCTGCAGCATATGGTTGTTTTTCCTTATTTAAGTTCCCAATTATTTTGGAGGGAGGTTGGATGGGAAGATATGTTTAAATTCAAACGATTAATTTTAATTTTTAGTGCATTATAATCCAAAAAATAGCCTATAAAATTTCTTCTGTGAGGAATTTAGAGGCATGTATTTTGATATAATATAGAATAATTATTGTATTTGAAAAGAGGTATTCTATGTGAGATATTAAAAATTCTATATGGAGAGAGTTAAATATACATATTTACATGTGCCATATCATGACAATCATTACTGCCCTTCTTTATTTTTGCTTACATGGTCTGTTTTTTGCTAATGTCTACTTATATGGGTTCTGGATATGTATTATGTTACCAAGTTCTTTATCATTATAAAATGATTTCTTTTCTTGTTCACTGCATTTTGACTTGGACCTTAATTTGTCTGAAATTAATCTGTCATTCCTTTTTTGCTGTTCTTTCATATTTTCCTCCTCAATTGTTTCATGTCCTATTTTTTTTCTCTCTCTCTCTCCCTTTTTTTTTGTAATTTTGTTTCAGGTTATTTTCTTCAAAGAAACATATAAATGAAGATTATTTTTGATACAACCAAGAGACTTGATTTTCTACAAAGTGGTATTTCAAATATTTACATTTATTGTTGTATCAAAATGTTAATCATATTTCTGTGTCCTATTTTATTTCTGATAGCTTCCTCTTTTTTCGCTTTTTTAAAATTATGGAAGCTGTACTTTGTTTATCTTTATCTAATCAGGTAATTGTGAAGGTATTTTTGCCACTTTCATTGATCAAAATGTTGTCTTTCATTAATATTTATCCAAAAACCTTATTTAAAATACAACTTATCATATAATTAAAGTTGGTTTTGCCAGTTACTTTGTGATAACCTCTGTGAATGGACTAATCATATAAACCTATCATCCAAACAGGGACATTTGACAGAGAAAGGAGGCATTAGGAATGAATAGTTACTATATGTATAAAACAAGAGAACTGTAGCATGTTCTCATGTCTCTTTTAGTTATACCAAACTTTTATTTAGATAATCTAAGTAATGTCTCAGATTATTGTCACAACATTATTTTCATACGTTCATAGACAGTTTAAATGATTTTATATGTATGTTCAGTTCTATCTTATATGTAAGTCTTTGCCCAATAAGAAAATTATTCCTTCTTTCTGTAATAAATCTCAGTAGTACATTTCTTTTTTTTTTTTTTTTTTTTTTTTGAGATGGAGTCTCGCTCTGTCGCCCAAGCTGGAGTGCAGTGGCGGGATCTCGGCTCACTGCAAGCTCCGCCTCCCGGGTTCACGCCATTCTGCCTCAGCCTCCCAAGTAGCTGGGACTACAGGCGCCCGCCACTACGCCCGGCTAATTTTTTGTATTTTTAGTAGAGATGGGGTTTCACCGTTTTAGCCGGGATGGTCTCGATCTCCTGACCTCGTGATCCTCCCGCCTCGGCCTCCCAAAGTGCTGGGATTACAGGCGTGAGCCACCACGCCCGGCCGTAGTACATTTCTTATTATTTCTTTTGCCAAATACATCAAACATTAGGAAATTGGATCTTTGTTCTCTTACCACCATAACTATTTTCTTTTACCCCATTCAGTGGCCAAAAAACTTTTTCTCTAAATAACCAGAGAGTAAATAGTTTAGGCTTTGTGGATCATATAGGATCTGTTACAACCATTAAGTTTGCCAGTGTAGCATGAATTAGCCACAGGTGATACTTAAAGCAACCACTGTGATGGTGTTCCAATAAGATTTTATTTATAAAAACAGGTGGGAGTCAGATTTATCCTGAGGGCTGTAATTGCTGACCTCTGAGCCAATTTGTCAACTTGTCTTTTTCTTCATATGTTTAGTTATTCTTAGAGAGATCTTTTTCATATTTTTTTGCACGCTGATTATAGTTTTACTGCCTCCTATGATAATTTTGACTATAAGATGAATTTTTTTTCATAAACATTCTTAGCATTTTTTTAAATCAACTCCTTTTTGTCTTTCTTCCTGCTTTTTTTTTTTTTTGGTCTCGGCATAGTTTACCTTTTAATGCTCTCCACTTTTATTTAACAGAATCAATATTTCTTTATATTCTATGAAAGAAACCCCAAAATTTCCTATGGTCTATGATTTCCCAAAATTTTAAACACATTTACATATATATATTTGTTTGCTTGATTGTCATTCTAGTTTATTATCACTGAAGAAGTAAAAAAAAAAAAAAGAAAACATTTCACAATCCCATTTTGTAACAGTCAGAACTACAACTCAGCTCTTGACCTGCCCAAAATCTCCCTGGTTGTGAAAAGATCAAATTCTTAGTTCTATAGCAGAACAGCTTTAGCCCAGTTCTAAATGCCTAACAAGCACCAAAACCATATGGCTCTTCTGGATTATGTGTGATTTTTTCCTGCCCTCCACTGCCTGATTCTTCAGTACTCTGGACCAATGGAACCAATGGAAAAATAGTAAGACTGCCAGCATGGGCCTCCACCCTGAGTCTCCTTCCCTGTGTGGCTATTTACACAGTTACATCCTAAATTCCTCCACCAACAATTAGTTGTTGAGAGCCTTCCAGGAGCCAAGCATTTCCCTGAGTGCTAAGGATTCATTGGCTAAGGATATTACATATCAAGCCAATGTGTTAGTTACAAATGAACTAATTTCGAGGAGGTGATCTTGAAGAAAAGACCAATGATATAGCTGCTGAGATGAGATTTAAATGATTAGAAGGAGCCACCATGTGAAAATCTGGCGAAAGAACTGACCAACTGCAGGGAACAAAAAGTGCAAATGTCCTAAAGAGGACATTTATATATATTATATATTCCAGGATCAGAAAGGCCAGTGTGGCTGCAGTATGGAGGATGGTGGGAGACAAAGCCAAATAAATAAGAAGGAATCAGCTGGGTGCAGTGGGTCATGCCTGTAATCGCAGCTCTTTGGGAGGCCAAGGCGGGCAGATAACCTGAGGTCAGGAGTCCAAGACCAGCCTGGCCAACATAGTGAAACCCCGTCTGTACTAAAAATACAAAAAAAAAAAAAAAAAAAAATTAGCCAGGCATGGTGGCAGGCGCATGTAGTTCCAGCTACTCAGGAGGCTGAGGCAGGAGAATCACTTTAACCTGGGAGGCAGAGGTTGCAGTGAGCCGAGATAGAGCCATTGCACTCCAGCCTGAGTGACAATATTGAAACTCCATCTCAAGAAAAAAAAAAAAAAAAGAAGGAATCAGATGACAATAGACTTTGTAAGCCATGGTCAGGAATTTGGCTTATGTCAGAAGTACAACAGGAGCACTGGGAGGGTTTTAACATGGAAAGATCCATGATCTGATTTATAGTTTTGAAAGATCAAGAGACCAACATGAAGGCTATTGTAGTAATCTAAGTAAAAGATAATTGTGATATGGTTTGCAGTGTAGTAGTAGTGAAGAAAGAGAGAAATAAATGGATTTGAGTTTTTAGCCTAATGACAGTGCCAATAGATTCATATGAAAGTTGAAGAAAATCAAGGAACCAAGAACATTGACTATATTTGGGCTTAAGTAACTGAGAGGAGGGATTTATTGCTATTTACTGAGGTGGAAAAACTTGGAATCAAGCAGGAGATGGTAAAATCAAGATTTTTACCCTTGTCTATTAGACATCTAAGCGAAGGCAGTCTCCCAGTTTCCAAAGTTGAACTCCGAGGCTATTTCCTCTGTGTATTTCCAGTGTCTTTTAGAAGTTGTTGAATCCAAATTGATGTAATTGGTAGTACTACTGAATACCTGTGTGTGACCACCTTAAAGAGTCATGTAACATGTAACACAGGAGTCAAGGAGAAGGTCAAGGCCAAGGTTTCTACTTTATTTCAGTCATGAGATTTTCTGTGTTGTTAAGCAGGTAAAGGTGGGCTGCCTGCTAGTTATGATTCTCAAGGTGGTGTCATGGTTCCATAGTTAACTAAATCTTCTCCCGGATTTTGGCAATAGATTCATTGGCGCAGCAGATTTTTGTCAATGCCTGGCTCATATTCTCTTGATACTCAATGTTACTCATACCACAAACAATTGAAATTCAATTTTTGCCTAAGGACTTTTCTGGCTGCAGAAGCAGGCTTGATCTGTACATGGAGAAAGCCAGAAGTGCTTTCCCTGTTTATTTGCTGGACAAAGACCCCATCTTCCTGACCTAGGATGGTACAATTCTATGGTGTGTTCTACACCATCTTCCAGAGGTTCCCAGAAATAAACCCCAGCTTCCCATGGAGGTAACCTATTCATTCATACACCTTGTATTGGCTTTCTTCCCTTCTCTCTCATTTTCCTACTTTTCCTATTAGTACTTCCTAGATTTAATTCCCAAATAAACTACTTGCACCTAGTCTCAGAGTCAACTCTTGGGGTACCCAAAGTAAGACAGCTATTATCTTTATTATTGTTTTCTGGTTATATGTTTTGAGGTATTCTTTGATTTCATCAATATTTTAATTAATAGCATTTGGCCTGATTTAAAAAAAAAACATATCCTAGAATATTTTCAAAATACAGAAAAAGCCAAAAATAAAAAATAAAAATCACCTTGTAAGCCACAGTTAACATTTTGATATTTGTGGTATATTTTTTCTCCAGTCTTTCTGCTCTCTCTTGTCCTTCTTTTTCCTATTTTCAAGACAAGTGAAAAGAGACTATGTCAGAAACAATTCCTTAAATGCCATTTATTCCAGACACAGCCCTTTGATATTTGACATAAGGCCGTTTTGTGTGTGCACAAGCTTTACTACAGATACCGTTGTGTAAATTCATGAATCTGGAGAATCCAGTGAGTACTATGCTCAATGAATTGTTTTACATAGCATAATCACTGACTACTCCCCAACTCACTTTTAAAAACAGAGATCAGAAGTTTTGCCTCCATTTTATAGATGGTAAAACAGACAAGGCATGGCTTTCATACATGGAAGGCATTTCAAAGGTCATTTCCTTCACTCCTTGACCGTATTGGCTCATTTCTGCTTTGCTTTTTGAAAAGTCAATCTTCTTCGTGACCATGCAGAATTATCTGACAAGTTAATGTTGCCTAGCTGGCAACTTGAAATTGAGTCATTTTAAAATCTGCATTGTAATAATGGGAGTCCCTCATTTCTGAGCCTATAACTAATTCAAAAGCAATTGAAATC
This sequence comes from Homo sapiens, assembly GCF_000001405.40. Lineage (NCBI taxonomy): Eukaryota > Metazoa > Chordata > Mammalia > Primates > Hominidae > Homo > Homo sapiens. Next base: position 40,385,639 of record NC_000020.11, read on the forward strand.
TCCCAAGGAGATCACATTGTAGTGGGAAACAATCCCCCAGAGTGAGACCATGAGACAGGCTAAGTCCATCAAGCAGGTATGCAGGCAGGCAAGCAGACTCCAGGAAGAGGGAGAACCCAAAATAGAATGGGGATGTACAGTTGATCATCCCATAGTCAGGCTACTTGATTGACTCCCTTAAAAGTACATGTTCTCACAAAGCAAGCTAATCCTGATGCATTGCACCAACTGTAAACAGAGCTCATATATTTGTGCATAAGTCTGTTAATCAACAAACATTATTAGATACCATGTAAGTGCAGAGTGCTATGCCCTGGAGAACACAAGGGAACAAAACTGCACTCTATCATTGTGAACAGCTCACACTGGTTTCTTTAAACATTTACTGAGTGACTTCAACTGTGTTTGTGTCAGTGTTAAGCATGTTTCTGCTAACAATCTTGAGATTTGGTGAAGTACAAATATAAAATAATTATTACAACTAAGTAAGTGTCATTAATAAGATGTATGGAAAGGAATGAGAAAAATTTGCTCTATCAAAGTAAATGTGTGTGACAACTTAGAGAAAAGTGAAGTACTATTTGAATGAGATAATTTTTAAAAGCTATGAAAGGTGGTGAAATGTCAATTGATTTGGGGATTCAGACCATCTCCATGCTGGCTTACTGCTCCAAAGAAAGGAAAGGCAGCCTTCAATGCTCAGCTCTGAGTTTTAATCTAGACTTATAAGTCCACAGAAAATAGTCTTGAGAGCAAGGCTTTCAAGGGAGAGAAAAGGATCTTCTCAGACCTCCTTAAACTCCATGTTTCCATTTAGGAAGTGAAGCTTAGAAAAACTAATCATAGACCAGGACAGATGTGGATATGTGGGAAGGAAATGTCTCCACACAGGAAGGGTTAAACCATCCCTTGCTGGAGGATGCAAAAGAAAGTAGAGCAAAGGGTTAAAGACTAGCACCTCCCTCTCCAGTTCTAGTGGGATAGAGTTGCCCCCCACCCCGCAAGTGGGCAGGAGTTAAACATCGAGATGAGTATACCAGCTGTCATTCTCCCAGTGCCACAAGGATGCATAAACTCTCCACTGCATCCATATGCTATCCAAGCAAGGAAGTGAGGTAGGAGGGGTAAAACACTGGATGTAAGGAGAAAAAAAAGGTTGTCTGAGTCATTAACCAGAGAGAGAGGAAGAGAGAGAGAGAGAGAGAGAGAGAGAGAGAGAGAGATTAGGGTTTAAACAGACTATGTAATTTTAATATCTTTAGATGACAAGATTGAGCGCTTTTCACCAAAAGAGGTCCTGCGAATTAGAAGCAAGAGATAGAAAATAAAGATAGTTGCATTCACTTAATGAAATGAGTTACTTAAAAACCACCTTAAGATATTAGAGAAGTTGGTAAAATAGGGAGCTCTTTGATGGCATTATGGAGAGGGAACCTTAAAGTATTTGGATACTTAACCTGACAAAACGTATCTTCCTTTAGGTTCACTGATGAGCAGGAGTGCTTGGAACCATAGCAGTACATAGGAAACACACTTTATGCTGAGGCTTTGCTTCAAACTACAAAATGGAGAACTACATTAGCCTGTGCTGAATCAGATAGATAAAACTATTAGAGATGATTAGCTCCAATTGGTTTCACACCTAAATATGTCACTGGGATACCAAAAAAAAAGTGATGAATACACTTTAGAATGTTCGAGAGAATGTTCATCAGTCCCTAGTGCCTAGTGCTGAGTTAGGGCAGGGTGGATAGAGGCAGTGATCCTCTCTGGCTACCAGGTAAGAGGCAGAGGAAGAGAAGTCTTTGAGGGTGAGAACACCAAGCTTCTTCTCATATAAAGATATCAGATGGGTCCTATCAAAAACTCCTAATGTAGATAAGAGTGAGAAAGCTGTGCCCACTTTCTCTACCTCATTTCATGCATGATGATTCCATGCACCATGGTTTCCAAAGATAACCCCAACAATTCATCCTGTGTGGTTACTATATGAATGTAAGGTTCCTCCTATCAAGAGGTGAAGTCTATTTCCCCTACCCTTGAGTAAGGGTGGCTTTGTGATAGCTTTGACTAATAGAGTGATGGTGGAAGTGATATTGTACGTGATCCCAGCCCAAGTTTCAATGGGCCTTGTGTTTTCTGGCTTTGTGATTTGGGACCACCACCATGAGACCACCACATAGACCATCAGGCTAGCCTACCAGAGTTAAGAGTCCACATGGAGGTAAACCAAGGCATACTAGATGACAGTTGACACCAACTGCCAGACTTAAGAATGTTCTTTTTTTCTTTTAGATGGAGTTTCACTCTTTTTGCCCAGGCTTGAGTGCAATGGCACGATCTCAGCTCACTGCAACCTCCAACTCCCAGGTTCAAGCAATTCTCTTGCCTCAGTCTCCCGAGTAGCTGAGATTATAGGCGCCTGCCAACATGTCAGGCTAATTGTGTATTTTTAGTAGAGATGGGGTTTCACCATGTTAGCCAAGATGATCTTGAACTCCTGACCTCCAGTAATCCACCTGCCTTGGACTCCCAAAATGCTGGGATTACAGGTGTGAGCCACTGCGCCCGGCCAGAATGTTCCATCTTGTATGTCCCAGCCCAGCTGACCCTCCAGCCAAAGCAGCCACTTGTGTGAGCCTAGTTGAAGCCAGCAGAGGAACTGACCAGCCAACCCACAGAATCATAACAAAAATAAATTGTGGTTGTTTTAAGTCACGAAGTTTTAAGGTGATTTGTTATGCAGGAATAGATAAATAAAGCAACTAACAAACATGATGTGTTTCTTGTTTCTGACCCATGTGATTAGCATCTTGGATTCCAGGGAATGATAGCGGGGGCACCAATAGAAGTGCGGGGATGGATGGGGTAAGATCAAGCAGGGAGAGTTTCAAGATTCCATTGAAACCACCCAGGATCAACTGGGTTTGGCATTACAGCAATAGCTCCATTTTTCCTTTCCACTTTGCTTGTTGGAGAGTGCAGAGAAAGAAACACTAGCCTGGGAGTCAGGACCTGTGTGTTCTAATTATTCACCTTGACCTTTAGATGACTTAAGCCACCCATGCCTCAAAATGCTCAACTGCCCTGCCTATCTCACACCAAGGGCTATTGTATGGACTTAAAGAGAAAAACAACTTTGGAAGCTCTGAAGCTTGTTGCAAACATGAGACATTGCTATAAATTAGATCCAATGCTATTAATTAGATCCATTGCTATTTATTGAAACCACAACCTCCTCAAATTATTAGATGGGATAAAAGGAAACATTTTATGGCTGGAAGTCATCAGTACTATCATCTTGCAAATACAGACCTTTATAGAAAAGGTGTGTCCAGCCTTGGAACCCAGAGCAGAAAGAGCAAGTTGTCCCAGAAGGATCCCTAAGCCACAGAAAGGAAGAAAATCTATAAAAACATGAATCACCTGAGCCTTCTGTCCTCATTTTCAGATCTACAAAACTGGAAAATGTACAACAGTATTTACAGAGCTCTCCATGTGCTCTGGGGATGGAAAATGAATAGAACTAGCCATAACTCATCACCTGTCATGTGCCGGATACTCTGTGAAGATGTCTTCTATGTGTAATCTTCATTATTCCCTTCAACTGTCCTATAGGATTACAGAAAATTGATATTCAAGAAGATAAGCTATACTATAAGGTTCAAAGGAGGAAGGTGATGGGATTGGAAAAGTTTCTATGGATGACAGAGAATATGAGGTGGTTTCAAAGGATAGGTAAAATTTTAAATGGAAAAAATAGGAAAAACTCATACTGTAAAATAAGCAAGTATGAGGTAAAAAATGATAAAACAGGATGCTCGTGGGGCACCATTTGGCTGGAGCAGAGCCGTGTATGTAGAGAGTAGCGGGAGATGAGATTAGAATGTGGGGCTGAGACTCTATCAGCAAGGATTCAACCAAAGAGTAGAACCAGTAGGAAATATATGGACTTGCTACATGGAAGCAACTTTACACAATTGCGGAAGCTGGTTAAGCAGTCTCTGTAAAGCTGTTGTTCTTTGCATCTGATGCTGGAGCTCAAATCCTCCATGGCAGGCAGTCAGGAAGGGAAGAAGAAGAGTGGGCTAGAACTCTTAGAACTCAACAATAAAAGAACAAATAACACAATTTTAAATGGGTAAATTATCTAAGTAGACATCTCTCCAAAGAGGATAAATAAATAATCAATAAGCACATGAAAAGATGTTCACCACCAATAGCCATTAGGTGATGCAAATCAAAACCACAATGAGATACCCCTCCATACCCACTGGGATGTCAATAATCAAAAACGCAGATAACAACCAGTATTGGAAAGGTTGTAGACCCATTAGAATCCTACTGCCTTGCTTAGCAGGCAATAGAACAGTCAATTAGAAAAACATTTGGCAGTTGCTCAAAATAAGTTCTCATATGACCCAGCAATTCCACTCCTAGGTATATACCCAAGAGAAATGAAAACACATTTCCACACAAAAACTTGTACACAGATGTTCATAGTACTGTTATTCATAATAGCCAAAAAGTAGAAACCATACAAATGAAAGAGTAAACAAAATGTGGTATATTCATATAATGGGGTATTATTCAACAATAAAAGGGTATCAAGTACTGATGATACATGCTACAACAGGGATAAACTTTGAAAAAAATGCTAAGACAAAGAAGCCAGATAGCAAAGGCTACATATTGTATGATTCCATTCATATAAAATGTTCAGAATAAACAAATCCATAGAAGAAACAGAAAATAGATTGGTAGCTGCCTAGGATTGGGGTTGGGCAAGGGGTGGGAGAGGGGGTAGAAATATGGAGTGACTGTTAATGGGTATGAAGTTTCCTTTCGGGGTGATGAAATGTACTAAATTTGTTTGTGGTAATAGTTGCACAACTCTGAATATATTAAAGGCAAATAAACTATACATTTTACATGTGCAAAATGTATAGTATGTGGATTATATCAAAATACTGGTGTTTTTTAATTAAAAATAAGAGCAGAAATGAACTGGAACCCCATGAGGATGGGCTAAAATCCTTGTCCATTTTTGTTGCTTCTGACCTTGGTGATGAAGGAGTCCTGCAGAAATGGGATCTCTTTATCAGGGAGCTAAGTGCACATGCAGGTCTAGGAGCCAGAGAAGCTAAAGAGGGATCCAGGGGCAAGTAAAGCAATTCATGCCCAAATGCTTCTTAATGCCAACGAGGTGAATCAGCACATTCCCAACCATGCATGCTGCAAAATGGCTGCCACTTTCCTTCTGCCCTCCCAGTCTCACAAGAACTTTCCTTGTGGCTCACCCTAACTGGAAACGTAAAAAAGAGGACCCTAGGAAATGTAGTCCAGCCTAGCCAAGTTGACACATTGCAAAGCCATTACAGACTCTATTGCTGGGAGCTTTGAAGGCAGGAGGAGACATTCTTCAGTGGGAATCTACAAAGTGTTAAAAATAGGGAAGTAAAATATTCTAACCTGAGCTTTGGCAAAATAATCTGGCAGCAAGAGGGAAAATAGTATGTAGAGACAGGAAGATCAGCTAAGGATCTGTTGCATAAGTGAGAGTTAGTGAAAGTCTGAAAGGAGGGACATGGGAAGGTAGGAGGAGAGAGAGAGACAGAAAGAAGGTGGATTAGTTCTACTTCTTAGTGTCATATGGGCGCTGTGTTAACATATTGGAAATAAGGGATTAGGTAAAGAAAGAAAAGAGACATAACTGAATTTTTAAAGCTCCAAGGCTGAGAAGATGGAGTTACCATTAACAGAGACAGCAATCCAGGAAAAGAAGCAGATTCGGGCAAAAGAAATGATGAACTGGCCAGGCCTGTAATCCCAGCACTTTGGGAGGCCAAGGCAGGCGGATCACGAGGCCAGGAGATCGAGACCATCCTGGCTAGCACAGTGAAACCCCATCTCTACTAAAAATACAAAAAATTAGCCGGTCGTGGTGGCAGGCGCCTGTAGTCCCAGCTACTTGGGAAGCTGAGACAGGAGAATGGCGTGAACCCGGGAGACGGAGCTTGCAGGGAGCCAAGATCGCACCACTGCACTCCAGCCTGGGCAACAGAGCAAGACTCCATCTCAAAAAAAGAAAGAAAGAAAGAAAGAAATGATGAACTTTCAGGTGTGATAGTGTGACCTATCTGGAAGTCAAAAACTTAGGAGTAAAATCAGAGGTTTGAGATACAGTCTCTGAATCAGTCTCTGTAGTGGTCATGGGCCAATGGTTCAGATCAACAAGAGGGAAAGGATGTAGAGAGAGTGGAGAAGGGTCATTGAAAGCCTGAGGGAAGCACTCAGAGAAACAGCAGGATAATCAGGAATGTTAGACTTCCCAGAAATCAGATGGTAATGTTTCAGGAAGAAATACGTAATTACTTCCAAAACTCAAGTCAGGACTAGGTATACACTGTGGTCACAACACCAACTAGATTGGGACCAACAAATGCTGTAGAATGAGAGGTGGAATTTTTTATCAAGATTTCCATTAAAGAGTTGAGCTTTCAGATCCATAAATACAGTGGTAGATAAGGTGAGCAAGCTAGGGCATGCAGTAGTCCAAAAGCAGAGGAAAATATGTTCTAAGAGGTGATTTTGTTGATGTTATTCATCAGCCATGCTTTCCCTGTCTAAGGCTTTTGAAGGTCACTTAGTGACAGATCCAGAGCCAGTTTTTGACAACAATGATGACAGCAACTTTGAAGATGTTTGACAGAAAACAAAAGTGGGGAGAAGGACAGTGTGTTGAGTCTTAAAGCACTGAAAGATGGTCTTGTTGGATGGAGGAAGTTTGGACATATTGGCAGGAATTAGAATGGATGGAACTGAACACAAAGCGAGGATGATGTAGTCTCATTCTGGAGAAACATCGTGGACTCATTGGAAAAGTGATGAAATTACAAAGGTGTGAAACCCTGGAAAAGTGTCAGGTATGTGGGATTCCTGCATGCACTACATTCGTCATGACGGCAAAACTCACCCACTGGCCAGGAGAGCTTGAAATCATTTCCTCAAGGGAAGGCCACATTGCTGAGGAAATCATCCCTCCCTGGAAATTTCTGATCCTGATTCCCCTCATTTCTCTAGAAATGATATCTTAATTGATTTTTAATCATTTTCATTTCTCAAAGTTAATTACCCTCTGAAGGTGCCTACCTATGTGTGTGTATGTGTGCATGTGTGTATGTGTGCGGGTGTTGGTGTGCATGTATACACACAACTGTGATCATCTGATTGTCCTTCTTCATGAAAAATAATATTGTTACAATCTTGATACTACATGTAAATACAGTTGATAACAAGCCTTTCAATACAGAAAAAAACAAAGGCAAACAAACAAACAAAAAAATCCTGGGAAGTGTCTTCACGTTAATGTCTAGGTTATAATTTCTCACATTTTTTCAGTTTCTTACACACTTAGTGTCTCAGTAATATTCTCCTGGCAAGTGTAGGCCAAAAGGAAAACCTGATCCTTTTATTAGGGAGTTAGGTCCAAAACACTCAGTATTTATGTCTTAACTTAACAGCTATTGAAAAGAGTAACTCACATACATTCAAATAAATTCTCCAATCACCTGGTCTCCAATCAGCCTCATCTTTGTTTCCCACACTTCTCTACCTGAAACATCCTCCCAGCTCTGTCTCTACCCACAGCTCCTGTCCTCATCACACAGCTCAAGAATCCCCCTGCCTGTCATGGCCTCCCTCCACTCTCCAAGAGAATTGCTCACGCCTTCCTCTGTGCTTCCAGAGGACTCTGCCCCTGTCCTTAACATGCAGCATCACAGTTATTCACTAGTGAGAGACTGCATACCTTCAAGTGAGGGAACATGTTTAATTCATGGCTCTTTCCTCAGCTCCTAATGGGGTCTGCCACCTTCTAGGTGCTTACTCCATGTTTATTCATTGAATGAATGATCGACGTCACCAAACTCACCAAGCAACTTTGAAGTGAAAATGTAAGAGAACTGTAGGTGCCAGCCTACATATAAATGCACAGCCACATATACATATGCAAGTCTACATATACGCATGCATTTATATGCATGCTAACATAAACATCTGCCTACATCCCAGTCGCCTGAATAGTAGTTCTGGATCCTCTCCCTGGGAAGAACACAGAGAAATTAAATAACTTGCTCTGGGTGGGTCGCATGGCTAGTATATTACAGAATTAGGATTCAAACTCAGGCAGATTAACTCCAAAGTTCATGTTCTTGACTAATGTGCACTTTGATTCTCATTCCTCCCAGCGAAAGGTCTTAGGAATGTATATACAACCAGGAAGTCTTTTCCAAAATAAATGAAGTAACATAATTATACTTTGCCCCTATCCTCCCTCCTGCTGCCCAATTCTCCCTCTGACTACTCATCATTATAAAAACATATGAATTCGACAAATTTAGCAAGTGGGCATTTATGACTCTCATCTTTTCCATGCATTGGAATACTGATCTGAGCAAAATATGGCCTTTGTCATGAATGAGAAGGAAAGACAGAGACATTGAGGTCTGTAAGAGGACAATGCACAAGGTATTGGAGGAGCATTAAATAGGAGGGAGCAATTCAAGCTGCGAAAAAAGATCACAAAGCCCTCAGAGGAGTAGGATACCGGGGCCATAAAACCCAGGGTTCCCATTCAAAACAGCCAGATAAAACATATTCCAAAAGATGTAGTCAATTCCTGAATGAAGCAGATGCATTTGAGCAGGAAACCAGGAATCCTCCCAGATGTCCCAAAGCCTTGAGCAAGCCATTCCTCAATGCTGGGCCTCAGTTTCCTCCTCTGCAGATGCTCTATGGAGCATGCTGGATTAAACTATCTTTAGCTCTAAAACCTCACCTCATCCTTCATTAGATTCCATATATATGATAAAGTATTCATAACAGTGTTCCAAAAATAAGAAGAAAGCAAAGAATTTAAAGTAAATGCAGTTATTTTAATCTTGGGCAAAATAACCCAGAGAACTAAGGGAAGAGACCAATGGCCACAGAACCCATGGGTCTTCCAGCCCTGATCCATCATCTCCCTTCTGGAATTGCAGAGCAGGAGCACTTCGTGCTCCCTGCTGTTTCTCATACTCTGAAACTTACCCGCAGTGAGCACTGATGAATATCACCTAGCCCCTATCCTGTGCCTTCAGTTGTGCTAGACCTTCAATGCCTATGTTGCCTTGTTTCATCTTCTCAACAACACTGTAAGACAAGATTATCATCTCATACTGAGAAAACAAACTCAGAGAAATTAAGTCTCTGGTGTAAAGTCACACAGCAAAAGTCAGTTGAGAATCCAGATCAGTATTATTTTCCATTTAACCTTCCTTCTGCTATGGCACATAACCAGCTTTTACAGTGGGCAATAGAAAAGGGATACAGAATAAGAAATGAGTCTAGAACAAGGGATGTCTACAGAGACAAAGCCCAGGGAACCTGAAGCTTTTATTAGCTGAAAGCTTTCCCAGCATATCCATCCTCTGTTAAAAGCACAGAGTAGAGACTGGGCACAGTGGCTTACACGTGAGATCTCTGCACTTTGGGAGGCCAGGAATTCAAGACCAGACTGGGCAATTAGTGAGATCCCATCTCTACAAGAAAAAAAGCACAGCCCGTAAACGCTTTGATTGTTTAACTTAATTTAAAAGGAGGTATCTTGCATTACTATTTTCTTTCCATGACTGCTTGCTGTTGTCTTCCCTTCTCTCAAGTGCTCCCCACAGCTGGTTGTTGTCCTTTCCCATCCTTCAAATTTCCTCAAGAAAATGCCTCTACTGGAAACAAATCCTGAGAAGGGCAGCTCCTGGACTTTCCTGAACATGGGACAAAGTATGTCAAGCATCACACTTATTTACCCTAGTTTGCCAACCCAGCCATCAAACGGCCCAGGCATGTGCATCGGTTTAGATCTTCTGAGAAGTGGGAGCCAAAATGGAAATAGATGTACAAGAGATTTATTGGGCGAAGGATCTGTAAAGGATAAAAGGGAGAGAAAACAGAAGATTGGAGGGAACCTTTGGACTGCAATGCAGGTCTGACACTTGACACCAGGTCTGACACCTCTGAAGACAGAGGAGGAAAGAAGGAAGGAGTGCATCACAAATTTGCAGCAACTGGCATCTGTCAGCTCACTACACTCCTCACAGCAGGTTATTTCTTGAAAGGAAATATGGGAAGCACATTTACGTGGCTGCCACACAGTTTGATCTTCTCCAAAGTCTTCTGCAATTCAAGTAGATTCCTGCACCTTGGGAGGAATGATCGACTCTCTGGAAAAAGTGGTTACATTTTGCAGGGTCGGTTCCTACAAAACCTGCAAAAAATAGTTTGTTTATTTAAAAAAGCCAGGATGTCTTCAAAGATACACCTGTCTCTTGTATTAATGTCAGATAGTATTGAAAGGATGGTGGAAAAGGGGTTTCGTTACCTCTAATGAGTATGATTTAGCAAAAAATAAAGAACAGGGAGAAAAAGAAAATCCACCAGAAGAACAGTTCTGTGGAGAATCATTATCTGTCACAGAATTCTTCACATATAAAATGCTCACTAATATGTATTGACTGAGTGAACCATTTCCATATTTCAGCTACTGACCTCTACTTTAATGTCTTCTGGTGGAGACCATGCATTCTTCAAGCATATATGTGCACCTACTATGTGCCAGACATTATACTCAGTGTTGCAAATGCTGAGATAAATATATATGGCTCCTGCCTTTAAGAGATGAATACTTCAATGGGAAAATATTCAGAGTAAATGGAAATATAAGCAAATATTTATTTTTAAGTGCTCCTATAGCAGGATGAACAAGACACTTTGATGACTGCTATGATTAGCATGTAATCTGTTGCAAGGAACATAAATCCCAATTCAAATTGGCTTAAATAGGGAGATATTGCTTCTCATAAGTGGTCTCTTGGAACACAGTTGTATTTTCCTCTCTTTCTGTGTCCAGGAAAGTCATCTGCAGCCTAAACGTTTCTCTTTCTTACAGAACCTTCAAATTCATGCATCAATACCCCTATTTTTTCTACCAAGTCTCCTAACACTACAGCCTTGATGATCCCTTTCCCAAGGTGTATGGGCAGCTGACTAACCACCTGGAGTCCTCTGTAGTGCCCTTGTGCCACTCAACCAATTCCATACTTCAGGGTTTGTTATTAACAATGTCCTACTTTCTGGAATCAAGCTCTCTATCATATAAGATGCCTTCAGTTGTAAATAACGAACAAATTTAACTCAAAGTAGTATTTACTAAAAAGAGGATATCTGGGCGAATAACAAAGCCCTTGATGTTGGAAAGTATTGGTTTGATTCAGCATTTGAACACTGTCATCATTTCTCTCTCTCTTCTGTTTGCCATGGTGTTAATTTCATCCTAAGGCTGGTTGTACTTCACGATTATGATGTCTGCTAACAACCATGAAAGGTCCACGCCTCTTCAGGCCATGTCAAGAGATGGGGAGAACAAGTTATTATGAAAAGCTCTCTAAGTAAAATGAGGAAGTGCAATTCCAAAAACTCCTAGATATCATATCTTCCCATTTTATGGGCCCACATGGGACCATGTGCTCAGCCCTGAACCAATTGCTGTAGCCAAAAAATACGGTTTACTAATGAAAATAGCCCTGAACCATGTACAAGAGTTCAGTCTTCTTCTCACAAAACACATGAATTTGAATTGGGGAGATGTTGATCTAAATAATAACAAAGTAAGGTTTTTATAAAAGTGGATGCTGGAGAGACAGCCACAGTTTCCACTACAACAATGATAATGATGACAGCAAACATTTCCTGAAAGCTTCTATGCATGAGACCCAGCTCACAGCTTAAGATTCCTAGAATGGACATATCTATGCTCACAGCATGCCTCCAAGAAATCCAGCCAGAGAATCATGAGCCTAGCCCTTCTGCAAGCCCCAGCTGAAACAAAAACCCAACCCAGCTCAACTGAGTCTCCTCTCACCCCTTCCCTTATCTCTAAACACACTTATTTTACTGCTGTTTGCTTAAAGCATGGGGCAGACATAATTACTGAATTAGGCAAGATCTGGAAAGAACCCCAAAGCCATTTTTACTCAAACAGAAATCATTTGTTCTAAGGAGCCCACCCATCACCTCCTGACCTTGGAGCTTAATTAATTTTACACAAGAAAAGTGCTGGGTGCCCCTGACCCCTCCTGTTGGAGACATTCCCATTAAGAAGGTTACTGCCTCCCTCAGCAGGGACCCAGCTGAAATTGGCTATAAGGGCTCTGTAAATCTGGCACTTGTCCGGGCAAGAAAACTGAGTTTTCTGAAGCAACTGGAGAGGAAATAAAAAGTAAGTCTCACCTCAGCCAGAGTTGCCTCCTTGGTTCAGAATTGCCATTGTCACTAGAGTTTTCAAAGAAGCCACAGGAAAAGCGTCTGCCTGGGACTCCCTGATCTCCACCTCCTTTCACTGAGCTGACTCCTTGATCCTTCAGTACTCATCTTGGCTGCTCTTCCTTGAGGAAGTCTTCTTGACTCTTCCTTCAACCTTGCAGATTGTGTAGGCTACAACCCTCTGCGTTTGTCACACCCATGGCCCTTTTTCTCTCCACCATGCATCTAACCCAACTGAGCAAAATGGCTTACTTACTTACCTATGACCCCCTCTAGATCATGGGTGCCTTCAGAATAAGTACAGAGTGTATTTAGGGCCGGGCGCGGTAGCTCACGCCTGTAATCCTAGCACTTTGGGAGGCTGAGGCAGGCGGATCACGAGGTCAGGAGATCCAGACCATCCTGGCTAACACGGTGAAACCCCGTCTCTACTAAAAACACAAAAAATTAGCCAGGCGTGGTGGCGGGCGCCTGTAGTCCTAGCTACTCGCGAGGCTGAGGCAGGAGAATGGCGTGAACCCGGGAGGCGGAGCTTGCAATGAGCGGAGATCGCCCCACTGCACTCTAGCCTGGGCAACAGAGCCAGACTCCGTCTCAAAAAAAAAAAAAAAAAAAAAGAATAAGAACATAAGAACATAAGAACAGAGTGTATTCAACTTTCAACTACATCCTTAACCTCTTAGAGGCTCGATAATTACCATGGAAAGAAGGAATAGAAGGGGATAAGTAGGTAGACAGACACCCAGTAGATGAGTGTCTTGTTCATCCTGTTCTCATAGCTCCACAGGCCTCATCATAGAATCTTCATGACGTAAACTTGGAGCTGTCTGCTTTCCTACGCTGCAAACCTTGATGATGATGTGGTATTATTTCTGCCTTCCTTCTCCAGCACAGAATCTGAGGGCTCAAGGGAATGACTGGCAGACGAAGCCTGAAGGGGATGGTGCAATTTCAAAATTCAACTAGGAAAACCAGATGTCCTACTCTTGGAGTTACGGAGTGCAGGTGAGGAACTGCCTATCACCCTTCACTGCTAATGAGCTCTTCTTCCCACCTTTCCCACAAAGTGAGGCTGAAAAAAATCTTTTCAGCCAAATTCAACTGCAGAAACACTGGCTTAAACAAATGTAAAGTGGTTCCTTTAATGGAGAATTTCTTAGAATTTCAGATCATTGTGTGATATGAAACTGCAGGGTATGGACAGAAGGGTAGAAAATTCTTTTATATATATATATATATATATATATATATATATATATATATATATATATATAAAATTAGTAGCCAACTGGATATTTTGTTGTTTATTTAGGAGTCTAACATTGAATTACTGTCATATTGAATAGTGTTTCACAAATTTATTTGTGGCATAAAACAAGTTTCTTAAAGAGATTTGGAGGGGTTCTTTTTTAATTTTTTTTCTTAGAGACAGGATCTCACTCTGTCACCCAGGCTCAAGTATAGTAATGTGATCCTAATTCACTCTAACCTGGAACCAGGCTCAAGAAATCCTCCTGCCTCAGTCTCCTGAATAGTTAGGATCACAGGCATGTGCCACCACTCCTGGCTTTTCTTTTTTTTTTTTTTTTTTAAATAGAGATGGGGTCTCATTTTGTTGCCAAGACTGGTCACAAACTCTTGGCCTCAAGTGATCCTCCCACTTCAGCCTCCCAAAGTGCTGGAATTACAGGCGTGGGTCCCCATACCCGGCCCTGTTTGTTTTTTAATTTAGAATTTGCCGTGGACCAACAGGCAGTCGTATTCTCCACAACTAGTGCACAGCTCATGCTGCATGTCATCCACCTCTTTTTTCTCCCTCAACTCCCTCTCTCTTTCTCCCTGTCTCTCTCTCCCAGAGAAAGAGAACATAACTGGAAAGTGAGCTGGTGCACTAAAGCATCACCACCATCTGTCCATTTCCCACACTAGGAGATACCTCTGTATTACGCAGTCCCATGGCAGAAGCTTCTGGAGGAGGAAACAGATTTCCCTTGCCCCTTCAGTTGAAGAATGAACATCAGGACCAGAGCTTTGACTTGCCAATGACTAGGGTGGCCTGGTCTAGTGGAAACTGAGAGCCTCTTATTTCTCGGGCTCTGCTTGACAAAGCTATGTCAAACCAAAGATGCTGTGCAGGTAGGACCTGGCTTTGGAGGTGAGATCTCTCATCATCACCATCCACCAGACACTCTTACTCTAATCTGTCTTAGCCATCCAACAGCCCACCTCCCACTGTGCTGGCTTTAAGACCAACCAGGAATCCTTTGTCCATCCCCAACTCTAGTGACAGTGACACTATGTAAGAGGGAGACAAACCAATGGAGTGAAATAAGTGTCAATCAAGGAAAAGAGCTCCTTGTCTTGTCTGGGCTACCCACCTCTGAGCCCTCTGGCTTGCATGGCTTACTTCTCAGTGAGCTGAGACTTCAGCTCCACCAGAAGGGTTCAGTTTCACAAATATCTTCACCAAAAAACACCTCCTTTGCTCCCAGAACAGGAATGCCCCAGTGCCCCATCCATATCCATGGGTCAGTCTTAGGATTGAAGGAGCCTGGTTTCTGGCTGAAGCTCTCACCAAGAGGATTACTCAGGTGTACCAGACATTTTTAGTTTTTTTAAAAAATAACTTTAACTTTTATTTTAGATTCAGGGGGTACATGTGTAGGTTTATTACCCGAGTATATTGTAATGATGATGAGGTTAGGGATGTGACTGATCCTGTCATCCACATACTGAGCACAATACCCAATAGTTAGATTTTCATTCCTTGCTCCCCTCCCTGACTGCCCCCTCTAGTTGTCCCTGGTGTCTACCATTACTATCTTTAGGTCCATGTGTACCCAATGTTTACCTCCCACTTACAAGTGAGAACATGTGATATTTGGTTTTCTGTTCTTGTGTTAATTCACTTAGGATAGTGACCTCCAGCACCATCCATGTTGCTACAAAGGACATGACTTTATTCTTTTTTGTGGCTGTGTAATATTCCATAGTATATATGTACCACATTTTATTTATCCAATCCACCATGGATGGGCACCTAGGTAGATTCCATCTCTTTGCTGTTGTGAATAGTGTTGCAGTAAACATGTGAGTGCATGTGTCTATTTGGTAGAACGATTTGTTTTCTTTTGCATATATACCCACTAATTAGATTACTGGGTTGAACAGCGATTCCGTTTTAAGTTCTTTGAGAAATCTCCAAACTGCTTTTCATAGTGGCTGAACTAATTTATATTCCCACCAACAGTGTATAAGCATTCCCTTTTCTCTGCAGCCCTACCAGTATCTTTTGTTTTTGACTTTGTAATAATATGAGCTTTGTTTTTTATCTGAGTCAGTATGCAAAAGCCAGAATAGATCTTTCTCACCCCAGTCATCAGTTTGGACATATATTGGAAATTCAGGGAGCAAGTTTCTCTCCAGGCCACTTTTTTCTATATATTTCCTCTTCTTAAGTGATATAAGGCCCCCCACTTGTGTTGGTGTCAAGTGGCCAATAAGAATACCAGTAATACTCATAGTTATAGGATAGTAATGAGTTAGGTACTTGATATGGTCTGGCTCTTTGTCACCATACAAATCTCATCTTGAATTGTAATCCAAATTGTAATTCCTATGTGTCTGGGGAGGAACCTAGTGGGAGGTAATTGGAGCATGGGGGCAGTTCCCGCATGCTGTTCTCACGATAGAAAGTGAGTTGTCGTGAGATCTGATGGTGTTCTAAGGACCTTGTCCCTCTTTAATCTGCACTTCTCTTTCCTGCCACCTTGTGAAGAAGGACATGTTTGCTTCTCCTTCCACCATGATTGTAAGTTTCCTGAGGCCTCCCCAGCCATCCAAAACTGTGAGTCAATTAAACCTCTTTCCTTTATAAATTACCCAGTCTTGGATATTTCTTCATAGCAGTGTGAAAATGGGCTAATACAGTACTACACTAAGTACTTTGCTTATATAATCTCATTTAATCCACATGTCAACCTAGGAGGAAATAGATACAAGTATCCTCATCTCAAAGATGAGGAAATCAAGGCTCAAGAAAGCTTTAGTAGTTGCCCAAAATCTGCATCACTCCAAGTTCTGTACTTTAAATCAATGTGTTATATTATCTCTGACTCCTGTAATGAGCCTAAAGAGACAAGGGGATGGAAGACCCAGATCTTCCCAAGGGATGAAAGACTGAACAAAGCATTCTGCCCCTTACTTCTTCTGACTCCCCATCCAAACTTATTTGTCAGATGAAAATGGGCACCGAGGTCGACGTTGAAAGGAAAAGTCATGCTAAAAGAGAGCCTAGTTTGGAAAGGGGTGACTAAGACATCAGGATATAAATATTTTCTTGATGTAAGCATAATGTGTGAATAGTGTTCTTAATTCTAAGCCCTGAGGTTTTTTGGCATCAGCCAGACTCACAACCACAGCACTGTCAGGTAGCTGGGGTGGGAGAGATCAATGGTCAGCCAAAGACTCCTGTTCCCCTTCTGTATCAATAAATGACAGCTGAAGAGCTCTTACCCAGCTAAGGGACTACATTTCTCAGGCTCCTTTGTACTCATCTGTGGCACCAAGTTGTGGAATGTAGACAGAAATAATCTGTTCTACTTTCAGGCCTATTGGAACCTCACACACTGCCCTCAGCTCTCTCCCTCTTTCAATATAATGGCTAGTGTCAATGCCCAAATGACCTAATTACCCATGAGAAGCCCACCTTCTGCCGCCAATTAGACTTTATGGGAGTAAGAAATATATTTCTTTTATGTCACATCAGTGAGGTTTTGGGTTTTCTCCGTCATGGCAGCTAGCAATACCTTAACTAGTACAGAGACCACACCGGCTTGATAGACTTGGGCTCCACCACACTGAAAGGACCAGTTTTCTCTCAAGACAAAAGAGACCTTGAGGACCTCAGCCTGGACCCATATCTCTACGGGTTATAGGCTAGGTCCCTAACCCTAACTCATCCTATCTTACTCTGAAGCCCCATCTTACCCTCTCAACAAATGTCTTCCTGTTGTAGACAGCAGCTAGCAGTCCCTGAACCCAGAAAACTTCCTCTTCAGATCTCTGCAAGGCCTAAAGGATCTTTCAATTGCATGAATTCAAACTCACTATCCACACATTCCCCTCATACTCACACCCATTCCCAGCAAATTGTCCTTCACTACTCTAAGTAGAATCTCTATTGCATTAAGCCATATCTATACCTTAATTTAATGTTTTATAAATTGTGGAATGCTATCTAGTATTGTGATGGTAAGTTGAGATTAATCAAAAATTTCAAAAAATGAAATAGAAGAGAATACAAAATATCAAAATGCATTGCACATAGCAAAGGCACATTTTGCTTTGATATCAGGATATAAATGTTTTCTTGATGCAAACATAATTTATAAAAAGTGCTCTTATTTTTCTTATTTCTCAACAGATACAGATACTTCTGTATCTGTTTTGTTATACTTCTGTATCTATCTATGTGTCTGTCTGTCTGTTAATCCATGCATTCACCTGTTGGTCTGTCCATTCATCCATTTATTCATCTATCCACCCATTCATCCATCCATCCATCCATCCATCTATCCATCCATCTATTTATCTATCTATCCACTTACCTACCTATACACACACATATATACACACATAATATATGTATAATAAGTCACAATGTAAAATATATGTCTTACTAATTATTTCAGTCAAAAACGTTTGAAATCTCTTTCCTGAATGATATGTCCCCTCACTCTAATAAATTCAAGTCCTTCCTTTTAGGGGTTTCTTCTTTATCTAAGATTGAGTTTCCCCAGGATCATTGTCAGGGATACTACATATACTTTCTTATATCAAATCAGCTGAAAGCTTTAATGATGCATATACTTTCCTTTTTCTTTCTTTTTTTTCTTTTTCTTTTTTTTAATTTGAGATGGAGTCTCATTTTGTCACCCAGGCTGGAGTGCAGTGGCACAATCTCAGCCCACTGCAATCTCCGCCTCCCGGGTTCAAGTGATTCTCCTGCCTCAGCCTCCCGAGTAGCTGGGACTACAGGTGCCACCACGCCCGGCTAAGTTTTTGTATTTTTAGTAGAGATGGGGTTTCACCATGTTAGCCAGAATAGTCTCGAAATCCTGACCTCGTGATCTGCATGCCACGGCCTCCCAAGGTGCTGGGATTACAGGTGTGAGCCACTGCGCCTAGCCATACTTTCATTTTTCAAGCCAGCGCAAAGCTTTAAATAATTTAAAAATGTGGACATCCAGTTCATTTATGATTCCTAAAATTTTGTTCTTTTCTTCTCTCCTCTCTTTAAAGTGTGTTGCATCTTTATCTCTGTCTGGAGAAAATTGGTCCCAGCCAAGTTGTAGGGTTACGGCTTCAAATATACACATGCTTATCTATATAATGCTGTGTGTATCCCTTGTGTCCAAAAGAGTACACCCCAGGATGATCCACGTGGCTAATTAAGAGTTTGACTCATATATTTTTGATAAGAAAATATTGGGGAAAAGTCTAAATTATTTATAAACTAGGATTATGTATTAAAAGCGAATTCAATATACATGTGTATATAACAAATATTTATTGAGCAACTACTGTGCAGCAGGATGAAGATAAAATGGTATAAGAAGAGATTCCTATTTTTCATGTACCTTATGGTTTAGTTATTAGAAAGTTGTTTTACTGCCAATAAATATAAGGGAGAAAAAAATTCAAAATTATCAAAGTTTTTAATAGGGACTAACTCACCAATGACTTCGATGTTTAATGAGGCCAAAACTCAGTATTTGGATCCCTTTGATGCTAGTATCAAGGATGTTGATTTTCTTACCCTCCTGGTAAAGGGAAACTGGATATGCTGAAAGCTCCTTGGCATTAAAAGCCAAGACCAAAGACGGTAATGAAATCATGGTGCACTCAAGTCATCACCAACAGGGCAGCAGAGGTTAGAGGCATCCAATTATAGGGAGCCCCTGACTCATGCTTCCTCCTGGTTCCCTGTCTCAGAGGCAGCTGAGAGGCTGGTCTTGGAAGTATATCTGTACAGATGGTTGATGTCTAATTAACAAGGGACCCAATAACATCTTTCTGAAAGTCCCAATTTGATCATATTCTCTTCCAACCAGTTGTATCGCTTCAGTGGCTTCTCATTGCTATTGGGGAGAAGACTGAAATCCTTAAGCAGTCCTACAAATTCTTCCATAATCTGGATGCTGCCTGCTTGGCTCCTGCGTCTTCTCCTCATTCTCTGGAGAATTCAATTGCACATACCATATACCTTCTTACATTGGGCATTTGAACATGCATGCCATCTACCTGAAATAATCTCTCACTTCTTTCCTTGACTTTGTTTCATCCAGTTAATGCACTCATCTTCCAGACAGAAGCCTAGGGATCATTGCCTTAGACAAGCCTTCCTTTACCTTCCTGGACTGAGTCAATTCCCCTTATTATTTACTTTAATGCCACCACATATAACTTCTCCATAGCACTTTAACTTAATTGTAATGTTATATCTTTGATTAATATCTGCCTGAGGGTAGGAATAATGTGTTTTCTATTCCCTTTCATTATTTTCTTTCTTTCATTGATGCCTTTGGGTCCTAGAGCTGTGCCTGGCATTGAGTAGATTCTCAATAGCAGGTTGTTGAATAAATGCACGAATAATAATGGGAGTGTATTGCTAACATCTGGAACAGCATAGCCTAGCAGGATAGGCTGCCTAAAATTTCATTTGGGGAGGAAAACTAAAGACGACTTCAGGATAAGTGTCTAGTCCACTACACAAAAGAAACACAACCTGAAAACAGATAGTGAGGATGAAGATCACTCCTTCTTGAATGGGTAGAGAGCCTCTTCTCCAAACATAAAAGCTACAGTGACATTTCCTGGGTTCCATTCTGGGTGATGAAAGGGAATGTTTGCAGTACATGGTTGCTTCTCTTAAACATATTCCAGTAATGTCTTAAGGTTAAGAGAGCTACAAGTAGGTTGAGAGAGGCAGGCTATATTTTTTGAAAATTAGTAAGAGAAGGGTAAGATCAGTGATAAAAGATCTCTTACACTTTGAGGAGACCCATTTTGCTAGTGACATTGGAGTCATGGTCACATGGGTCCCTTCCAGGCTGCTATGGCACAGGACAGCTGGGCTGAGAGGCTGACTGGAAAAGCTTGGATTTCATGAGTAGGTTGAAGAGAAAGACCTTTGTGGATCTCAGATGGGAAGACAAGAGTTCCCACTCATGCATAATAATCATAGTGATATTAAATACCACTTACTGAGCATCTATTATGTGTTAGGTACTTTAAAACTTTATTTTTAATGTTTAAAACAGCTCTGAAAGTTCAATTTTATAATCTCTATGTTACAAATATGAAAACGGAGGCTCAGACTGGTTAAGTGACTTGCCCAGCTGCTAAATGATAGAACCAAGACTCAAAAGTGGCTTGTGGTTGTGGCCATGCTTCTTCACTCACAGAACTGGCCCTGGGGGCTGCCCATGAAGACAAATGAACTTTTGCATAGTGTCCTTAAATACAAATAAATTACATGGACATTGCAACCTACTTTTCACCAGGTATCAAAGACCTGGGGTACATTCCCAACACAGTGTGCTTTCTTCCTCCTCAATTCCCTTTGAAGTTAGTGGGAAGTCAGCACCTGGAGGCTACAGAGAATCACAGTGGGGCTGAGTGTCCATCTTGATTTTACACTGTCCATATTTTTAATAAAATAATCCAGAATCAATCTCTATCTATCTACTTATCTACATATCTATCTTTTCCCAATTTAATGCGGTAGCACCAAATAATTTTCTAATTCAATGATAAAAATTAAACTTTCTATATGCAAAGTAGGTCAAAAATAGCTGCTTTAATTATTTAAGTAATATCCAAACAGGCAAACATCAAAAGAAGCTCAAGTTGCAACACAAAGAAAGAAAAAAAATCTTTAGAATCAGCAACTTTTCTAAGGCAAACAAGATGATCTCAGACACATGCACAAGCTAAGTTTAAGGCTTTCTCTTTAAAAAAAATTGCAATTTCATTGATGATAAGATCATTAATAATACTACAACATGTCCACAGCATATTCTTATCAACCCAGCATTCTGGTCGTATTTACATACAGGCTATTTATTGCTATGGGGTTTCAATGAGGAAAAACAAATTCATTAAAAAGCCTAGAAATTAGTAGGAAGGACTGAGATACTGATGAGGTTCCTTGATTCTAAACATGGCTGGCTATGCTAACAGCTCCTTTGGAATGCTTGGCCCTCTAGAATATAGCCAGAAAGCCAGGTGAGCGTTTTCCGCACTAAATGCTTATTCCCTACATTCTGCATCATTTTGTCAGCATAAAGTCTCTTCTCTGGCTTCCCTCCTTTAAAATATGAGCATTTCTATGGCCCTAGAAGCCCATTCTTAATTCAAATCTTTTCTACCTAACATGTAATTTTTTTTTTTTCTCTCCTCAACTAAACCTCTCTGAAGCATCAGGCACTGTATTGGGCACTGAGGAATAAGAACACAAAGAGAACAGCTGTTAAAGATCTCACAGAACCCAAACAACTAAGGCATAATCAATAAAATAATAGATGCATATCCAGGGCTTCAAGAATACAGGAAAACTGAAAGCTTCACAGAGGATATCACATTTGAGCTTGAGTCTTATGAGGGAAAAAATAAACTAGAATCTACAATAAGAAAGAAGGCATCTCTGGCACCGGAGGCACTCTATGCAAAAACATAGAGAAATGAGAATGGCATGTTCTTGCAAGAAAACGCTGAGATGGAATAAGGCTGTCTCCTAGGGGCGGCCAGAAATGTAACTGTACACGTATATTGGGGCCTCCTACATCATCTGGGACTTGGTTTTATCTGGAGGGCCTATGTTGACAAGGATTAACTGACCATCACTCCGTAAAGTCTTGTACAGCAGAAATTTGGGTTCTATTCTGTATTATGACTTACTATACAACTAAGACAAATTCCTTCCCCTCTCTGAGAACATCCACTGCAAATCTTAAATGCCTCCCCAGAATCGTTCCCCAGTGGCTCCTGCCTCCCAAATTGTGCTGTCACTGATGGGTGGGCCAGCCACTTTCCCTGGGAATGCTGAGCCCTGGGCCTGGGCCAACAAGCCACATGCCCAGAGTTCTGGCTCCTCCTCCACTTCCAGACTTAGCAGGAACACCAATCTGCCTTGGTGGCATCTGGCAAACAGAACAAACACCAAAAGGTCAGGTGACATGTCCCAGAAATCAGGGAATTAACTGTTCGTGGGCTGAGTCTTGACTAATGGGAAAAAGGAGATGGAAGGGAGCCAAGCAGATAACATTTCCTCTTTCCTGCCCTGCAGACTACTCCATTTCTTCTGCAGCCAGTCCACCCAGGTTCTTCCTCTGAGGTGACTTGGTCTATTGTGAAGGAGCACCCATGAGGACACCTCATTTCCCATTGCTTCCCAGGATTCCTTGCCCTACTTTCCTTTCCTTACCTTCTCCTTGTTCTGATCTGCACCTTCCAAGTCAAACGGATAAGACCCTCAGTTCTTGCTTCAGGCTCTGTTTTCTCAAGAGCACAGCCTCAGCCTGTTTTTGTTTTCAAAATGAGAGAGATGGCCAAGCACCCTCAAAGTTACTTCTGGGTCTGAGATTCCAAAGTCTTAGTTCTAACGTTCAACAGAACCTTGACCAAGACTTTTCACAGGCCGGGCGCGGTGTCTCACACCTGTAATCCCAGCACTTTGGGAGGCTGAGGCAGGCGGATCACGAGGTCAGGAGATGGAGACCATCCTGGCTAACACGGTGAAACCCCATCTCTACTAAAAATACAAAAAATTAGCTGGGCGTGGTTGCGGGCGCCTGTAGTCCCAGCTACTCTGGAGGCTGAGGCAAGAGAATGGCGTGAACCCGGGAGGCGGAGCTTGCAGTGAGCCAAGATAGCGCCACTGCACTCTGGCCTAGGCGAAAGAGCGGGACTCTGTCTCAAAAAAAGAGAAAAAGAGTTTTCACAAAGCAGGCAACTCATGTCCATCATGAAGTATGCAAGTCGGGGCACCACTTTCTGCATTGGGAAATATTTCTAAGAGGTTTCTAGAATCACCCCCACTTTACATATGGGGGAACTGAGGCTCAGAAAGTTTAACTCACTTGCCCAATGCCATGTAACTAAAAAGAACCAAAATTCAGACTCAGACAGTCTGATTCCTGAGCTTGTGTTCTTTGTCACTACTGAACACTGTGTCTCTTAGACTCTTCTGGATTTACTCTTCAAACCTGATTAAATTTTCCATTTCTTAAAGACTAGAAAAAAATTCAAAATGGAATTATGGGATAGAAAAGCAAAATGACATCTCCTGGGCTGCACCAAAAATACAAGGGAGAAGGGCAAGAATAGTATGCCGTATCATTTAAGGAGCCAAGGTCATATATTCAACAACCAGTTGGTTGTCCCACATTTTAGCATTCTTTCCCTTAACTTTTCCTTGTAAGAGAAATCTGTAAGGCAGAAAAACATTCTTAGTAAGAAAAAAATAAAACCCTGATTTGGGTTATGAAAATGTAGCTGCTGTAAACCCAAAGAAAACATGTCAGTTCAACTCCACCTAAGATCGTTTTATGCCCCAGTATAAATTCTAACATGAGCTTCAGGAGTGGTATGTGAATCTTGTTTTTGTTGTTGTTTTTTCTTTTTTCTTTCTTTTTCTTTTTTCAGATTCATGGGTCTCTTGAAGAGCTAGTCATCCTAGCCTATTAATAATTTTAATCTTAATTTCTTTCCCACTTCTCCTACTCTCTCCAATAATGAAAAAAATAAGACCTTAGCCATTTGTTTCCCAAAAACATGGAGCCTGTTTCATGACTATTGGGAGCAGATGTTAACATACATCCCCCAGGAGTCAGTGCAGGTTTGAAACCATAACAGGAGCAGACAACTTACCTCCAGCAAGGCTATTAGGTACAAGGGGTCAGAGAGATACAAAACAGGTATTCCCACTGGCCACCCTGTCCCTGAAATGCCTCGCCTTCCGTCTACAACCCCAGCCTTCCACAGGGCTCATCATCCTTCACGAATGACCCCCAATCTTCTCCAAGTAAATGATTTGAGTTTCTCTCATACTTTCTCAGTGCATGTGACAGTTTAAGGGAGGTTACCAAGAAAAATTCTTCCATACCCAAGACAATTCTCCCACTCACACTTCCATACAAGCACACAAATGACCTCATGGTTTTTGAGGAAGGTCAGCTCATGTTTCGGAGTCTAATAATGCCTAAAGCAAGAGCAAGGAGGGGTGTTGTGGCTGTCAGAGGCATGGGAAACCACAGCTTGTTCAGGAATCCTCAAAGGGCATGTGCTGGAGCTTTTCAGGATTGAGGACCAGAATCCACATGGTCGAAGACAATCTCAATTTTGTATATCTTTGTAGCTTTAGGGTTTTGAACACTTTAGCTTCCCAGGAAGATACATGAGAGGAAAGGTTCGCAACAAGTATTGAATGAATTAATGTATGAAATGAATGAATTCAATTGTTTCCCCATCCATGATAAGTACAAATTACTTCTTCCTCGAAGACAACCTGATGTTGATGTTTTTGAGGTCAGGCAGCCCCTTTGTCATTTACAAACAACAGACTTTAATCTCCTCGAGCTTGTTTTCCTTACCGGCACAAAGAGCATTATAGTCTCTATCTCAAAGAACCTTGTGAATATTGAAGGGGCTCTATACATATAACTACCTGACACACAGAGGTGCTTAGTAGTTGCTAGTTTACTTTCCCTCTTTGCCTTCTCCATGTTATCTGAATTCCCTAGTCCATAATCCTGGTTCCACCAAGCCAAGGTCAGTGCCTTGGGGTCCTGTGCCAGTTTCTGACCAGGAAACACTATACCATAGAGTCCTCCAGATCGCAGGCTCTGAAAGCCAACTTTTTTCACTTGAATACCAGCTCTATCCTTACTAGCTGTGTAACTTTGGGTAAGTTACTTCACCTCTCTGAATACCTGCTTCTTCTCCATCTTTCAGATGGGGACAATAATAGTACTTACTTTGAAAGGATTTTGTGGACACATGTAGAGTTTAGAATCATGTCTGAGCTGAGAACTGCTCAAAAAGTGTAACTGGTATTATGACGTCTATATAAGTCTACTCTACGTGAAATGTGAACTTCTCAAGCCAAGAACCAAGGTTTCAATCCCTCAGGCCCACAGCAGATATTTTGTCATCTAGCCTGACTCTCTAGGCACTTTCTGCTATTTGAGCAAAGGCTAGCTTGCTCTCCTTACCCTGTACTGCCCACCATCTCATCTTTCCAAACCTCAGAGAACTTGGGAACTTTCTGAGCAGGCCCAGGAGTTTGGGAAGTGCAGCATCTTTGGAGCACATAGCAAGCCTCTGAGGCCCCTCTTCAGAATCCCAGGCCTTTGGGAAGCACACAGTGAGGCCTTCCTGCAACACACTCTCCTCCTGTTAATGAAACCCTTAGTTTGGGTCAAGTTTCATGTGGAATTCATGACATTTTTAGCTTCATGACAATGCCTGAACCTCACCTCCACCCCACCCCATTTTTCTGTGTGTGTGGTTTTTTTTTTGGTGAATGGGTGCATGAAGGGCACAATAAGGTTTATTAAGTAAGAGACAGAAATGCTTGCAAACCTTTACTGCTCCTCCCAGGCCCATAAACAGTTCCTCAATCCTTCTTTGCAAGGTAATAAAACCTGGTGGGAGGTGAACTCTGGGACCCATGGGGTAAGGGTGGGTTTGCTTCCAGCCTGAGGCTGAACCCCAGGGTGAGCCCATGCAGCCTCCTTCCCTGCTCCATCCTCAATGGGAGGGAAGTAAAGGGAGAACCCATAGAGCTGAGCTGCTGGAAACCCAAAAAGCCTGCACCCCCTCAGATTGCCTGTAAAAAGCAGAGAAGTGCAGATCTCAGAGAGGCTAGAAGCAGCCTGGGGACCCAAGAGGAACCTCGGGAAACTCTGCAGTCAGAGGCCCTTCATGAGGAAAAAGGCAGTACAGAGCAGAGGAGAGATCACAGAAAATGAGCCAGAGTGCTGTGTTCTGATGTGTGCTCTGATGCTTACTGGTTAAGGGGCCCTGAGCGAGTTCCCTGACCTCTCTCATCCCGTTTCCTCATCTGCACATGGGAATAATGAGATACTGGGATGTATGCATGAGGTCATCAATGCAAAGCAACTCACACTCTGCCAAGAAGGACCCAGGAGAATGGCATGGCAAATCATTACTTAAAGAGTGGGTTCAACACACAAGGCCTGAAGGATTATTGACATGAAGCTATGTGGAGTTAACGATAGCAACCAGAGAAGTTACCCGCCACATGTATGTTTTGGTGATAGGCTTGCCATCTTCTCAGAGAGCCCAGAAGAAGGCATAACCAGGAAAAGCCCTCAAGGATATTGGCAGACATCAGGGGTGCTAAGAAGATGGGCCAGAATCTCTCCAGGGGTTGGCACCTGAGGAGTCCACCTGTCATTGCACTACCAGCTTCCTCTTCTGGCTTGTGCGCAGAATCAGGTGGCCCTGATTTTGCCCAGTGATCATCCCAAGCCCAGAGCCAGCAGTGCCTGGACCTGGGCTAGGATGGACTTGTGACCTGTAACCCTGTGGCATGCAAGACAGCATATGATGATGCACTGTAGCAAGGAGGGATATAGAGATCCATGTCTGGGCTCAAAAACACATTGGCACAAATAGAAAATGGGAATTGCGTTTTAAGAGTCACACTCATAGGCCAGGCGTGGTGGCTCATGCCTATAATCCCAGCACTTTGGGAGGCCGAGCCAGGCAGATCACGAGGTGAGGAGGTGGAGACAATCCGGGCTAACACAGTGAAACCCCGTCTGTACTGAAAAATACAAAAAATTAGCCGGCGTGGTGGCACACACCTGTAGTCCCAGCTACTCAGAAGGCTGAGGCAGGAGAATCACTTGAACCCGGAAGGCAGAGGTTGCAGTGAGCCATGATCGTGCCACTGCACTCCAGCCTGGGCGACAGAGAGAGACTCTGTCTCAAAAAAAATAAAAAAGAGTCACACTCATAGTAAAGTGTCAAGGCTTCTAGTCATCAGTTATGTCTTTTATGACACTTGACTGAGTTAGGTTTTTTACCTTCAATCAGTTAAATTTCCATTTGTAAGGCATGTTAACAAAACCACATTTCATTTCAAACATTCAAGGGATTCTCTAATAGATCACTGGTGTCTTCCTTTTGGAAAAGTTACAAGAATGTGCACTCCGCCCAGTTGAAAGATGAAGCTAAAACCAGAACTAAAAATTGATGAAAAAAGTCCGCTAGGGAGCACTGAAATCAATTAAAATACAGGTAAGATTAAATCGTTATTTTAATCTTTGTAATAAAATCATGTGCCAGAGTCAATATTTTGGAGAAAGTCAGTATTTAAAGTAAATAACAACAAAACAACAGCAGCAATGCTAATTATATACCAATATTTTGTATCTAAAATTACAGAACCTGTTAAAATACTGCAACATGGAAGAGGAAAATGGTAGAGAAGAAAGTAAAAGTATGATAAAATTCTTAAGCAGGAAGAGCTGAGTTTAATGCTGGATACATAAATTATAAAACAATAATAATAATAAAGAATATAAAGGTATTAAAAACACCCCACAAAAAGCAAGAAACCCAAGGAAAAGATAAGGACATGTTAAAATAAATTTTTAATCAAGGTGATAGAAGAGTGAACATAAGAGTTATAATTTTAGATATATCTGTAAAATATCTGAAAAAAAGATTCTTTAATCAGAATCAAAACTTAAACAGTCCTCAAAATTTTTGAAACTGAATTATCAGTTAAAATAAAATTAAGAAGTAAATAATAGTCACACTACTTGTATCAGACAACAGATTAACTTGGATAGAAAAACCCACTTTCAAATAGTAAAACCCCAATCCACAAAGAAAAAATGAGAAAAAGATGCAAGGAATAATAATAACAAAAAGTTAAGTGTTCATCTCTCAGTTTTTAAATTATAGAAGATTTTATTTTCTTCATTTGGTTTATCTGCATTTTCTACATTTTCTTCAGTGTACACAGCAGAAAAAGAGTTATAACTTTCCCTTTATTACCCTCTCCATTTCCAAATAAGCAAATGCAACTCAGGTGTCATCTCTTCCTGGAAAAGCCCCTGACATTACAACCCCACTCCTAAATGAGCCCTGTGAGGTACCCTTCTCAGGGATGTGCCAAGCCAGCCCCCATAAACTAGAGAGCAGGGTATGCACACCTCTTCCCAGCTCCATGTGCAGCCACGTCAGGTTAGTAGCTTGAAATCTGCCAGGGTGGAAGCATTTACACCATGGGAATCAGTAGATGCTACAAATCAAGATCTCTCCCACCTACAGCCGGTTAAATATTTATTAGCACATCACTGTTTGTGTTTCTAGAAATCTGTGCATGTCCTTCCATAATTTTTATCATCTTGCACTACAGCGTTTAACTTGCTTTTTTCTACCACAAATTCATGAACACCTAAGAGGCAGGACATTTCCTATGTTATCTCTCACCCACACCACGGCACCTAGCACATAGCTGGTGGAAGGAAAGAGAGAAAAGAGGGAAGGGAGGGAGAAGCCAAAGAAGGGAGGGAGAGAGAGATAAGGTAACTGCTTTCTTCCTTCAAATGTAATAAAATTGGCTAATTATTTATAAGTATCAACCACAGCCCATTCTTTGGAGCATGAAATTTTTCCAACTATCACCAAGAGAAAGATCTAGGTTTGCTTGCTCCTGATTTCTAAGAAGAAGAGGGCTTTGCAAAGCAGCCCCTTACCTCTGGAACTTCCAGCCAGACTAGAAGGTAGAATGGGGCTATTATTGAAAAGACATTCCTG
Organism: Homo sapiens; assembly: GCF_000001405.40. NCBI lineage: Eukaryota > Metazoa > Chordata > Mammalia > Primates > Hominidae > Homo > Homo sapiens. The sequence goes on from NC_000020.11 coordinate 40,414,859, forward strand.
AATACAAATTAGCATAGCAAATCCAAGTTTTGCTTAGGACATTTCCTGGAGATTAACAATTTTCAATCTGTTTCCTCATTCAGCACATGGGAAACATGAGAACTCTCCCCTCACTATACCTTCTGTCATTTCATCGAGGACCAAGTATTCAGAAAGGGCACCATAACCATAAAGTACTTGAAAAGTGTACCTATTTGGTTCCTCCTCACTTTCAAAATGTATTGGAATCTCTTTCCTGAAAACAAACAAAAAAAATCATTTTGCTATTATACCCTAATAGGTATCTTTTTGGTAGTAGCTTGTTCATGCTTATTAAGATTAGGTATTATAATATCGTCATTAATATAAACTCCTCTTCTCCATGAATATGTAGACCCATAACAGAAGAAGCAACAGAGGCCAAAATCCTCATGAAATTAAACAAAGCAAACCATAAAACAGTGGGAAGCTCAACCGGCTTAGCCAGTTTTTCTGATACATACTAGATATAACCACTGAGCTGTTATTTCCATTGTCCTATTCAAGTTCCTTCAGGTTATGTGTGCCAGTATGTGTGTATGGCAGCACTGCATAGAGGAGAGAAGGAAATGGAAACCACTAATTATTGAGTAGCTACTGGACTCACTCACTGGCTCAACAAATATTGACTGAGCGATGTGCCAGCACTGGCTCAGCCCCTGGGGATACAAGTGAATGAGACAAACTTTTAGAGTATGCAATCCATTGGAGAAATGGGGCAGAGCCGTAATAAGAAACACATAAACAACATAATTACAGATTTTAAAAGTTCTAGTAAGAAGTGAAACAAAGTGTTGTGATGCACTGTAAAGGGAGAGGGATGTAGTATTTAGGAGGAACAGGAGAGAGTTCTCTAAAGAGGTGACATATAAGCCAATACATCAATTAAAGGATAACAAGAAGTTGGTTAAGCAAAGGTCCAAGAGAGAAGCATTCCCAGCAAAGGAAACAGCAGAGGCAAAGACCTTAAGGTACAAAAGAACTGAGCACATGCAAAGATCATAAACGAGGTCAGTATGGCTAGAGAGGCTGAGCAAGAATGAGTGTGGGAAATAAAGTTAGAGAGGCATTCAAGTACTAAACATATAGGACATTATAAAGAGTTTAGATTTAAATGTAAGTGCAATTGAAGCATTTGAAGCAGCAAAGAGATATGGGCTGGGTTCAATAAAAGTTTTCATCTGTATATTATATGAAGAGTGGAGTAGAGGGTGCTTGGATAAGAGCTGGGAGACCAATTGAACTGCTGCATGGACTTCCTTTCATCATATTCTGGGATTTGGAGGCAAAAAAAAGAATTTAGTGCATGTTCACTGAATCCACTGTAAAGTTTTCAAATTTGAATCCATTTGTCCAAAGGAAACATTCAGTATCTTCACGCCTTTCTCATATGTCTGGCTGTGAAATCTTGGGCAAATTACATCACCTCTCAGAACCTCAGTGTCTTCATTTGTAAAAGTAGTTTAGCTGAATCTTCCAGAGTATCCAGTAAATGTTATACTCCTTAATTTCTTGGAAAGGAAAATGACTCAGATCTACTGGAAATAGACCAGGTAGCTCCAGGCAGTTCCCTGGGCCAGGACACAGCCAAGCTTGGGTGGAGCCTCAAAGGGGCCAGGGTGGAGACCAAGAGAGGCCTAGATACCTGATTATGCATGCAAAGTCCCACATCCTAGACACAAACCTTCAGCTCAGGAATGTGGCTTAGGCGGGGCTTGCTAGCAATGGAAACAGCAGAGAGAAAACCAGGAGGCACTAGAAGAAAAAAACAAATTAATATTTAAATAATTGTAGGTTGGAGAGATGTTGCTAAATTAGCAAGCAAAGGCAGAAAGCATGAAGGCAAAGATTGATAGAATTTATTTCATGAAACATCCAAGGCTATCTTAGAAATCAAAAATAAAATCATGAATAACCCAATTAAAAATGGGCAAAAGACATGAACAGGTATTTCCTAAAAGACTGAGTGTTTCTGTTACTCTGGAGAACCCAGACTAACGCATAAACAACAAAACAGTGTGTTAGAACCAAGGATCATGATTAATCAATTCTGCGTACCTGAGATCTGAACAAGAAGAAAAAATAAGAAAGAGGAAAAGATAAACCCTTGCAAATTGTTAAACAGTGTTAGTAATCAGGAAAATACAATTCAGGACAACTATGATCTACAATTTTACACACCCTCAACTGGCAAAAATTGAAAGTTTACAATACTAAATTATGGAGAGGATTTAGGTCTACAGAATTTCTTACACACTGCTGGTGGAGCATGACATGGTATTACCACTTTGGAAAATAATTGAGTAGTGTCTTCTAATAGTAAACATTTTTATTGTCTATGACCTAGCAACTCTACTCCTGGATGCAATAATACACATATATCAAGACACATAGCCGGGAATGTTTAGAGCTACAATGTTTACAGTAGCAAAACCCTAGAAACCACTCAAATATCCATTAATAGATATTCACAAATGACAGACGCATGATATATAATATGTAAAAATGGTATATTTAGCCAGGTGCAGTGGCATTATACCTGTTTTCCCAGCACTTTGGGAGACCAAGGCAGGCAGATCATTTGAGATCAAGAGTTAGAGACCGGACTGGCCAACACAGTGAAACTCCATCTCTACTAAAACTACAAAAAAAATTAGCTGGGTGTGGTGGTGCACACATGTCATCCTAGATACTATGGAGGCTGAGGCAGGAGAATCATATGAACCCAGGAGACAGAGGTTGCAGTGAGCTGAGATTGCACCAATGCACTCCAGCCTGGGTGACAAAGTGAGACTCCATCTCCAAAACAAACAAACAAAAAGGCTATCTTTATATATTATATATCACGCATCTGTCAAAATGAATTAAGCACAATGATGTTACAAGTAACCAAGTGATAAATTTTAGCAAAATTACATTAAATGAAAAGACTACCAAAGATTGCTCACAAGTTCTTTAAGTTACTGGGAAAGTTATATATTTTTATATCACAAGTAGTTATATGGGTTTTATGTAAGTAAAAATTCATTGAACTGCATACATAATGTTTTGTATATGTTATTTGTATGTACATTATAAATCAATTCTAGTTGTTTTTTAACGAATTGCATACCCTTTTTTGGGGGGTCTGGGGTGATGGAGTCTCACTCTGCGGCCAGCCTGGAGTGCAGTGGTGCGATCTCGGCTCACTTCAACTTCCACCTCCCGAGTTCAAGCAGTTCTCCTGCCTCAGCCTCTCGAATAGCTGGGACTACAGGTGTGCACCACCACGCCTAGCTAATTGCTGTATTTTTAGTAGAGACGGGGTTTCACCATGTTGGCCCGGGTGGTCTTGATCTCTTGACCTCGTGATCCACCTGCCTCAGCCTCCCAAAGTGCTGGGATTACAGTCATGAGCCACCGCGCCCAGCTGCCTTTTTTATGAAGCTACAAACCACAATTTTTAAAACCTATCTTGTAATACTAAACTCCACTTCTATTTAATAAAACTAAATAAAAATGAATTCAGGATGATAATGACCTCAGAAGAGAGAAGGTGAGAATGGATTGAAGGGGGAGGACCAACCATGTTTATATATGGCTTCTTGTGAAGAGACTAGCTGAATTGGGGAAGGAACTTCACAGATGTCTATTTAATAATGTAATAACATTATTAAAATTGCTAAATTAAACAAAATTACAAACACAGGCAAAACAACTAAATAAAAGGAGGCTGTGATAGTTAATTAGGAAGCTGTGATAGTTAATTTTATGTGTCAATTTGACCAGGCCATGGGATGCCCAGATATTTTGTTAAATATTACTTCTGGGTATGTCTGTGATGGTGTTTCTGGACGAGATTAACATTTGAATTAGTAGGCTGTAAAGAAGATCACCGCCCTCAATGCTCAATGTTAGGTAGACCTCATCTAATTCGTTGAAGGCCTGAATAAAGTTTGTGTAAGAAAGTATTTTCCCTGTGCCTGCCTGACCTCAAGCAAAGACATTAGTGTTCTACCTTCAGACCCAGACTGAACCACATCATCAGCTCTCCTGGGTCATCAGCTTACCAGCTGCAGATCCTAGGACTTCTCAGCCTGCATAATTTTTTGAGCCAATTTCTTATTTTAGATAGATAGATAGATAGATAGATAAAATAGATAGATAGATCAATAGATAGAAAAATGGAAATATATGTATCTTAATAAATATAGAGAGAGATAGATGGATATATAGGCTATATAGATAGGCATAAATAGACATGAAGATAGATGCAAAGATACACACAGATATATGTGTGTGTATTTGTATATATATGTGTGTATATGTGTGTGTATGTATATTTACATAAACACAACCACAAACATATCCTATTATTTTTATTTCTCTGGAGATCCCAGACTAATACGAAGACCATGTATGAACAACAAAACTATGTGTTAGAACCAGGGATTATAATTAATCAACTCTGTGTACCTGAGTTCTGAAAAAAAATAACAAGAAAGAAAAAAAGATACGTTTTACTATGGGAAACAAAAACAGAATAAAAATTCTAAATCAAGTGATAAACGTAGAAGAAACATTTTGGTATCTATACATGTCACAGAAAAAAAGTTAATACTTTGAACATATAATGAGGAATTCCAAATTGAAAAGGAAAAAGCAAACCCTTCAATTGATAAAATGTGTAATACACTTGATCAGAATTTTTTTAAGTAAAATGTAAAAGGCAAAGAGAAAATGTTAAAGTTTACTTAGAAACAGAACAAAAATACCTTTTTTACATATATCTGAATATCAGGAGCCAGATTTTTCATTATTATAGAAGTTTACAAATATAAAAATGAAAATATTAGTGTTTGTACACCTAAAAGGCCTCTATACCCACAGTATTCAGATCTTGGTTTCTAAATACTATTCTCCTTTAAAGTATTGAGGACTTGTTGGAAAATAGGCAGACTCCAGGGATGAAGCAGAAAAAAAATAGAAGATAACTCTGAAACATCATGTTGCATCAGGAAAGAAGAAAGTGTTCAAAGAATGATAGGGACATATCACAAAGATATGGACGCCAGCTTGAAGAGACTCCCACTAGCAACATCTAGGACAATTTGAGCACCAAAAATGGATGATAATCCAGTCAATAAAATAAGAATCTAGGAGTCTGTGATAATGTAAATAATCAATTAATCAATTTGAATGAAGAAGAAAGTCTTCCTTACAGAATATTGCCAACTTATAAATGTAAGAAGAACAATAAAGTTAGAAAATTATTGATAAATGCTAGATCTAGGGGTTGAATGTTTGATGAGAAACAGTGTATTGTATAGTCTCAAATAATTTACCTACAAAGGGAACACCAGTGGAAAACCAGTAAACTTATAATGGAGAATCAGACAGATACCTACTGAACCAAGTGATCAAAATTAATACCTCTAAAAATGGACAAATAAATATCATCACAACATTACTCCTTTAGTTTTTCTGCCAAAAAATGCATAATCTGAGTCAACCATGAAGAAACATCAGACAAACCCAATTTTAGGGACATTCTACCAAATATCTGACTTCTACCCTTCATAAATATCAAGGTCAAGAAAGGCAAATAAACAGTTTCAAAATAAAAAAGACCAAAGAGACATGACAATTAATGCAGTGTGTGATTCAAGATTAAATCTTGGAGGGGAAAAAAACAAATCATTAAAAAGAATATTAGACAATTGATGAAATATGAGTATGGACTGTAGGTTAGATAACAGTATTGTATTAATGTTAATGGTTAGGTAAGAGGAGTGTTTTGTACGTTCTCAAGTATTTAGTACAGGGGCACACTGTTTCTAAATTTTGTTTCATACAATTCAGGAAAAATTTATATAAATAAGATAGAGTTAGAAATATCAGTGTTATGTGTAGAAAGAGACAGGCATGTATAATGATTATACACACATACATGTACAACAAGTGAAGACAAATGTGAAAAGGAAGCATTGATGAATCTATATAAAAGATATTCAAGTGTTCCTTATACTCTTATTGCAAAATAAACAGTTGCTTTACAATATTTACATACACATATATATAAACAGCTATACTCTAAGTAGGTGGGAATTCAAGGAAGTAGGTACTATAATATACTGCCAGTGGGGAACACGTAAGTGGGTATTACTTTTCTAAATGTGGACAGTTGGCAATATAAATCAAAACCAATAACTTTGACATGGCAAAATAGAATTATGGAGATGGATGTGCATAAATCCAGAGCTACAATTCTCATAATACTGGAAATCTAGGAAGTCTAGAGATAACACAAATGACCAATAAGAGGAAACCAAGTGAACAAATTGTGGAACATCCATTTAGTGGAATAAGGATACAATCCTTAAAAGTTTTAGTGCAGAAAGCTATTTTATTACATAGGAATTTTTATACACTATATTAAGTGAAAAAAGCTAGTAGTAAAAAAGAAGGATGTGTAATTTGAACCAATTGTGCAAAAAAAAATACATATTAAGGTAGAAGACATTATTGGCCCTAGTTCTTGACTCCTTTCTGGATCTACATCCTTTGCCATTGACTTTGGAGTTAGTAATGGGCCTTGCTTTGACCAACAGAATGGGGCTGAAATGTGTGTGCACCAGTCCCAACCCTAGGTCATAAGTGCCCTCACACATTCCCACTCATTCTCCTGCATTTCTGCCCATCTCCATGAGAAGAATATAACTGGACTGGTGGCTTTCATTCCCAGGAGGAAAATGAGAGCCCCTTGGAGTAGAGCAGATCTACACAGCCAAGTCCAGCCTAGGTCAGTTAACCCCTAGCTGCCCCTTAGATTCATGAGATTAAGTGACTGCTGCATTAAGGCCTGAGATGAAGATGGCAGCATTTTCTGGAAATAGCTGATTGCTGTATACCTGAGGTACACACCTCAAAGGCTTTTTAAGGGCTACCTCTGGGTTGCATTATTACAGATTATTTCTATTTTCTTTTTATATGGTTTATCTATATTTTCCAAATATTTGAACTGCATATGTATTGTTCTTGGACTTTTTTTAAAAATGACCTACAAAATGATGACAAAAGTAATTCTAATGAGCTCAAGTTCAGTGGATCTCAAAGGATTCCTGGAAAATGAGTTTCAACACTCAAAGAAATAGATAGCTTCAATTTATTAAATGTCCATTATAACCCAGGCACTTTAATAAGCGCACCCTCTTTTTTTGGAGGGGGTTGCTTCACTATCCACAAAGCAAAAAAGTTATATAAGATGATTTCCATTTTAGAATTGAGAAAACTGTGAACATATAAGTTGAGTCAGATGCCTGAAGTTACTCAACTATAAAGTTTCAGAGCTGGAATTCAAACACAGGTGTGCCTAATGTGAATTCACCATCCCTGATTGATACAGAGACCTCTCTTTTCCCTGATCCAGACAGAATTCTGCTGTTGAGCTTAATAACTCAGCCCTCTATGGGGTCCTGAATGTGCAGCATTGCTCTGTTACTGTGAAATTACCCACACTATACACCCACCTCCCATAAGGTGGGATAGTAGGTTAAGAAAGCTGCAAATTCTTTGCCACTTTTCCCATTCATAGGTGGAATCTAATTCTCCTGCCTTTGAATGTGAGCTGGCCTTAGTGACTTGCTTTACCAACAGAATGCTGCAGAAATGAAGACCTGGGCTTCTGTGATGTCCTAAAAAGATTTTGAGCTTCCACTTGACCACTTGGAACCCCATCCCCTAACTCTGAGGAAGTCCAAGCCACCCTTTGAAGAAGCCCACATGAAGAGAATTGAGTCCCCCAGCAGACAGCCCCTGATCAGCTTCCAGCACCAAAGTGTCAGTCCTGTGAGTGAACCATCTTGGAAGTGAATACTTCAGCCCCAGCCCCAGTTAAGCTGCCCCCAGCTCATATCATGAAGCAGAGAGGAACTGACTCACCAGGCCTTGCCTCAATTGCTGATGCATGAGCAAAATGAAAAATTACTGTTGTTTGAAGCCATTGAGTTTGGTATAGTTTGTTGTGTAGCAATATATGACTGAAATAGTATCCTTTTTTTAAGTGATGAAGGTAGGGAGGAACAAAGGAAAGGGGGGAGGGAAAGAGGAAGGGAGGAAGGGAAGAAGTATTTGTCACATCATTTCATGGAGAAAATTGCATAAATAAGTAAAATTCTTAGTAAGCAAATGCACCCTGACTCCTGAGCCTCAGTGAAGGGTGCAGTTCTAGCTCAGCATCAGGCTCCTCTGAGGCTGCTCTCCTTGTCAGCAAAATCAGATTGGTAAAGAGCCTGAAGTTACTGATGCAAACCTGCATTTCTTCAGGCAACTGCAAAAGCAATGTCCACAGTAGAGAGGCAAAAGCTATGTTTATGCACTTTCCTGTGTATTTATTTATCCTGGCACAGGAATTTTCAAACTTGTCATTTTAAACCCAAGGAATTTTTCATCCATTTTGGAATTTCAATCACCATGTTACTGAATAAAGGAGATGATGTAGGGACAGCCAAGCTCTTCTGAGTGGCACAAATCTAGTCCCTGGTGACCTGCTGCCAAAAAGCATTCAACCAAAGGAAGCTAGACCCTGGCCATGAAGTGGCATTCTTGTGCAAGATGCTTATCTGAATGGCGGCATGCTTCTTGCCCTTGAATTGTGATTAAATCTTGATAGAATAGACTCTTCTCTCGGGGTCTCTAATTTCTAGAGTGGTAAACAGCACCTAAAAGTCCATCTGGTCCAGACACCTGACTCTAGGCTGAGAAATAAATAAATGCTCCAGGACAACTTGTATACCAGTCATTTGCCCATTTGTTCTCAGATCTCAGACCCTTCCTCTGCTCAGCTCTATATTGTATATGGCTGAGTTCTTAAAATTACATTCCCCAAATCTCTCAAAACTGGCTTATGATTAGGGATGGCCCACCCTAATCAGAGGTACTGGTGGAAGACTGAAGAAGAGGAGGAAGGGAGAAGCCAGAGTATCTTCCCCATCATTCTTTGACTTAGGCCAGTGACTGGAACTCTCCTGGCTCCCATTGGTGCAGGATGGATTTAGCTCCCAGGCTCCCAGGCTCTGTTAGCTCCACCTCCTCCCCTCTGCACACACATCCCAAGTTTAAGCTATTGATTTCTTACTCCTGATGTTCTGGTGCCAATAATCATGTTTCTACCACTGATTTCTTAGCTTCTTCTACTCCAGATTAAATGTTTCCAATTCCATCCCATACTTTAAAGCTGCTGAGGTATCTTACAGGATAAAGAAATCCTCATCAGTCTACCCTCCTTCAACCTGGTACAATTATGGATCCTTCTTATCCATGAGCCCAGCTCGTCCAGAATCTCATGAGGTCATCAGGGCTTGGATCTGAGTTCTTTCAGTTAGTATGTACTTAGCTCTCAAAATGCTCCATTTTAGAGTTAAGTCTTCTTCTGTGGGTAAGCAACTCCAGGTCAACTTACATAAGTCCCTGAAAGTTTTGGACTGTGCTGTGTATGTATTTTTATTGGCAGCACCCTGCCACCATCAGGCATAGAAGGAAAGCCCCGGTCCCATTCACTCTTCCCCCTCCCAACCATTCATCCATCCAACCATTTATCCACCTTTCCTTCATTCCATCCAACCATCCATCCATCCATCCATTCATCCATCCATCCATCCATTCATCCATCCAACCCCTCACTGATTCAAAGGATCTTATAGATTAAGTTTAGAGATTTGGGAAATAGAATGAATGTGAACTAAAATACACTTCACCACTTTTTACTTAACTGTGTGGTCTTGGCAAATTATTTACATTTCTGAGTCTTAGTGTGCCCATTTTACAGAATATGAACTAAGAATGAAATAAATCATTTAGCTACTCCAAGCCCCAGTTTTCTACTCTGTAAAATGGGATCAGTAATGATACCTACCCATTGGTGGATATTGTGAGGAATAAGTCAGACAGTCCCTATAAAGTGCCTAACATATGACCTTGAACATAGCGAACAGCAAGTAAGTGTTTGTTGTGATGATGATGATGATGATGATGATGATGATGATGATGTTGAAGAGGAGGAGAAGGAGGAGGGGAAGGACAAGGAGGAGGAGAAGGATGGAGATGGAAGAGGAGAACAAGGAGAAGAAGGAAAAAAGGAGGAAGAGGAGGCAAGGAAGATGATGCTATTCCCAGAAGCAATTCACAGGTCCCTCCACCTGGAAGTGAGTCCATATAAACTTTGAAAATTCCTATGAAGTATTCTGTCCATCTCCTGTGGTCCAAGCAATGCCAAAGGCCCATATGGATCAGAATCCATGAGGATAGACATGGAGACCAAAGTCACATGAAGTTGAACAAGTCACTGACGGACCACCAGTAGAGGATGCCAACCCTCTGTATATGAGTGCCAAAATATAGCCCTCTCAGAATCTCAGCCCTCTCTGTGAAAAGGCAAAGCTACCACAGGCCAGACCCAACTTACGGTAACACAGGAAGACTGGATTAGATCATGTCTACAAAGCACTTTGGACTCCTTGGAGGACAGTGGTCTATAAATAGCAGGTGGTGGTATTATTATTAATCAGGCCAACCTTTTATTGAAGCTAATTGCTACTGATGCCAATGAGACATTTATCTGGGTATAGCCAAAGAATCAGACTCTACAGCAGTGATCCATTATTTATTCATCATTAGATTAGCGGCCAAAAAAGAAATGCATCTTATAAAAAGCAATAGTATTTATTGTCTACAAGAAGCCCAAAAGAGAAAAAAATATCATCTGTTTTTCTGGTCATAAAGACTTCGGTCCCAATGCCACTCCTGGCTGTGACTGGGTACATGATAATAAGATGAATTCCTTAACATTTCTGAGCCTTCATTTCCTCTACTTCAGGGGTTGTGAAGATGAAATTAGGTGATGAATACTTGTCCCAAGCCCACTGCCAGGTGTGAGGTAAAGGCGTGGTAGCTTCCAAGGCCCATTACTTTTTTTTTTTTTCTTTTTTTTTTTTTTTTTGAGATGGAGTCTCACTCTGTCGCCAGGCTGGAGTGCAGTGGCACAATCTCGGCCCACTGCAACCTCTGCCTCCCAGGTTCAAGCGGTTCTCCTGCCTCAGCCTCCCGACTAGCTGGGACTACAGGCGCCCATGACCACGCCCAGCTCATGTTTCGTATTTTTAGTAGAGACGGGGCTTCACCGTGTTAGCCAGGATGGTCTCGACCTCCTGACCTCGTGATCCGCCTGCCTCAGCCTCCCAAAGTGCTGGGATTACAGGCGTGCAACACCGCGCCCGGCCCTAAGACCCATTTCTAATGCTTAGGGCTCATCATTTGTTACCGTAAACTAAACTGTCTTGTCCACACCATCCTTTGCCTCATGAAGTCTGGGCTTTTATTACCAAGAAAATGCGTCCAGTTTGGGGGCCAAAGAAAGAGCAGGGAGATATGTCAACAGAAATCCAAGGTAAGGTATGCATTATGCCACGAGGCCTTACTCTTCTTTGAATAAGGTTGACTCTCCACTCCCTAATTCCCTGTCCAGCTATGACTCCAACCAATGAAGAATTACTGTGGCCAATGCCATACTTTTCTGCTGCCTGAAGTCTAGCCAATAGCTGCCCTCCTCACCCATCTCTTGCTTGCTGGTGATTGGAGGGGGAAAAAAATGGCTCACATGTTTGAACTGACCAATGAGTGAGAGACAAAAGCCACAATGATAGACTGGCTTCTAGGTCTGCATAAACCATAAAGGTGCTCCCAAATAAACACTGTTGACCCACCGTCTGTGAAGAATCATGGGTTACCATATCACCACATTGTTTGACAATCTCCCTGGGGCTCAGCAGAGAATAGCTGACCAAAAAATAAATAAATAAATAAAAGAAGAAGAAGAAGACGGAGTCAAGATCAGCCTGGGCAACATAGCGAGACTTCACCTCTATGAAATGTAAAAAAAAAAAAAAAAAAAAAAAAATAGCCAGGCACGGTGGCACACACCTGTAGTTCCAGATACTTGGGAGGCTGAGGCAGGAGGATCACTTGAGCCCAGAAATTTGAGGTTGCAGTGAGCTGTGATTGCACCAATGGACTCCAGCCTGGATGACAGAGCAAGACCATGTCTCTTAAAAAAAGAAGAAAGAGAAGTAAGAGGAGGGGAAGGAGGAGGCAGAGCAGGAGAAGGTAAAGGAAAAGAAAAGAGAAAAACAAGAAAGTGTCGGTTTTCTGCTAACAAAAGCTTTAAATTTAGTGACTTAAAAATACGTATCTAATATCTTACAGTTCTGTAGGTTAGAAGTCTAACACAGATATCACTGGGCTGAAACTCAAGTGTCAGCAAGGCTGTGCTCTTTTCTAGAAGCTTTATGTGAGAATCCATTTCCTTCTCTTTTCCAGCTTCTAGAGGCCACCCACATGCCTTGACTCATTAACTCCTTCCGTCTTCAAAGCCAGCAACATCACATCTTTCTGAATCCTCTTCCCTCGACATATCTCTTTCTGATCACAGCCAGGAAAGTTTCTCCATTTTTAAGTGTTCATTTGATCATACTGGGCTCATGAAGACATTCTAGGGTAATCTCATTTTAAAGTCAACTGATTAGCAAGTTTAACTGCATCTGTAACTTTAATCTTATTTTGCCAAATAAGGTAACATTTTTACAAGTCCTAGGATTAGGATGTGGGGCCTCTCTACGGAGCATTACTCCAACTACCACAATCACTAACCATTTGCCTCTAAATTGTGGTCCCTGGGCTATTTTTCCTCTGAATTACCAGGGTAAGGTTGATGAGTGTGGAGATTCAAAGGCCACATCCAAGACCTTCCGAATCTAATTTTTTTTTTTTTTTGAGACGGAGTTTTGCTCTTGTCACCTAGGCTAGAGTGCAGTGGTGTGAGCTTGGCTCACCTCCACCTCCTGGGCTTAAGTGATTCTCCTGTCTCAGCCTCTCGAGTAGCTTGGATTACAGGTGACTGCCACCATGGCAGGCTAATATTTGTATTTTTAGTAGAGACGGGGGTGTCATCATGTTGGCCAGGCTGGTCTTTAACTCCTGACCTCAGGTGATCTGCCCATCTTGGCCTCCCAAAGTGCTGGGATTACAGGTGTGAGCCACCACACCTGGCTAAGAATCTGACTCTTTAGGGATGGGTCTGGGCATGGTAGAGGTCAACAAGTTCCCCAGGTATTTTCTATGAACACTCAAGTCTGAGAACCTCTTCAAAACAGTCCTCCAACAAGGCCATTATCTTCCATTGACAAATTAAGAAGTTGCTGCATTTGTGTTTGCTTTGTTTGAAGTTGTTTCTCTAATCAATTGATGAGGTTGCTTGTAATTAGAACAAAAGATTCCAATTTTAGATAGAGTGTCTAATAGTGTATCAAGTAACTAAAGTATGTACTCTGAAGAAGCGGGCACCAATTTTAGTTCAAAAAAATTCCATCTATAATCACTAAAGAATCTCTGTTATTTGTGCTTCTTTATACATCGATCATTTATCAAAACCTTTTTCTGGGGTAAATCCTGTGCTTGCTGTTAAGATACTTAGGTCAATTTGTAGCCTGTTAAGTAAAGGGCTCAAACTTTACTAAATGAACCCACATGGCATTGGTCTGAGTCTTTGAGACTCTAATCTAAAAAGAGTTCTGTTGGTTTCTTTCCTTGATCTAGTGTCAGTCCATTTAGAACATTAAGGGGTACTCCACTCCTAGAAATGAAGTGTCCTGTGTGCCCAGTCCCCCCTGACTGGTTTCCCTGACAGTAACTGAAATACTAGGACATTAGACTAAGGGCACAAGGTGGACACACAATACTGCATCTCCAGCCTGTGGCTCCCCCACACTCTCAAGGCTAAAGTTTACTTCTTGCCCATTCATGACTACTGTGTATGGAAGAGGGATACAAAAAAAAAAGGCACAAAAAATCTAACACATGGACATATGAGGGGGAACAACAGACACTGGGGCCTGTCAGGATGGGGTAGGTCGTGGGGGAAGGAAGAGCATCAGGAACAATAGCTAATGGATGTTGGGCTTAATACCTAGATGATGGGCTGATCTGTGCACCAAACCACCATGGCACCCATTTAGCTAGGTAACTAACCTGAACATCCCGGACATGTACCCCTGAACTTAAAATAAAAGTTGAAGAAAAAAAAACAATCTAACTGTTCTGGCTCTTTACATATATTACTTCATTTAGTCTTCACAATTCTGGAAAGTGAACTTGACTATGTAAATTTACCCATGGAAAAACAGGGGATCAGAGAAGCAATCCCTTGCCCATCAATGGCGCTTAAAAGTGGCCCATCTGGGATTCAGTTAAAAATGTCTCTCCTTCTCTTGGTGGTGGGATGTGCTCTGGAAAGTGCCTGAAGTCTGTCAGTCATTCAAGCTCTACTCTAACTAGGTTTGTGAAAAACAGAAGTAGAGCTTACACCCATTGACCAGAGTATTGGGAAGGGTAAGATGCTTTATTGGGATATCTCTATTGAGGGGATATAATTCTTTACTTCCCTTTTATAACAAAGAACTGGCTTAATCAGAAAACAGTGTGAAATTCTGCATGCTTATGCAACTCTCAGCACTTCGGGATATGCACAGTCAAGGAATTCAATGGTAAAAATATAGGTGGGTGACAGACCATCAATTAATTAATCAATTGAAATAATTTTCAAAATAAAATATGGAGTATCTACCATTTGCCAAGCACTGAGCTCAGAGTCTAGGGTTGAGTGGTTGCCTCAGTCTGATTTGCAATGCTATAAAAGAATACCCAAAAGTAGGTAATTTATAAAGAAAAGAGGTATATTTGGCTCACAATTCTACAGGCTGTACAAAAAGCATGGCACCAGCATCTGCTTCTGGTAGGGGACTCAAGAAGCTTCCAATCATGGTGAAAGGGCAAGGGAGCCAGTTTGTCATAAGGAAAGACAGGAAGGAAGAAGACAGGGGAGGGGTGCCAGGCTCTTTTAAACAACCAGCTCTCTTGTGAACTAATGTTGTAGGAACTCATTAGCATGGGGAGGGCACCAAGCCATTCATGAGGGATCTGCCCCATGACCCCAAAACCTTCCACTATGCCTTACCCCAAACATTGGGGATTCAATCTCAGCATGAGATTTGGAGGGAATAAATATCCAAATTATATCAGTGATCCTCAAACAATTATTTGTTTGAGCTATATGACGTTGCCAATATTTGACCACCTCACCTATAGAAATGGCATTTCATATAGTTCAACCTGTAATTACACAATAAACTATATTAAAATTGTGATTAGAGCTATGAACACTCTAAAACAAGAGGAAAGAGGCCGGGCATGGTGGCTTACGCCTATAATTCCGGCACTTTGGGAGGCCAAGGTGGGTGGATCACCTGAGGTCAGGAGTTCAAGACCAGCCTGACTGATATAGTGGAACCCCATCTCTACTAAAATTTAAAAAAAAAAAAAAGCCTGGCATGTGGTGGCAGGTGCCTGTAATCTCAGCTACTTGGGAGGCTGAGACAGGAGAATTGCTTGAACCCAGGAGGCAGAGGTTGCATTGAGCCAAGATCATGCCATTGCAGTCCAACCTAAGAAACAAAAGCGAAACTCTGTCAAAAAAAAACAAACAAAAAAAAAACAAACAAAAAAACAAAACAAACAAGAAAGAAAGAAAGAAAGAAAAAACTGACAGAGAAGCTGTTTGTCTGGAGCACAAGACATGATAGAGGTTGGCTCAAGATGCATCCATAGCAGAGGGCAGGGAGATCAGGCAGGATCTGGCAGACCAAGGTAAAGATTTTGGATTTAATCCTGACATAAAGCTGTTAAAGAAAATTTCCCCAACATTTTGTTATATTTTCAAAACATAGAAAAAAGTTAAAAGAGTTACACAATGAACTCCCAAATACTCACTCTACCTGGATTTTACAACTAACATTTTGCTATTATCTGTCAAGTCTTCCATCTGTCCATCTATCCACTTATCTTATTTTTTGATCCATTTTATAGTAAGTGGCAGTCATAAGTACATTTTACCCCAAACTCTGCAGCATGCGTGTCATTAACTATGTAATGTTAGTGACATTACATAGTTAAAGAACTTAAAGTTCCATATTTGTACAGTTTGTTAAGGAACATGTGCATGACAGAAAGTCACAAATTTTAGGTGTCTTATTCAATGAGCATTAAAAGATTTTTTTTAACCAGAGGTGTAACTTGGCTCCAGCTTTTGGGTAATTAATGTCTGGGGATCATGGGGAGATGGGATTGATGAAAGAAATCAGTTGAGGGGCTATAAAACTAGTTTAGAGGGAGAAGATGGTAAGAAAATCCAGTGGTGGCCATTGGGACAGAAAGAAGAGGATGGATTTAAAAGATGTTTTAGAGGTAAAACAGACAGACCTTGATGATGAATTTGATTTGGGTTGATGAGGAACAGGCAGGGTCAGGTCGACTTTTGGTTTCTGGGTGGATAGTCTGAGATGAGCCAGACTTTGGTAATGGGATTGAGAGGAGAGTCATGAGTGCAAGTTTGGACATGGACCCTCAGGTGCAGACTTTAGTTAGTTAGAAAACAACTAAGGCCGGGCAGGGTGGCTCATGCCTGTAATCCCAGCACTTTGGGAAGCCGAGGTGAGCAGATCACTTGAGCCCAGGAGTTGGAGACCAGCCTGGGCAACACAGCGAAACCCCATCTCTACAAAAAATACAAAAATTAGCTGGGCGTGGTGGCATGCACCTGTAGTCCCAGCTACTCAGGAAGCTGAGGTGGGAGGATCACCTGATCCCAGGAATTTGAGGCTTCAGTGAGCCATGATGACGCCATCACACTCCAGCCTAGGCAAGAGAGTGAAACCCTGTCTCAAAAGAAGAAAGAAAGAAAGAAAAAAAAAAAAAGAAACAAAGAAAAGAAAATAACTAACACTGAACTGCATGTGGAGTTCCCCTTGCCCCTCCCATCCTTCATCCTTCTCTGGATTCCACCCTTAGTTAGCAACCAACTTTTCCATATGCACACCTAGGGGACCAGAATACAGAGTGCTGACTCACCGTCTGAGGTCACTAAGCAGCTATTTTGGGAACATCTGGAGGCTTTGTCTTTCCATTTTCAGAAGGAAAACTGTAAACCCAAGAAGCCTTAGTGGAGGCCAGGGCGCACATGCTGGGCAAACTGGCTAGAGTGCTCCTGGGCTTCAGGCAGGTCCTGAAATGTCAAGCCCACTCCTTTCTGTCACCTAGAGCATCCCCAGGGGAATGTCCAGTTACCGGACTCTCACACTCTTCCCATTAGGTCATCTCTAATGCCAAAGGGGTGCCTGACAAAAAGACCTCATTGGCTACTAGGTGCTTCCAACTTAGCCATCGTTGGAGGATTGTGGGTTTGAACTGGCGGTCCAGACAGAAACTGGCTGACACCCACAGGGAATGCATTGTTGCCCCATCTCAGGCTTTGAGTTCCTTGAGGACATGGATCACTCATCTCCATACCCCACAAATGGGCAGGAAATGATTGAGGAAGGAAGAATGAAGAGAAGATATCCCACTCATCAGACATTTGTTATATTCCAGGCACCAAACTGAGCACAGGAACAAAAAGATGCATTAGACACAGACCTTACCTAGTTGCAGAGACAGGAATGGGAGATAAGCATGAAAAGGGTATGCAAAACGCAGAAAGACAACAAACATCTACAAGATCAGGAATAAGGTTCCCAGGACAGGTGACATTTGAGGTGGGTTTTGACAGAGGACCTGATAGAACTCAGGCAAAGGGAGGAATAGAAACTGCAACACAGTGGGGTGGAAAAGAAAGAGGCTGTGGGTTCACATCCCAGCTCTGCCTTTTTATGTTGGGCAAATGAGGTCTTTCGAAGGAGGTTGCTAACTCCAGTCTCATACCGGCTGCTGTAAGCATGCAGTAAGATAATATATGCTCTGGGCAGATCATAATAAAAGCTCATCTTTATTGAGTTCTTACTGGCTTGTACCAGAAACTTTCTATAATTTTCTCATTTATTGCTTACAACACCAAGTATTTGTCATATGGGGTATGATCTTGTAAATTAATTCATTTTTCATGGGAGGAAACTGAGTTAAGGAGATGAGCTAATTTGGTAGAAATAGTACTTTAGCCAGGCAGGATGATGGCAGAAACAAAATGATTAAAGGTTATGTTATAGCCCCTTCTTGTCCTCAGAGACTCTTCATTGTTTGTGGATCTTGGACCTTTATGAGAATCAATTTCTCCCCCAGACAAACAAACAAAAAAATGCTTATTCATTTTGTTTGTAAACTCAGGGAGTTTTTGGAACCCCCAAAGTCTGTTCACAGACTCCACGTTTATAACCCCTCTGACACCAAACCACCCGGCCACACTGTGCAGAACTCACTTACTCCATGTGGCCAAGGTGGGAGGAGAAAAAAAACCAGAAGAGCGGCTCAGGGAAGATGCCTCCACCTTGCCCAGACTAGTGGCAGTTGGAGGCTGCCATAGGGGGAAAGCAGGCACTGAGCACCCTGCCCTGGGGAGGAGGAGGAGGATGCATCAATGACACAACAGTCAGGGTAAGGTGGGATGGCCCCGAGCCAGAGCGGCACCTCCTAGGCACCCCGAGCATCGCTCTGAGTCAGGGTGGCAGTCACTGAGGCCATCGTTGCCTGCCAGGAAAGCACAAGGGAGAAGCCCAGCAGGAGCCAGAGCTGTCTGCACATGGCAGCAACATCAGAGCTCAGCCTGGGCTGTGGGGTGGGGTGACATTGGCACAGCTCAGCCATGTGTCTGCAACCCAGACCAGCCCTGGCCTGGGGAAGCTTGGGGAGGGCCTGGCAGAACTCCCTTCCAAGGGAGGAGGTTGCACAGGACAGGATCCCAAGAGGCCTGAGATGGGGATGAAGCTGGGCCAGGGTGAGGCCACTTCCCCACAGCCCTGGAAATGGGAGGTCCCGGGCTACCTTGGGAGGATGAATTAGCCCACATCCTGCTAGCGGTTGAGGGGGTTACATTATTCTACCTTCTAATCTAGAAACGTTTATAGAGGTTATTTTTTTCTTGCAGGGGTTTCAAGTACTCATGAGTTTATTTTTTCAACTTTTTAACTTTGAAATGAATATAGACTCATTTCAACTTGCAATAATAGCACATGGAGTCCCTTGAACCCTTTGCCTAGCTCCCTCCAATGATGACATCTTATCATTGTAATACAATATAAAAACCAGAAGACTGACATCTGTAAAACACTGTTAGCTAGGTTACACTCCTTATTTAGTTATCAAATGTGTGTGAAGCTTTAAATAAATGGCTTGCATTTACAGGACCTCATCTTAGTGCTGTTCCACCTCCCAGGCCCATGAAGTAAGGCTGATGTTAGTTTGATTGGGAGGCAGAGCAAGAGACAGAGAGGGGTCAGGAGAGAAGAATGGAGACACAAGCAGCAGTCTTTTCTGAGGTCGAAATTATGGCCATGCCATGTGGCTCAGACACAGTCAGACTTGACCTGACCCCTCTGTGAACCATCGCAGCACAGGACACAGGCCAGGTGGCACTCTTGGCACATACCTGGGAGCTTCCGTGCCTACTTTCCTTGCTTATTCTATGCAGTGGGTTGAATGGTGCCCCTCAAAAGACATGTCCATGTCCTAACCCCTAGAACCTATGAATGTGACCTTACTTAGAAAAGGGGTCTTTGTAGACGTAATTGAGTTAAGGATCTTGAAATGAGAACATCGTGGATTATCCACATGAGCCTTAAATACATTGATAAGTGTCCTTATAGGAGACATCCAGAGGAGAGACACAGACAGAAGAAAAGGCCACGTGAAGACAGAGGCAGATTGGAGTGCTGCAGCCACAAGTATGTGGACACCACCAGTAGCTGGAAGAAGAAAGCAGGAATCCTCTCCTAGAACTTCCAGGGAGAGTAGGGCCGAGCTCACACCACAATTTCAGGCTTCTTTCCTCCAGAACTATCGGAGAATAAAATTCTGCTGTTTTAAGCCAAGTTTGTGGTCATTTGTTATGGCAGCCCTAGGAAACCAACATATTCTATAATGCAAACGGCCCCTCTGCACAGCCCTTGCCTTTCATAGAGCAGGTAGACAGACATTACTGGTTTGTAACCACTAACAAATGGTCCTCAGGAATCAAGGCAGAACAGTTGATGCCAGTTCACCAACAAGGAAAGCTGGGCACAGAGCACTCTGCTGACCTGCCCAAGGATGCAAAGCTTAGGTGGTTGAGCAGTGACTCAAACCCATCTTTTGCTTATGCCCAAGCCTCATTAAGATCCTTGCTAAGATCATCCAGGGCCATTCTGAGGGACAGTTGGTTGCCTGTTGTAGCATGTTTTTGTTCTAGAGTTCAATCTCTTTATTTTTAAAAATTGCCAACTGGCAAATGTCAGCATCTCAAAGAAGGGCATTGACCAGGTACTTGGTTATCTTTTCATGTGCCCCTGCCTCCATCTGAGACAAGGGGTAAAGGGAATCACCGAGAAGGTGGGCAGGGCCACCCCCCACACAGCAAGCCCTAGGGAAGGAAGGTGGAGTCTGGATCCCCACGAATGTCCAGTGGAACATCCACTGCCTTCTGCTGCAGCTGTGGGCAGCTGCTGTTCCCTGGCAGGCCCCAAAAGGGCCCCCTGAAAGCCAAGTTCTCAGCCAACCAGTCCCCTCTGTGCTTCTGAAGACTAACGCAGGTCAAGTTATCCCCACAGTCCTAACCTGGTCTGCCAGAGCATCTTCCCCCTACACACTTTCCCTTGGAGTCCAGTACTTTATTTTTATTTTTATTTTTGAAAAGGTATTACATATACATGGGAGGAAAAAAAAATCAAAACATCATCTCCCTCCCACTCAGAACATGAGTTCCTGAATTCTCCTTCCCAGAAATAACAACTATTACCAGTTACTTGGGTTTCCTTCCAGGCAGAAGCATGTAGAGCTAAACATGTCCTTCTTTTATACAAATGAGAGGACCCTGTGTGCATCATTCTGCGCCTTTTCCCATTTGATATAGCTTGAAGATTTCCCCCAAACAGTACACATTCTTGATAACAGCTTCCACAGTATTGCCTTGCATAAATAAACTGAAATTTCTTTCATCTGCCGCCTGTAAAGCAACACTTAGGGTGTTTCTAATATGTTCTCACCATAAGCAGTGCTGTGATGCATAGCTTGTACACTCATATTTGTATTTTTAGTAGAGACAGGTATGTCTCTACTTCACACATATGTAAAAGTGTCTCCATAAGATCAATTCCTGAAAGAAAATTTGTTGCCTCAATGGATACATGCATTTTAAAATTTAATGGAAACTGTAAAATTGCCCTCCAAATGGCTTGTAGGAATTTATCGAGCCAGCCAGCAGTCAGTATCTGTTTCCTTGCAATTGTACCCTAATGATGTGTGATCAAATCTTTTGTCTTTGCAAATCAGCTAAGTAGCAATAAACATATGAGTGCTATGAAGGATCTGGTGATGTGATAGGAATGTGTACATATGAGTATGTATGTAGAAATCATTGAGCTGCACACTTAGAATTAGAGTACCTAAGGAACTTTATGCATGCTGTACCTCAATAAAAAGAAAAATGAGGCCGGATGCAGTGGCTCACGCCTGTAATACCAGCGTTTGGGAGGCCGAGGTGGGTGGATCACCTGAGGTCAGGAGTTCGAGACCAGCCTGGCCAACATGGTGAAACCCTGTCTCTACAAAAAATGCAAAAATTAGCTGGGCCTGGTGGCAGGCACCTTTAATGCCAGCTACTTGGGAGGCTGAGGCAGGGAGAATTTCTTGAACCTGGGAGGCAGAGGTTGCAATGAGCCACGATTGCGCCATTGCACTCCAGCCTGGGCAACAGAGCGAGAGACTGTTACAAAAAAAAAAAAAGAAACAATATGAAGAAAACAGGATGCTGAGATTCAAGAATAAGAGGGTCCCTTCCTTACACTGGGCGGTCTTGAAGTGCCTCACTTGCAACCTTAGGAGCAATGAGACTCCCACAAAGGAGTATCTGGAACCCATGTGAAAGAAGGTTTCAGATACAAGGAAGAGCACTGACAATGGACAGGGAAGGAGGCAGACTTGCTTGAGGAAGTGAAAACAGCAAGCTAGGGGGACTGGTCCCAGATGAGGCTGGAAAGGTTATCAGAGTCCAGATCAAACAGAGCCTCTTAGGCAAGAAGTTGGGGTTATTTTCTCATAGAAATGGGAAACCATTGAAAGGATTTAAGCACATGAGTGACAGGATCCAGCCAGTTTTGTTGTTTTGTTTTTTAATCACACAGCTGCCTGGAGAGTGGATTTTAGGAGGGAAAGAATGGAAGAGCAGAGACAAATTAGAAGTCTGCTGTGTTTTTTTAAGCTGAGAGATGATAGTGGCTTGGATCAGGATGATGATAAAAATAGGCAGAGGTGGAAAGATTATGTATATATTTAGGAGGAATGATCTATGAGACATCTATCCTGATCAAGAGACGGTCAGCTTTCTGGCTGGGCCTAGTGGGTGGGTCATGGTGCCATTGTACCAAAAGTGAAGAAGGCTTAGGTAGGTTTAGATTGAGGTCATAGGGAGAAAAATCAAAAGTCTGGCTTTAATCATATTAAGTTGTAGAGGTCTAAGAGGCAAGAGACATCAAAATGGAATCACCCAGAGGAGAGTAATTGGTGGGCTGTGAAATGAAATGTCTGTGTTTACGTGCACTTGCACAGAGACCCAAACTACCATCACCCCTGCTTTAGGCCGAAATTTCACAGAATTGTGGGCAATGTCTGTCTATAGCCATGAGATCAGAACAACTCTGTTTCATGGGGATAGTATTTTTCTCCACAGTTTGACTCTAGGCTCTTCAAGAGCAGAGACTGAATGTTAAATCTCCTAAACCCTCAGGACCATAGCATATGCTCCCCAAACAGGTAAGTGGCTGAGTTGAGGGCTCATCACAGATTTAGCTCATGGGATCTCAAATGAAAGCAGTTACCTGAGCTCAGATCAGTATCCACTAGGAGAAGCATGGGCCTGGCCGTTGGCAAGCGGACAGAAGAAAGCCCAATTCCCCAACCCACTGGATTCAAAAGACCCCACGGGCATTGCTTCCAGCATCCAAATGAGCAAATCCAGAAGTCATTGTTAATGGTGCTGGGCCTGGTGCCACCTTTGTCAAATGGAGACTGCGAAAGGTTCAGGAAATCCCACAGAACGCCTAATCCCTCTTTTTTGGGGGAAAAACTGCTACTATCAACCCATCTGTCCCATAGCAAATGTGCCATCAAAAAAGCCAATAAGACTCCCAAACTTGGCTTATTTTATCTGTCCCCAAAACTAGCCATTACCTCTGTCCCACAGTCTCCAAGTTTAGTCCTTCCAAGCTGTCCTCTGCAGGGCCGCTAACATGCAAATCTTAACATCCTGCCTCCCTTCTTAAAACTCCTTGATGGTTCCTGTTGTCTTTAAGGTAGAGCCCAAACCAGTCACACATATCTTTTACGATCTGGCCTCTAACAACTTTTCCACTCATACACCCTGACTTCTAGACTAATACACCTTCTCTCTGTTCCCCGAGCATGCTACAACCTCATTTCTCAATTCTTTGCTTGAAAGAGCTAGTTAATATTTAAAAGAAAATAATATGGGGAGATGCTAAGTTCTTGGGGAACACAGATTAAAATGGGATAATCTTTTCCAGTTATAAATTGGTAAAAATTGTTGAAGATTTAAAATACTCAGTGGTTAGAGAGGGGGAAGAAGCTGTTTTTTTTGTTATTTTTTATGTTTTCGAGATGGAGTCTTGCTCTGTCACCCAGGCTGGAATGCAATAGTGTGATCTCAGCTCACTGCAATCTCCACCTCCCGGATTCAAGTGATTCTCCTGCCTCAGCTTCCTGAGTAGCTGGGATTATAGGCACACACCACCAGGCCTGGCTAATTTTTGTATTATTAGTAGAGACAGGGTTTCACCACGTTGATCAGGCTGGTCTCGAACTCTTGACCTCGTGATCCACCCACCTCAGGCCTCCCAAAATGCTGGGATTACAGGCGTGAGCCACCAAATCTGGCCAAAGCCGTTTATTAATCTGTTGGTAAACACATAAGTTATGTCACATTTAAAGTCCTGCACACATTTAAAAGGCAGATGTGCTTTCACCCCAGCCACCAAACTTCCAGAATTCTTGTCCATCAGACTACTTGGACAAATATATACATAAAACATGTTTACTCCAGCCTTATTTGTCATAGCAAAAATAGGAGACAATTTAAAGGCTCCAAAAAACAGAGCAGCTAAGTCACTTATGGCACATCCTAAGTGGTGAATTCTAAGAAGTTGTTAAAAAGAATGAGGTGAAGTCATATGAAATGATTTGGAGGGATGTGTATGTTATTTTGTTAAGGCTGAAAAAATAGCTGTAAAATCAGATTATATGATCCAGTTTTTGGCAAAAAAAAAAAAAAAAAAAAAAAAAAAAAAACAAGAAAAGAATGAAGAGAGAAATCTAGTATGCACATCATTTCTCTCGTGGCAGTTCCCCTGGGCAGTGGGAGTGGGGAATGATGAGCAAATAGGAAAGACTTTCATATTTTACTTTGTACATTGCTATATAATTAACATATTTTCTTCACAAACATGCACTCCTTTTGAAATTAAAAGAAGATATATATAATAAATAATAATTAATAAAAATTTTTAAAGAGCCACAGGACAATGAGTTAGCAAGGGCAATTGCTGCTGATAGTTGAAGAAGAATCAAGCCTCGAAGAACATGGAAGAATGTTCCCCAAGATCTGAAAGGAGGTGGTTTAGGAGGTAGAAGTAAGAAGAGGGAGGCCATTTGCACATAGACCCCAAATTCAAAGCAGGCTTCAGAGCAGACACTTCCAGGGCCTTATTTGTGCAAAGTGGCAGCTGGGAGACCATGTTATAAGAACTGACTGAGATCAGAAGGTGAACAGCATGTGAGCCCCTGTGAGGATCACTCAGGACCGCTGATCTCCTAGGACCAGTTGTCTGGCCATTGCTGAGAGCCATCAGCTCTGTACCTGGCGCCCTGCTGGGGCCAACCCTTGTCTCTGTTCACATGACCTGGTGGGAGCATCCACCAGAAACAAATGTAAGACGAATATCTCAAGAGAGAAATGATTCTAAAGGAAGAGAGGCTAGAGCTAGTTCAGACCTCAGCTAGTATGCTGTCTGGACCTCATATATCCTTTGTCCTGCCCTCAGTTCTCATGCCTGAGTCCTGAGCCAAGGGGGTGTGTGAAGAATTAGAATGAATGGGGTGCTGGTCACATTCTTTGTCTTGATCTGGGTGCTGGTCGCATAGGTATATTCAGTTTGAGAAAATTCAACAACAGCTGTACACGTAGGATGTGTGCACATATGCATACTATAGTCAATAAAAATTATTAATAAAATTAAATGTCCCTCAATCTCCACTGTATCATTTTTCTTAAAAAGATATAGCAGATAAGGAGGGAGGGTTCTTTGGACCTTAGGAGAGCAAAATGAGAGGACTCTTTTGTTTACTTGGGCATCTCAGGGGTCATAGCCTTCCTCCCAGCATGAGTGGAGCCCACAGTGATGGTGGTGCCCATGAGCTCTATTGTAAACACCTAGACAGGGTTACGGATGTAGCCATAGCTAGAGATACAGATTTATGCACCTGGGAATTTTACTCATATGTTTGATGTTAACAGAAAAATTCCTGAAAGGACGCAAACTAAACTAAGGACAGTGGTTACCTGGGTGAGTCATTCCTACTTTTTTTTTTTTTTTTTGAGACAGAGTCTTGCTCTGTCACCCAGGCTGGAGTGCAATGGTGCAATCTCAGCTCACTGCAACCTCCGCCTCCCAGGTTCATGCCATTCTCCTTCCTCAGCCTCCGGAGTAGCTGGGATTATAGGCGCCTGCCACCATGCCCTGCTAATTTTTGTATTTTTAGTAAAGACAGGGTTTCACCATGTTGGTCAGGCTGGTCTTGAACTCTTGACCTCAAGCAATCCACCCTCCTCAGCCTCCCAAGGTGTTGGGATTACAGGCGTGAGCCACCACGCCCGGCCTCGTTCTTACTTTTTGTATCATTTATTTCTTCATTATTTGATTATTCCTACAAAAAATGTATTTTTAATTACAACTTATTAAGGTCTTTTCTCCTCTTGCTTGTTGACAAAACTTTAGACATCCTTGAAGGTGCAATCTTTTCCCCATGACACTTTCTCTGACTTCTTTGTACAGGTTTTCTCAAAGTTTTGTCCTCCCACCCTGACTACTTGTCCTAGAATCACCTGGGGAGATAGTTGAATTTGTAGATTTATGACCCTCTTCCCAGACTGGCTGAAGTATAATATCTGGAGCTCATGAATCTACATTTTAAGGCAATTTTGTTGCTCATTGTAGTTGATCATCTTTGGGTTAGATGACGAATTCCTTTCTTTTCTAGGCATTCAGACCTCCTTAACATCTGCATTCTGTGGCCCAGGGTTTATTGATCCCAGGACTGTCTTCTCCATGAGACTGCAGCCCCTCAAGGGCAGTGACTATATCCAATTCAACTAACTTTCCTCAGGGTTTGACATAGGACCCATGACAAGAGATGTTCAATAAATATGTGCTGAATGAATGAATGAATGAATGAATCTTCATCATCACACAATCACTGGGGTCCCAAGGATGAGACTTGCATGGTGGGCCAGTGCAGATACAGAGCTGGGCTTGGTTCAGGTACATTTTTGCCACTCTGAGGAACTCCAGCTTGTGATCCCAGGCTATCCTTAGTAGAGAGGAGCCAGGATTGGTGAGATAATAGGGAAACTTCAAAAGCCAGTGAAACCAGCCAGAGGAGCCACCCAGTAACCCAGATTATGGGATTCAGTTTCTATACATTAGGCTATCTCACCATTAACATTAAAAGAGCTGTGGCATAAATCACAAGCAGCATGGTTCCAAAGATTAAGGACCCCTCTTACCAGCAAATTCAAGGTCCCTTAAGAGTATAGAACAGTAATCTCAAGCTCGCACTGCAAAGCCAGTGACCTGGGTTCAATTCCTTATTCAACTTGTTAACTATGTTTTGGGCTTGTTTCCCCTATGATTCTCAGTTGTCCCATCTATAAGCTGAGAAAAATACTATTGCTTAACTCCAAGAGTTGTTGCATCAGGTTAGATCATCCATGCAACAAATATTCCTTACACTCCTACTGTGTACCCATGCCCGGTACTGTTCCAAGTGCCAGGGAGTTAACAGTAAAGAAAGCAAGCACAAAACCCTGTCTTGAGGGTTAATTCATGTAAAGCAGAGTCCGTAGCACAGAGTCATTGCTTCAGGTGGTCAAAGGAGACTCTTTATATCCAGACCTGATGGACCTTAAAGAGCAATCTCTAAGCTGGCTGTCAGTTCCTGCATCTAGAAATTAAGACACGCAAGGAAGGTAGCAAAAGTCATCCCCAGATCCTGTGCAATGGTCAAAGAGGTATAGTAAATGGCTAATAAATAGAAGCTGTGAAAATTGCAACTGTAATACCCAACTTGCCCTGGGGGAGCACAGAGGCAGAGGCAGTGCCTCTTAGGGCCCTGAAGCCCAGACAGGAGCTGTGTAAACAAAGCGCTTCAGGAGGAAAGGATGCCAAAATGTGTCCCCAGCCACAGAGTGGCTCAGCAGACTCCCCCGGCTCCAATTCTTGGAAATAAGTAGCTCCTTTTTTCCAGAAGAAAATAAACTTAAACAGGAAAGTGCTTCATGATTCAGTGGGTTACTCGGGGCCCTGGAAGTGTGAGTGTGCCTGAAGACGTCGGCAGTGGTTTACGGAGCACCCCAGCATTGGGGAAGAAGCCCAGTTTCCTGAAAGTGAGCATGGCCTGAGTCTGTGTCTGTTTATGCCCATGTCCCTGGTACAGTGCATGCTAACACGTGCCTCTGTACATTTGTATAGTGGGTGCACATGTGTCCAGGTGTGTGTGTGAGTGTGTGTGCTCCCATGCAGGTTGGTGGGAATATGTGCCTGTATGTGGCTTTGCCTCTGCTCCTGAGGACCTGGGTTTATAATTTCCACACACATTTCTCTGTGTGTGTGTGTGTGTGTGTGTGCTGTATGCACCTGTATTTGCTTGTGTCTATGTCTGTGTGCTTGGATAACTGCAGGCATGCTTTTGTGATGAGCAGAAGAGGAGAGAGAAAGCAAAGACAGTGAGGAAAAGACCTGAGCCAGGAGAGGATGGGGTTCAAAGCCTGCGGAGAAGTGTGGAGTAGGTGCTGAGTCCTCTTGAGAGATTTCTGTCAGGGATGTGGTGAGGAAACAGACCCAGAGTGCCCCACCACAGCCTCCAGGAATGGGTTCTGGGTTCTCTCTGATCTGGTGGCTGCTCTGATGTCAGGGTATAAGGTGGCTCTGTGGGCATACAACAGCCCAGCAAGATCTCCAAGGGGCTCCTCCACAGCCCCACCCAGGGGATCTGGCCCATCAAGTGGCACACATTAAGACTTTTAGTAAAGGGGAATCATGAGCCCCCACTGTCAGCCCCGGACTGTGGGAATTATGACTTTCCAACAGGAGGGGAATGAAGGCTGCTCCCAGCTTCTGGGCACTGCTAGGAGATCCTGGGAAAGAATAACCTGTGAGTCCAGCCCACACCCTGGGCCTTCACTGTCCCTCACCAGCCGGAGAAGCTCCGTGGCTGACACGGCGGATCGCTAATATCCCCTACTCACCCCAGGAGAGCTGGGCCCAGGCTTCACAGAAGAGAATGAGTTATTCACATAGGGAAATGACACCACCAGAGGTGCTGCCATCAGTGGGGTGCCTCTTGGGAACTTAGGCATTAAGCTAAAGACAGTGACAGGGTCAGCGCTAGTGGGGCAAGGACCAGTGAGGTGAAAAAGAACAGTTTCCTAAAGAATGTGCAGACATTTCAGGACTCTCGCCTCTAGGAAAACAGAGAGCTTCCACGTTTTGGGAAATTTTCATCAAAGAATATTTTCTTTCTATCTGGTAGTGCAATTACCCCGGGCTTGTCCCCCAAGCTGAGAGGGCCTGGCCTCGCAGTTTACAAAGACAATCGCCCTGGACACCAGATTCCGCAGTCCTGGGGGCTATAAGTAGCTTGTGCAGTGGCCTCCACTTCCTCATGTCAGTTTTCTCTGAGATTTTCCTGATCCTCTAGCTGACCACACCCACTCCAACCAAGCACACAGAGCTTCCAGAGAAGTCTGCCCTGTCTTCAGTTCCCAAGCTCAGGCATGTGCAAATGAGGCCCACTCCTAAGCAAATGGCTGTCCCACCCCATTCTGGGTCTTTCTTATGGGATTCACCCTCAGTGTCTAGTCTTAGTGGTAAAGGATAGAGTAGAGGCTCAAATTTCTAGCTGGGATTGTAAAAAACTGCCTACCTGCCTATCCACAAAAAGACACATTCAACATGTAAGAGGTGAGGACCAAGACTCTGTCTTCTCCAGAAACACTCTCAGACCTGCTAGTGAGAAGCCAGCTGGGACAGGCTGCACTGATCCCTCTCCCTGACACCTCAGTCCTATCAGCAATCCTCCGTCCCATCCTCAACCAAGGTACCACTTTTTTCCTGAATGGCAAATTCCATTTTAGAACCCTGGGAAGTCCTACATGTGTCTGCCTAGGACTCAAAGCTCAAATAGAATTGGAACTCAAGACCGGCTATAAATGGTCCAGGGTTTCCATTCCCTCTGCATTTGAACCCTTCTAGAGAACACCTTTAGAGAGAGCTGAAGCTAGGGACATAGTCATTATACTCTCACTGAATACCAATTGCCGTCATCAGGAAAAGAGACAGAGAGACCGCTGTGCCCTGGCACTGAGACCAGAGAAGGGTAGTGAGCATGAATTATGTATTACACAAGCAATAGAGATAAGAGTGGAATGGGGGGAAATCATAACCCTATTAATAATGGAAGTGCAGTTTGTAAACTCTCCACCAGGAATAATTTGCATTGCAATATAAACAGGGAGTAGAACACAGAGCAGCTGGCAATGGCGTTTCAGTAAAATGTAAAAGCCACCATTTCGAACATTAAAAGTCATGATTAAATTATAAGAATTTGTTCAGCAGCGTGTACAAGGAGAGGGCACGCGCTCCGACTCCATCTGAGCACAGGGTCAGCCCTTCCTCCACATGTCTTCTAGGAGCATGAACCAAGGACTTGCTTGGGTCCTTGAGACCTTGCCAATTCCTATATTATTATTACTAGTATTTGTTGTTGTTGAGTGCCTGCTATGTGCACCACTGTAAGCGTGTTGTGTGCAATAACAGTTAATTTTTGAAGCAACACTATGAGGGAGGTCCTATAACATCTCCATTTTATAAATGAAAAAAACAGAGGCTAAATGGTTTGCCTTAGGCTGCAAAATTGCTAAGCTGGAGGTGTTGCGGTGCAAACCCGGACAGTCTGAGCTCCCAGCCCACCCTCCTCAACACTATGCCCTGGTATCTCTTCGGGAGCTGCTCAGGTGTCCCTTTAGGCACCTCTGAAACGGTGCTGGTGGGATGGAAAATTGGAACCAACCTTTTAAAAAATGACTTGGTAGTATATTAGGAACTTGATCAACCTGTGACCAAGTTGTTCTTCATTTCTAGGAGTCTCCTGAAAAGAACTTAAAAGCATTATGATCTCTGATAGCTACTGAGGTATAATAATTATTAGATATTGATGTATAAAAGCTCTGGGTACAAACATGGGTTTTATTACCACATTATCATGTGAAAAAATTAGAAATAACCAAAATGTCTGATATTCATTGAATTGTTAAACAATAATAGGCTGGGCGCGATGGCTCACGCCTGTAATCCCAGCACTTTGGGAGGTCGAGGCGGGCAGATCACGAGGTCAGGAGATTGAGACCATCTTGGCTAACATGGTGAAACCCCATCTCTACTAAAAAATACCAAAAATTAGCTGGGTGCGGTGGCGGGCGCCTGTAGTCCCAGCTACTCGGGAGGCGGAGGCAGGAGAATGGCGTGAACCCGGGAGGCGGAGCTTGCAGTGAGCCGAGATGGCGCCACTGCACTCCAGCCTGGGCAACAGAGCGAGATTCCATCTCAAAAAAAAAAACAAAACAAAAAAACCCAATAATAATGCATAAATATTATGCATCCAAAAGGGGAATTGTTGATAAAGAACTTACAATAACAAGAAATGTGCTTGTTAAGTTAAACAAGTACGATATAAAAGGATAGACTCTCTATGAGCTCCACTGAGTAAAACAATATATAGAGAACTGTGGGCATGTAGCTACAAGGTTACTAATGTTCCTCTGTGTGTCAAAAAGTATACATGTTTCCTTTTCTATTTTCTGCATTTTCCAAGCATATATTAATTACTTTTACAATCTTAAAAATTATATAGATAGATATAGATATGTTGATACAGACATATTGATTGATTCATTCTGTTACTTAGTATATGTAAATTTGAAGGTGCCCTCACCATCTCAATTGTAAACAATTATAGACACCAAACAGAATGAGAACAGCCCTCTTTGTCCCCAGCTTGTCATCCCTGTCCTCAAAGTCCTGTAGGTCCCACTATCCAAGGAGTTCCCCTCACTCTCTATTGAGTGCCTCCCTCACTAAGCCATCGGCTCAGAACTGCCTGGAGCAGAAGACTGGGACTGGAACACTGTCCTCCACACAACATAAAGAGTGCCCCATGTGTCACGCACTTTTCTCTATGGTTTCTATAAGCATCAGACATAGGGGAAAGCACCTCCATCTATGTCTGTGGATCTAGAACCCGACAACCCCATGCTTGCTCCCAGGAAAATCAGGCGAAGCTGGGAGTGCCTGCCCTCATGGTGAATTCGATAAGGCACTGGTCTATGAGACACTCCTGGCTCTATACTGACCACCTGGCTGTGTGATCTCAGGTAAGTCACCTGAGCTGCAGCTGACCCTTCCATAAAATGGGAATGTTTGACTTGAGCATGCGAAGGCTCTTTTCCTGCCATGAGAGTGTACACACATAAGGTCACATGAGTTTGAGACAAATCTAAATGGGAACTATTTCAAGGCTGTTGTCGAGCATTCCAGTGCATGGTAACATAAAGGCCCAGCTGCCTTGCCAGTTCAGAGGCTGGCAGCAGAGAAAGTGAGGGCAGTGGAGTTAGAACAAGGCGGCATGAACATGTGGCTGGAGTGAGCTTTGGGCAGGGTGGCCGGGCTCCTGGCCTCCCTTATTGGCCAGAGTGTTGTCATCTGGAATACAGGCAGATGGACTTTGTCACAAACAGATGATATCCCATCCAATGACCTGTAAGAGTCTTAATGCTGAACACCCTGGCAATGGGCAGACCATGGCTCCTCCTGGAGGATGATGGAAGCAGGGAAGATAACTGGATTCTCCAAGATGGGAGTAGCATTCAAGAAGTGGGATGTCACAAGACTGGGGACCTAGAAGCCCCAAAACTGCCAGGAGGCTGAGAGGCTCTGAGCCCAGGTTGGGAAGGGAGCAGACAGCAAACTATACTCCCCAGTGTTCTCAGCACATTATTGACATTCCAGAGAGGAGAGGCAGAGAATTAATTTCATGATGACTTCCTCCCCCAATACCCATCCCTCTCCCCTGCCCACACAATCCCCAGCTAAGTCCAAATGAGGGCCTGAGACTTGCAGGAAGACAAATGATCCCAATTTAAAAAATGCTCCAGAGGCCTCCATATTCCATTCCTTCATTTGTTCCTCCCCAGTGTCCCACAAGAGGCTGCAGATCCTAATCCTGGGCACAGTGGCAGTGGCATGCAGTTGGTGCTCAGTAAATGCCTGTTGGCTCTGAACCAAATATCTTCAAACTGCCCTGTGAGACATCACTTTCCCAGAGGGGAGGACGAGCATTTAGCATTAACTTGGTTCTTATTCTGCAAAGCGATCCCAGTTTCCACTGCCTCTGCCTGTGAAAGTCTCCCTACTGCCAGTGTCCCAGGGGCTCACAGTGGCAGGAGGCCTGGGGGCTTTCTCACAGCTGCCTTTAACATTTCCTTCTGGTTATGCCCCGCTGCTCTGGTGACTGATGCTATTTGTCAGTCACCACCCAGGGGAGTCATGGAGAAAGATTGCCCAGGTGCCTGTCACAATCCAGATACAGCCATAGGTGCTGACACCTTGTCACTGTGTCACCCCGACCTGGTCTTATTGGCCTTTACATGTTGCTTCCCAAAGAGACATCAGGAGATGTCAGAGGCTAAGTGGGGGCGGGGTGGTCCCTGGATCCCAGACTCACCTCCCTATATCTGCAGCAGAAAGGTAGTCACAGAAATGCAGGAAGGAAAGAACACAGCCTTTGTGGAGCCTGGAAAATTCTGGGCTCTTGGGGCAATGAGGGAAACTGAGGAAGGAGAAAATGTCAGGAAGCAGGGTCTGCCCAAGATGGGGCACAGAATCACACAGAATTCGCCTTTCAAGATCTGATTATAAGAAAATAATCAAGCACAGGGACTACGACTTATGTCCAAAGATGGGCATTTTACTGCCATGCCTAAGAGTAGGAAAATTAGAAATGCCTCTGCTTGGCCGGGCGCAGTGGCTCACGCCTGTAATCCCAGCACTTTGGGAGGCCGAGGCGGGCGGATCACAAGGTCAGGAGATCGAGATCATCCTGGCTAACATGGTGAAACCCCGTATCTACTAAAAAACAGAAAAAAATTAGCCAGGCGTGGTGGCGGGCGCCTGTAGTCCCAGCTACTCGGGAGGCTGAGGCAGGAGAATGGCGTGAACCCTGGAGGCGGAGCTTGCAGTGAGCCGAGATCGCGCCACTGCACTCCAGCCTGGGCGACAGAGTGAGACTCCGTCTCAAAAAAAAAAAAAAAATAGAAAGAAATGCCTCTGTTTACTGTGCTACCCTGGGCAAGACACTTCACTATCTAAGCCTCAGTTGCATCAGCTGCGAAATGGGAAAAACAGTAATACTTTATGAATTTGCTGCAAAGATTAAATGAGATAATGCACAGAAAGTGCTTTGCATAGTACTTGCCATAGAGTAAATTTTCAATTTTAGTAAATAGCATTTAGTAAATAGCCAGTAGCAAGTAGCCGTTACTAAAATTGCATCCAAAAATAATTTATCAGTTACACAAATGGTGACATGCCAAAAAATAGTGTGAAATACTAAGCAATTGAAAGCAGGTTTCCTTCCAAAGAGATTTACAGTGAAGGGGACCAAGCTTATGGTATAATTTATAATAATATGTATCTATGTTTTTCCTATAAAATGTGCATATTTATAGTGAGGAGTGAACTTAATTTTTTATTGGAA
Source organism: Homo sapiens (assembly GCF_000001405.40). Lineage (NCBI taxonomy): Eukaryota > Metazoa > Chordata > Mammalia > Primates > Hominidae > Homo > Homo sapiens. The sequence continues at coordinate 40,449,080 of NC_000020.11, forward strand.
CTTTATTGGAACTTTTTTTTAATCTATGTCCAAATTTCACTAGTGGGGACAGGAAATTCTTGGCTGAATATAGGAGGGGTCCAGGAAGCCAGATGGAATTAAGGAGGCTGTTTCCCCTAAGCAGATGAAATCCTGCTCTGAAAAATATTTCCTGGTTATCCCACACTGATTTAGTCTGTTCATGTGCATGTGTATGTAGGTGGTTGTGATTGTGTGTTTGTGTGTATGTTGTGTGGATGTGTGCATTTGTGAGTTTCTGTGTGGTTGGGTATATATGCATGTGTGTTTGTATGTGTGTCTGTTTGTGTACGTGTGTGTGTCTGTGTTCATGTGTGTGTTTGCGTATGTGTCCCTTGCTGCATATGCATTCCCTAGAGCAGTGTTTCCAGATTGTTCAAAATGCAGATTCTAAACATAGACACCTGACCAGAGCAGGGAGTATCCTGAACTCTGAATATGTGTCAGTTTTTTAGGGATTCATATGCACAGCATATGAAGAGTTTGGTAACTCTAAAGACAGGTATCTTACCCTGTTCACTTCAAATCACCAGTGCCTGGCATAGGACCTAGTATATAAGAGGTCCAACAAATGGTTATTGAATGAATGAATCAGTCAACCAATCAATCAGTTAACCAATTCATATCTTCCCAACTTTGAGGAAAATACACATATCCTGAACTGTACTAGAATGTGAGTTCCCTAAGGATGGGAACCATGAACATAGATTTTCAATAAACTTGGTGAATTAATTAGTTTTCCCTAATATCGATGTAAAGGAAGGCTCTTCTTTTCCTAGAAAGACTGTCTTTCTTAACAGAGCTCATGGTCACAGGGGAAACACAGAGGAGCAGAAAAGACTCTTAACAGTGTCCACTCATGCCAGCACATGGTCTGTCTGTAGGAGTATGGGTACAAATGAAAAGTGGTGACAAATATTACTCTTACAGCAAAAGACTGAATAAGAACAAAACTAGAAATTGTAGCTGCAGCCACCTCTCAAATCTATATGATTTTTCAGAGCTATCAAGTTTCTTTATCCCATTTGATCCAAGACAATGGAGTGAGTCCCACTTTGACAGATAAAAAGATAAAGTGACTCAACCAAGTTTCTTCAGCTCCTCAGGGGTATCACCAGGCCAAGAATCCTGGTTGTCAAGTCGAGCTTCATTTTCAGGATTCTTTGTTAGTATAATGATGAAGACTGTAATTTTCCTTTGTTTCGCCTCCTCAGCTCAACTATAAGCAGATCCCGACTTCAGGAAGCATCCAGCTAAATGAGTTGGATGTGTCCCTCCAAAGGTTTAAGCAATGAATTATTATTTCACAGGTGCCTCTGATTCACCAGCTCTGAATAGCTGGACTGGTTTGGCTTGTTTACACGCAAATGCAAAAGCCATTAGGGAGCCCCAGTTCCAACACTGCAGATTTTGTTCTAAGTACCAACATCCCAAAATGCTCTCCATTACTTATCTGGAATTTCAAAATCATGCAACAAATGTAAGTTACAGACAAGATTTTTTAAAAAATAATAACAGCAATGCCAGAGAGGAAAACAGAAAAAAAGAAAGACAATATTTTTCAAATATTTTCCCAACTGTCATTTTAATAATGGCCTATCAACAAAGTATGCTAATTTCCCTCCACAGATACCTGCGAATGCAAATGCAAAACAAATAATAATTAATGTCTCTGTGTGAAAATCAAGCAATTTCTATTAATTCTGCATCAGACATGAGATTATGCACATTCAAAATCATGATCTGTTTTCAACAGCAACAGTGACAATTGTAAAGAAGAAATGGTGAGGGGAGGCTCTGGAGTTAACAGAATCCACATAGCCATCCTTGATATGACCTCTCCCAGCTTCCCAACAAAATACAGTCAGCTCTTCATATCCACAGATGCAACCAACCACAGACGAAAAATATTCAAAAGGAAAAAATAAAAACAACAATAAAAAATAAAACACATTTAAAAGTACAGTATAACAACTATTATATTTACATAATACCTTACATTAGGTATTATAAGTAATCTACAGATGATTTAAAGTATATTAGGGGATGGGCTTATGTTATATGCAAATACTAATATGCCATTTTATGTAAGGGACTTCAATATCCACAGATTTTGGTATCTGTGGGGTTCCTGAAACCAATTCCCCACAGATACCAAGGGACAACTATATATACGAACACTCTTGGAACTAAGAAGAGTAATCAACCAAGTGTCAAATTATAAGCAAAAGTTTTACTAGCTATAGCATAAAAGGAAACTGATAAAAAATAATATTCTTGATGGTGAGTACTGACATCTGAACCAGAGTATCAAGGCTGGAAGGCACTGTTGAGCCCTAGCTCACAAGCAGAGACTCCAGATCTTTGCTGATTAAAAAAGCAGACACCCTCCTCTCTGGTATGCTCCAAGAGCTTCCTAAACCCATCCTCCCTGAAACTACCAAGAATGGTCTTCTTTTTTTTTTTCTTTATTTCAAAAAAAAAAAAAAAATTGGATACCTATTGACCCGTCCTCTAAGTTCCCTCCCCTCACCCCTCACCCTCCATGCCCCAACAGGCCCTGGTGTGTGTTGTTTCCTTCTGTGTCCATGGAAAACCAAACACTGCATGTTCTCACTCATAAGTGGGAGATGAACAGGAATGGTTTTCTACTTCAGTTTATAGACTATCATCTGACTGCAATGTCACATGGAGGGAAGTGGAAGAGATCCAAGATGGGATATGATGCTGGCATTAGGCAAAGTCATAAAAGGAGGCCTGGAAGCTATGCTTCTTAGAGGTTGTGAGGTTTCAGATATTATTTCTACCAAAGGGTAGAGAGAAGACTATCTCAGAATGTCCAGAAATAAATGATCTGTTTCACACTCAAAGAATCAGGGAACAAAAGATCTCACAACAGTCCAGCAAAGTACATTGTAGTCAATGCATGAAGGAAAATAGAAACCCATCCACAGCTATGCTGTCCAACATAACAGGCACTACTTATATGTGGCTATTTAAATTTAAATTAATTAAAATTAAATACAATTAAAGATTCAATTCCTAAGTTCATAATCACATTTCCAGGACTCAGTAGCCACATGTAGCTAGTGGCTAGCATATTGGACAACATAGATAGGGAATGTTTCCATTGTCATAGAAACTTCTATTGGATAGCTCTGATCTAGAGCCTGAAAAGCCTGAAAACATAAACTCCAAGTGACAGATATCTTTCACTTATTCATCCTCCCCTACTCTATCCCATGCTCCCAGAAGGCAGACCTCTATGGCATATGGTAAAGGACTTCTTGTTCTTTTTTTTTTTCCAACTAACTTTTATTTTAAGTTCAGGGGGTACATGTGCGGGTTTGTTACATGAGTAAATTGCATGTTGTGGGGGTTTGGCATACAGATAATTTTGTCATCTAGGTAATGAGCATGATACTCAATAGGTAGTTTTTCAGTCCTCTCCCCTCTCACCCTCCACCTTCAAGTAGGCCCCAGGGTCTACTGTTCCCTTCTTTGTGTCCATGTGTACTCAATGTTTAGCTCCCACTTATAAGTGAGAACATGCAGCCAATACTGTATATTTGGTATTCTGTTCCTGCATTAATTTGCCTAGGATAACGGCCTCTAGCTGCATCCATGTTGCTGCAAAAGGCATGATTTTGTTCCTTTTTATGGCAGTATAGTATTCCATGGTGTATGTGTACCACATTTTCTTTATCCAAAACACCACTGAAGCACACCTAGGCTGAAGGAATTCTTGTTCTTTGGTCTCTGGTTGACTTCAGCGATAGGAGGGCACTAGAATGACACTATAGGACCAGAGAGTGAAGTGAGGCCTTTGTTGCTTTGGTTTCTGACTTCCTCCCTACTGGTCATTGTGATTTAGATGTCCCTCTGTTAAAAGCTGTCACTCTTGGCAGGCAGCTTTCCATATAACTATTCTCTGGGCTCTGGTAACATTTCCCTCCTCCTCTTGATCCTTCAGGCTGAGGGTAGGTAAAAATGCCTCACAAGCGACTCGACTTGGGGCACTGCATCATCCCTTTTTTGTTTTTTGTTTTTTTGTTTTTTTGAGACAAGAAGTTTCATTTTTGTTACCCAAGCTAGAGTGCAATGGCATGATCTCCGCTCGCTGCAACCTCCGCCTCCCGGGTTCGAGCAATTCTCCTGCCTCAGTATCCCAAGTAGCTGAGATTGCAGGTGCCCACCACCATGCCAGACTAATTTTTTGTATTTTTAGTGGAAATGGGGTTTCACCATGTTGGTCAGACTGGTCTCAAACTCCTGACCTCAGGAGATCCACCCACCTTGGCCTCCCAAAGTGCTGGGAATACAGGCATGAGACACTGCGCCCGGCCTGTGTTATCCCTTTTTAGAGCTCCTAAACTCCTCCCACACCCTGGGAAATGATCCCTTAATAAATCTTTTGTCAACTACCTACTATGAGGATGTTATGTTTCCCCTGAGTGAGTACCCTGATGGGTCAGATTCTGCTCTAACTTAAGTCTGAGGAAATGACTTTATCAAAATCTACAGAGACCGCAGAATCTATAGTCCCCTGGGGCAGACCATGGATTTAGAAATATGTCTTTCCATTTAACAATGATTAAACAAAGGAAAATAGCACAGGAGTTAGCAAATGTTTTTCACGAAAGCCCAGAGAGTAATATTTTGGGTTTTGGAAGCTATACAGTCTCTGTTGTAATTACACTGCAGTGTAAAAGCATGTAGCCATAGACAATATATAAATGAATGAGTGGGTCTGTGTTCTAATAATTTCATTTACAAAGACAAGGAATAGGTTGGATTTGGTCCATGGACTGTACTTTGCCTAAAGATGCCAAAAAATGCATGCCTCTGAATTTATTTACTATAAAAAGAAGAAAATATATATATATATATATGTACGTGAGTGTGTGAGTATGTGTGTGTGTGTGCACGTGTGTGTGTAGTTCTCTATAAACTGCAAGAATGTATGGCTTCTAGGAAGAGAAGGAGATAAAAAATGAAACAAAATGCAAAAGCAAAATGCAGGCTAAGGTGAAGAAAAGTCTTGCTGAGATATCAAAGAAGGCAGAGAAACAATTAATACACTCTTAGAATTATAGTTTACATTAGAAGCAATAAAGAGCAGAACTTATACTGCAGAAAACTAAGTTTCAGAGAAATAATAAATTTGAAACATATCTTTTAGAATCTGGAGTTGAAAATAATGAGCAAACAGATGGCATATATGAAGAATAGAGAAAAGTGATCCAATTTACAAAAAGAAAATAGTGTTCCTTTAAAAAGTCTCTAAAAAAGTAATGACACTGAAACACCAATCAAATCTATATTAGAACATTCTTGAACTGAAAATAAAAGATCTAAAATTGCAAAACAAAATGGTATACTCTGCACAAATCATAATTGATTTAAAAAAAAAAAGAAACCCACAGCTTGATAGCAAGGAAAAAATAACTTATAAGTATCCCAGGCAGAAAACAAAGCAAAGCAAAAATAATAAAAACCACATTGTTTGCAAAAGATTAAAAAGAAAAAAAATCAGATTGGGTTGACCTCAGAACTCTCCTTGATGAAAAATTAAAAATAAACATAATGGCTCACAATGTGGAAATGGTTAGGTGTACTTACAGTACAACCAGATGTTAGAATATTATGCAACTATCAAAAACAATATAGTATTAAGACAAATATAATAACAAATATAGTATTAAAAGAAAAACAATATAAGTATCTTCCAATCTCATTAAAAGATTGGAAAATACTTAGGATAAAATATTTAGAAAGAAAGTTAGACACAAGAACATATATAATATGCATGTATGTGTACTAACACATCTACTGTATTTCTTTCTAGCCTTTTGTCTACCTGTATATGCAAGTAGAAAAATACTGAGTATTATTTGCACATCCTGCACCACTCAATAGTTTAATTCTCCCAATATATCTATGAAATAGTAACAATATATCCCACAGCACACTTAAGAACACTGAGGGTTGGAGAGGTCACGAACTTGTCCAGATCATCCATAGTTGGTGGCATAACCAAGATTCCAATCAAAATCTAAAATGAATATGTTTCCCTTATGCTAGCTTAATGAGGGTGGTGGCTGCGCTCTGTGGGAGGGGAGGAGATAGGAAGGATGAATCTGGGTCCTGAGAGAGGATAAGGCCCTGGGTCTTGGTGCTATCAGCAGTAGTTAGGCTGGACAGATGGGACCAGTTTTCCTTTACCCAGCATAGCTCTGAGATGTCCCTTCAGAATGTCAGCAGTGACCCATCTCCCTCTGGCCATGATCTCACCTCTGGGGAGCCTGGAAGAACCAACAGAATTCAACAGAAACCCCAGGGCTGGCTAACTTGAAGGATGACTGATGTTTTACCAATTTATCAAAATATGAATTTAATGTTGTAATCTCCTTACATCACTATGATAATTCTCTGTTTATAGTTAGAAAAACCTTAGGAGGAATACTACTATCTCCTCTTCCAGAAGAACAGATCAGGAGCAAAGCTACAAAGATTGTACACAGTTCTGAAATATTTACTTCTTCTGAAGGAACATTTTATAAAGTCAAATTTCTGTGCTGGGCTTGCTGATGGACTTAAGTCTTTGGGCAGTTTTACAGACAAAGCAGCCAAAACGAAAAAAGAAAAAAAAGTAAAAGAAAAGATAAAAAGAGGATACCTTTCTCCAAAAGGTGGTCAGTAGAGAAGGGTGTATTTGTTCAGGACTTTCAAGTTCTTTATGAAGTGAGAGACTTTGCTCATTTGTTAATTGATGCATTCATTCACCCGAAACATCTTTATGAAGCATGAGCCGCAGAGTTGGACTCACAGAATAAGAAGAAGTATCAAAACATTGCTCCTGTTTCCAGGAACCCACAGTCTGGAAAGGCATGGGTGGGGGTGTTTAAAAAGGAAAGAGAGTCACATAACCCATTGTGTGGTTTAGAAAGCCCATTCTGTGAAATAAGCAAGTGGTAGAACCAACATATATTGCAAAACCATTTATTTGAATACAAACAAAACACATCCAAAGTAATGCTATATAAATATGTAAACATATAAAGACATCAACTAAATATGTTATCACATTTATGATTCTGGTTGCCTTTGGGGAAGGAAAAAGAATTAGAAGAATTAGAATGCAGGTGACTTCCCGTTTATCTTTAAAAATGTCTTTCTTAAAAAGAAGGTTCAAAATAAACACAACACAAAAAAAACACACATTGTATGACTGTATTTTTGTAAAGTTCACAAATAGGCAAACTAATCTATGCTATTGGACTCAGGATAGTGGTTACCTGTGATCAGGTAGGGTGGGGGAATAACAAGAAATGGGCAAAAGGAGAGGCGGGTAATGTTCCTTTTCTTTTTGTGGTACAGTTATATGACTGTTCACTTTGTGAACATTCAACAGATGTACATTAAGATATATGTACTTTTCCATATGGGTGTTATTTCAATAAAGATAGATTAGATAGATAGATAGATAGATAGACGATAGATGATAGATAGATAGATAGATAGATAGATAGATAGATAGATGATAGATAGATAATAGAAAGAATAGAGGAAAAGCATCTGTTGATTTGGAGTAGCAAATATATGGATATTAGCTATAATATCTCTGCACTTTTCTATATTTTTAAATGTTTTTTCCTAATTATGTAAATAATAAAAACATAGAAAAGACAACTCTAGCTGCCCTATAGAGAAGTTAGAGAGTGGAGTAGGCAGACCAGCTAGGAAGTTATTGCAGGAGCTCAAGTTAGAAAAGATGGGACTGGAGGGCCAGGTACGGTGGCTCACACCTGTAATCCCAGCACTTTGGGAGGCCAAGGTGGGCAGATCACGAGGTCAGGAGATCGAGACCATCCTGGCTAATACGGTGAAACCCCATCTCTACTAAAAATACAAAAATTAGCTGGCTGTGGTGGCGGGCGCCTGTAATCCCAACTACTCAGGAGGCTGAGGGAGGAGGATCGCTTGAACCCAGGAGGCGGAGGTTGCAAGTGAGCCGAGATTGCGCCATTGCACTCCAGCCTGGCAACAGAGCAAGACTCCATCTCAAAAAAAAAAAAAGCAGGGGAGAAGATAATGGTGAATTTACAAGGTCTGGTGACCATGGGTTATCCCTTCGGTTGCTCTGTGGACTTTGAGCAATCCATCTGTGTGATTAACCCCACACACCAAGGTCTCAGTCACCCTTGAACATGGGAAGAACCCCTCATCATCTGCAGGGTGAGATGTGTTTTGCCCTGAAATCCCCTTCCCCAGTGCCTCCCCTTAGCCTGCCCTCCTCTGATCCTGAACCCCCAGCCAAGGACTCCCCCAGAGCCCTTTAATTGGCTTAAACACTAGACAGGAGATTCCCTGGCAGGGGTAATCCATGATTGAACTAGGGATAATCAGCATGATTCATTTGTCTGATTAAAAGCTCTCACTCCCCATTATCACCTACCTGAGAGGAAGCCACACAGGGCTCTGACAGCAGGTAGGCAAAGGCTCAGGGCCTGACACTGTGGCGGGGTGGGGAGGGGGGCAGAGTAGAAAGTGATTGAATGACACAGGGCACAAAGCTCACAGCAGCACTTGTCCAAAAGGAACTATAGAAACAAAGGAATGGGAAGGCCGGTACTCACAACATGGAAAATATCCACCTGGTGGGGCTCTGTGGGACCATGCACATCCCGCAGAAATGCCTGTGATTTGGGGACGTTTTTCCTTTGATCCTCATAGATAAAGGGTTTCTGCTTCCCCGCCTCAGAAAGGAGCAGTTTGTGTCTGAGCACTTGCTATTCCTCTCTTCATTCCCTCACTCCTTCCATTCTGTGAGAGGAGAAATGATTGGTCTGACTGGTGAGTGAAAAGAGTTTTCCATTCACTGCACCATATTTGCCAGGGCAGAGTTGCCATTCTGAATCATGAGGTTTCCTCTCAATCTCTCTGTCCTCTATTCTTTTGGACATTGCTATTCTCAGAGGGAGCCCACTTTTTGGCATCCTCTATGTGGTCAGGTCATGAGGGCAGCTACCTGCCTTTTGCAGACCAAAAGGGCCTGTGTTCTCTTTGCTTCACTTTCTTCGCATGCAACAGGTTGAAGAAACTCAGCCATCCTAGTACTAGAGGCCTGGGGAGAGAAAAAGCAAACCCCCTTTTGCCGAATGTTCCCTGTAATAGATTGTATTATTGTTCCTATTCTTTATGTCTTCCTGTACCTTTATCTTCTGCCTGTGCCTTTGGCATACTCCCCACCAAAGGAGGGGTATATTTACCTGCAGGTCAGTTGACATAGTCTGGGCTTTAATCCATGCTACAGGTTGGGTCCACCTCTGCCTCACACATCTCTCCGTCTCCACAGATCAGTGGGCCAGTTCCATGCAGGCTCTTCCCATGGAAATGGTAGGAGAGCAGAAGCTTATGAGTGGAGACATGAGTTTGTTCATAGGATTTGCTTTGGCCAAAGTAATGTGGGTAGAAGTAACTATGTGAACTGTGTGCTGGATTCAAGCCTGGGTATTAGAAGACATCACATGTCTCCACTCACAAGCTTCTGCTCTGCTTCTGCCATTTCCATGGGAAGAGCCCGCATAAACTGGCCCACTGATCTGTGGAGAAGGAGAGATGTGTGAGGCAGAATTGGACCCAACCTGTAGCATGGATTCAAGTCCAGCCTATGTCAACTGACCTGCAGGTAGATAAGTGAGAATAAACGCTGCTTCAGGACACTGGGTTTTGGTGTGATTCCTTGTGCAGCATTATTGTAACAAGAGCTAGCTGATACACCCCATCATCCCTGGTTCTCCAGGTCAGTAAAGAAAACTATCACTCTAGGTTATAATGCTAATATTTTGCCCAGTTTGGCTGAATGCTTTGGGTTTTTACTTTATCGATCAAGCCGATGGAGAAAAGTTTCAATAAGTGGGAGGAGTAGAGCACAAAGTCTAGGGTAATCATATGTCCCAATGGGCCTGGATGGCCCTAATTTATACCTGTTATGCCAATATAATTAATAATAGCACCCTTCTGTCCAAAAGTACATCCTGGTTTGGATGATTAAATTATATCACCCTAGCCAAGCCCAACAAGATCCAGCCTAAACCATGTCTTCCTTACACTAACAATGGGCACCCCTTTGTGGTCAGTAGATACCCCAGAATTTTTTAAAAAGCCATGTCCTGGAAGGCAGGAGGCCTGGACAGCAATTCTCATGGCAGCAGGTGAGGTAAAAATAATACTTTTCCTAAATGCAGTCTATCTGCACAAGATTTTATAAAAGTGCTATGGGGTATTTTCTGAGAAATAAACTCCTTAATATGACTTCATGGTAAGAGTTCTATTTCCTTTATTCTCAGGAGTCCTAGGGAAGAAAAATATGCCCCCTGGCAGTGTTCCATAAAACTAATGATGTGGGGGAATACGTGAATAATTGCCTGAATCGCCGGGTTACATATCTGTTAGGAAATCTCTTGGCAATATAAAGAAGGGGCTCAGGACAGTTAAATTGAAGTCAAGTGAAATAAACTCCTGCTGCATCAGCTCGATGATCTTGTGGGTCAAGGGAGCTGTGGCAGCCCTCTCTGCACTTTGGGAATGTTGGGCCTCCAAGTTTTCTGGGTTCAGAGCAACAGGGACATAGGATGAGGAGTAGAAGGAAGGAATAAACAGGCATGGACCAGACATTGCAGGGATGCAAAGGGAAGTTCTGGAGCCAAGTCTTCAAAGCTACAGATCAAAAACTCGGGCAAGGAGCAGTGGCTCATGCCTGTAATCTCAGCGCTTTGGAAGGCCAAGGTAGATGGATCACTTGAGGCCAGGAGTTCAAGACCAACCTGGCCAACATGGTGAAACCTCATCTCTCTGAAATTCAAAAATTAGCTGGGTGTGGTGGTGGGTGCCTGTAATCCTAGCTACTTGGGAGGCTGAGGCATGAAAATCCTTTGAACCCAGGAGGCAGAGGTTGCAATGAGCCAAGATCATGCCACTGCACTCCAGCCTGGGTGACAGAGCAAGACTGTCAAAAAAAAAGGGAGGGAGAGAGATAGGGAGGGAAGAAGGAAGGAAGGAAGGAAGGAAGGAAGGAAGGAAGGAAGGAAGGAAGGAAGGAAGGAAGGAAGGAAGGAAGGAAGAAAGGATGAAGGAAGGAAGGAAGGAGAGAAGGAAGGAAGGAAGGAAGGAAGGAAGGAAGGAAGGAAGGAAGGAAGGAAGGAAGGAAGGAAGGAAGGAAAGATTACTGGTGAGTGGTCAGATAGATGGATGGATGAATGAATGAATTCTAAGTGTGGGGTTATTCCTTGTGCAATATTGATATTGTACTTCATAATATTATACTTCCAAAATTATTAGAGTAAAAGGAAATGATTCAAAAAGCAAGGAAAGGTTCAGTGTGCTGAAAAATACAGTAAGCCCAATTCCTTTCTCACCCACCCCACTCTCAGCCACGGAAAGAGGACTGATACTACAGCATCAGAGACCATCCAAGACAATACAGTTGTCCCTCAGTATCCTCAGGGGATTGGTTCCAGAACACCCTGTGGAAACCAAAATCTGCAGATGCTCAAGTCTCTAATATAAAATGGTATAGTATTTGCATAGAACCTATGCACATCTTCCCATATACTTTAAATCCTCTCTAGATTACTTATACCTAATACAAGGTAAATGCTATCTAAATAGTTGTTATACTGTATTGTTTGGAGAATAATAAGAAGGAAAAATGTCTACACATGTTTAGTACAGATGCAACCATCCTTTTTTAAATTTGTTTTCAATATTTTTGATCCACAGTTGGTTGAATCCACAGATGTGAAACTTATGGATATAGAGAGTTTTATGTTTTTTGAGAGAGAGATGGGGTCTCACTATCAAAAGCCTGGGGTTGCCCAGGCTGCTCTTGAACTGCTGGGCTCAAGCAATTCTTCCACCTCGCAATCCCAAAGTGCTGGAATTACAGACGTGTGCCACTGCACCTGGTCCAACTGTGTTTTAAATTATTCTTCCAGGGTAATATAGAAATTTGGATAAAATTCTTGAATTTGAACAAAGTAGACACCAGTTTGCACAATGCAGGACATCAATCCATCCATGCCCTTTGTCTCCAGATATCTGGTGTGGATGTGCATTCATGTCAACACAACTTTTTAAATTGCATTTTTTCCTCCTTCTCACTCATGTGTCTTCAGAGTAAACTGAAGAATTATTTCAGTGGAGCCATAAACCTCTCGGTCTCCCAAGACATACATATGGACTCCATGTCAATTTTCTCTCCCACACTGCACCTGAACTATTTCAAACTATCTTCCCAGTTGACCAAACCAGAAACCTCAGAGTCGCCCACTACTCTGACCTCTCTCTAACCCCCAACCCGTTAGTCTTTCTCTCATAAATCTCTCTGGTTCTTCCAGCCCACAGCCTGTCCACTCTCATCCAGGTCTCCACCACATCTCCCCTGGGTTGTAGGAGAAGCTCTTAGCTGCCTCTTGGCCTGGGCTCTCTCCTTTAAATCCATCCTATACCTAGAAACCAGAGGGATTTTTCCAAAACAGAAATTTGACCTCCCTGGTCCCCTGGCAACCCATCAATGGCTTCATGCTGTCTTTAAATTAAATCTGAACCCCATGTGAGGCTCTGCACAATTCGGCCTCTGCTTGTTCTTCCAGCCTCATCTCACCACTCCCTGCTTCTCACCCGAGGCCTAGCAGCAGCCTCCATTTCTCTGGCTCCTTGTTTTCTGTCACTTTCAATCATTAGACCTCCTCTTCTAGTTCCTGGAACTCAATTGCTCACTCCATCTCAATCCTTTTTTTACCTAAGCACGATTCTTTCACTCCACAGGTTTTGCTGAAGTATCCTACCATATTCTGCAAGAGAGTATCTCAACATCCTCCTAGCTTAACACTTAACAACATAGTATTATGTTAGCTTGATCAACTCACTCTCCTCCCCTTGTCTGAAAGATCAAAAAAGGCAGCCCCAGGCCAATCGTGTTTGTGTTCCTAGCACCTAGGCCAATTCCTGACTTAAAGTAGGTATTAGAAAAAACTTTTTGAATGCCAGACAAATCCATGAACTGAGGACAACTCTTTGTTTATTCAACATATATTAATGGAGGGCCTGATATGTGTCAGGTATAGTTCTCAGCGTGTGGGATACATCAGTAAAAAACATAAAATGCCTACCCTGGTGGTGCTTACTTTTCAGATGGAGGGAGACATTTATTTACATATTTAACAAATATTTATCCGGCAGAGAATCATTGCACACACAAAAAAGATGGGGTGGCCTGGCCAGACATGTACATGACAGATCAGTTCTAAAATATTTTCCTTGTTTTTAGTTTCTACTTCAATGAAAAATTTGTCGTCATCTTAGTGTTACCGTCCTGGAAATTCTCAATGTCCTCTTTGCCTGCTCAATGTTTCTCTGTAACAGTGTTCATCATCTAATATAAAGAGCAACACAAACACATAGTTTGTGCTCAATCAAAGCTTGTGGAATACAGAAACAAACAAGAAACTCCAAGAGCTCATTCAGTAAACTTACAAACAAGTAAGAAGATGAGCTTATGATCAGCCTGCTCAAAGCAAAAGAAAAGGGAAGGAAACAATTTTTCTAAGAGCCCTTCAGAAAAGGGAGAAAAGCTTTGCAAAACTCAGAGAACCCAGGAGCAGTAACTGATCTTTATGATCCAGTACAGAAGCCTGAGTAACCGCAGGCTGTCTCAGGTTTTAATACAAGGTTATTTACATAGTTACCTAATTATTATGTCTCAATAGAGGGAAGGAAAAAAAGCAAGTGTTTTTCTACTCCCTATTTGCCTTAAAGATCTAAGGGTAATAAATTGTTAGTTTTATTCTTAATTGGTACATGCTTCTTCCAATTTCTTTTCTTTAAAAAAATCAATACGTGGTTTGCGAGACCTTTAATGGAGAGTAAAGAACTGTGACTAGACTTCTTCCTTATTATTGAGATAATCTGTCAGCATTTATCTTTTAAAGGGGCCTCAGGTAAGGCAGACATGATTAAGTTTTTGCAGTAGTAAATGCTGGGCCATTTCTAGAGTTAAAATGATATGAAAAATATAACTGCATCAGGCTATGCCTGATAAAAGACAGTGTCTCTTTTGCAAAAATGTGGGCTGTGGGTCTGGTCTGCTGAGGCAGGGCTCCCAACATCTTGGAAATGTTGTGCCCAACCACTGCCCACTGCCCTGGCCGAGCTCCTGCCCCCACTGAGCTTCGGGAAGTGACTGCGGCTGTTCCCAGCGAGCCTGACCAGAGGCAGAGGCCACTGGTAACCTTAACCCCACGTGGGCAGGCCCTCGTCAGAGCCTCTCCCCAACCCTAAAATTAACCAGTAAGTTTTTGGAAGGGGAGGTGGACAGAGAAGTGCAGGGCCCTGTTTGCTCTTTGGAGCCCAAAGGAAACAGGAGCCTGGGAGCTGACACCCTGGGCCTGAAAAATTGTAATTGTTAGACAAGCCCAGGCATGTGAACAAGAGCTTCCCTACCCCAATCTGCAAGGCAGACACCCTGAGAGTGTTAGAGTTGGTATGGGCAGGGTCCTTCACACTCTGAAGTATGTGGTTACCCAGCAGGCTGGTGGGCAGAGCATGGAAAAGTCCGAATCAACCATAATCAAGTAAATGGCTAAGGCCGAGTTCAGGTAAGGCCCTGCCTACAAATCCAACTCACATTACCTGTGCACCTCATTGTGCCTGTGCCAGACAATGTGCCTCAATTTAACCTTTGCAAAACTTGTCTGATATGGACATTTGTATTCTCGTTTGATAGATAAGGGAGTAAGGGCTCAGAGAATTTAATTAACCTTCCCAAGGCCACACAGCTAAATGGCAGGACTAAGATTCACTATCAGTCTGTTGTACTTCTCAAGTTATCTTTGCTCTACCAAACATCCCAAGCAAAGAAGTTAACATGATGTAATGGTGAAGAGCATGGGCTCTATAGCCATAGCGCCTAGGTTTGAATCCTGGCTCTGCTACTTACTAGCTATGTGGCTTTAGGCAAGTTACTTAACTTTTCTGTGCCACAGTTTTCTCATCTGGAAAACAGGGACAACAGTTGTATATTTATCATCGTGTGATTAGGAGAATGTAAATATGTGAATATTTGTCAAGTACTTAGAAGAGTCCCTGGCGTATAATGAATACATATACATGTTTCATGTGTGCTAAATAAATAAAAGAAAGGGATCTTTTCATTCTCACCACACAAGAGTTCATTTTCCAGTCTCTGGACTCAGAAGAAGGTGTTTTGCAGTTTCCTAACATCATGGAGTCCGAAAAGTGCTTTTGCTACAAGGGTCTCACTTTACTGTCACAACAGCTGTCTAAAGAAGAAAGGAAGATTAGACCCATGTAACAGAAGAATACACTGAGACTTGACAACATGAGGACCTTTATAAGGTCATTTAGCAGGTAAATAAAGAGCAAGAAAGATCCAACTCGACCTTTCTGACCCTGAATCCGTGCTATGCCCACACTCTAAATAAAAGCATGAACTTGTGAGTTTGTGGATGAAAGCTTGGCATTGCGTCCAAAATGAGGCCATGGGACAGACTGCTGCTGCCATTTAACCCCAGGTCCTGAGAAATTCCTCAACCCTTCCCATGAGTCAGGGACTCCTGGATTCAGTGCTGCTGTGGACTGCCCATTATGCCTCTCCCCTGTACTCAGGAGATGGAAGACTCTCTAGAGTTGACCACTGTGAACCAAAGACAATAGAGTGTTCTCTTTTTGCACAAAGAACAAAACAGAACATCAAGAGTCTTAGTGATTTATTCAAGTCACATGAGTTCAATGAGTAGGGAACTGCATCAAGAGACAGCTTCCAGTTAATTTTATGAACCTTATATGCATTGCCCAATATGAGTGTTCAACCCCATGGTTCCCTGTTTTTTTTGGGTTTTTTTTTTTTTTGTCTTTTTTTTGTTTTGTTTTTTTGTGCAATCAATGACCTAAATTCTAGGGAAGTTAGGGTAGAACTAGAGAAGACAGGGAAGAGCAAAAGAAAACAAAATGTGCTCAGTTTGGTTCCGAGGAAGGGTGCGGAAGCTGGATCCAGATGGTGGGGGTTTGGGGAACTGGATAAATCAAGAGAGTTGAGGTCCTTGGAAAAACTGAAGACGGATGTTTTCAAGGACATAGAAACATGGCTCGTAGCAATGCTCCTGGAGGCCCAGCAGAGACCAGCAATACTTGATCTCGGGGATCAACATTAGTGTCTTAATGCTGGTTATTGTCCCAAAGTAAGTAAGGTGTGCAGTGTTCAAGATCTGTCCCATTCCAATGATGAGGAAACCAAGGACCAACAAGAGGTGTGCATTTTAGAGCCCCTCCCCATCCCAGGCCAATGACCACAAAACCGATTCTGTCCCCCTTCCCCCACAGGTAGTGCCTATGCTCCTGATCCTCCCCCAATGGGACAAGGACAGGCCATTTGACCCAAGCCTGTTCCTCAAGAGATTGACAATAAAAATGCCCACATTTTAAATGTGTACATGCTACAATTTTCTGATTATAAAATCAATACAAGCTTATTTGAAAAGAACTTGGATCTGCTGGTATGTGCACATCCTTTCTTCTGCAATGAATCAAAGGATTTATTACCAATGGTTTCATCTGGGAAGATTGTAGGTGAGAAGGAAGATTTTGGATTTTGTTTTTGAGCTGTTTTAAATTGTGTGTGTGTGTGTGTGTGTGCATGTGTATGTGTCAAAAAGATATCTGGGAAATGGGATTGTAGACCACTTCGTTTTGTCTTATTATGGTGTCATCTGTGTCTCCATAGTAAGAGAGAGAAAGAGGAAAAGGAGTAGGTTAATAATCAATCTTAAATAATTTGAAAACTAAAGAAAATCAAAATCAACAGTAATCATACCATCTAGATCTAAAGGCTCATATCATTTTAGCATACCTTCATGCTGAAATAATGAGGATTATTCTATATCTAAATTCTAAATTATTCTTTTATTTATCCTTATTTTATGTTATGCCACAAATAATTTTACATATCATTAAATATGCTTCAGAAGCATCCACCTAATGGCTGTAGAGGGGCCTTCCTAGAAAATAACTTTTTATCTATAAATTTCATGTTCATTGAGCACTTCCTAGGTGTCTCCTGCCAAGCACAGCTTCCATGGCGAGGGTTAGATGACACACACCATGGCACAATGTGTAACCAGATGGTTTGATGCCAGAGACTATGTGCTTAACCACTTTACTTCTACATGGAGCATGGTTTCTTAAGCCAACCTTCCTCTGTAGCACATGTACATTGTTCCCAATTCGTCACTATTGAACAACCCTGAGATGTACATCTTTGTCCATAGATCTTTACATCTCTGAGTACTTCCCTAAGTGAACACTTCACAAAAGAGTTGTTTGACTCATAAGAATAAAAATGTTTAAGGCTCTTGATGCATTTCCCTAAGGAACCCACTTAGCATCTCCACAACAGGGTTTGAGAAGGTAAAAATTAGAACTCTTTTTTTATTTATTTGTGACTTATTTCATTACAGTTGAGCTGATTTTTCAGTTTATTAGCCATTTACATTTCTTAGTAGTCAACTTATTGTTTTATGTTAACTCACCTCACTGATACAGTAATAAATTTGGTGTTCCTTTAGTGTAGGTATGGGAAATTTCTTCAAAAATCAACAATATTCTTGTCTGGAACACTGAATTATTTTCTAGAATGCAGATGCATTGTCGACTTATATGAGTGCTCGTCCTGGAAGGAAACAGATGGTGCCCTGAACGGGGATAACCGAGGAGAGTTTATTATAGGGAGCATTTACAAGGGTGTGAGCAGGGTTAAGGAGACCCAGAAGAGTTGGTGCAGCATCCGGGGGCTGGCAACACAGAGGAGCCATTACCTCCCCTCAGTTTAAAGGGGAGGGAAGAGCCTGGAGAGAGTAGCTGTGGTTGTCAGAGAAGCACTAGGCAGGGCAGGATGCAGCCAACCCTCAGAAGGTAATACTCTGGTGTCCTCATCTCTTCCACCTCAGGGTGCAGGGTAGAATTGCTACACTATCTCCCATGGGTCTCATGGTAAAGCAATAACGTCTAAACAGGAAGCCATTAAGGCCTCTATTTTGATCAAAAAAACAGCCTCTGTAAATCCAGACAGGATCCCAGGGGACCAGCATCCCAGTTCAGGGCCTAAGCTGTAGCTCCAACTGGCTCCGCCTCCTCTGTGTGTTTCCCTTCCTTGATGCTTTTAAAGGAAGTTGCTGTCGGATGGAAGGCAAAACTTAGGTTTTCTATGGCACAGTTTTCAGGAAGGGCAAGTCACTCTTTGGCTCTTTGGGAAACTCCCTCACCCCATACCCCACTCAGACCACCTCCAAATGCTCTAGGCTGGGTCTGCCATCAATCCCTGATAACAGACACCCAAGGGAGATGGTGTAGCAATTCCACCCTGCACCCTGAGGCTGCTTGTCTCAGCATGCAAGAACAGCCTGTGCTGCGGCAGGAAAAGTCTCCTCGAGCCTGTGAAAGAGACGAAGGAGAGCAGGGCATTACATATAAGCCAGAGTGACTTGGAAGTCTGCAGCCTGTCTCCTTCGAAGGAAGACAGACAACATGTATAAGAATAATGGCTTACATCAATGGGCCCCAACCTCTGGCCACATACTAAGCCAACCATTTCATCCTCATGACAATCCAGTGAGGTAGGGACTATTTTTATCCCCATTTTACAGATTAGTAAACAAGATTAGTAAACACAGAGAGGTTACAACTTGCTCAAGTTCGCTCTGGTGCCTTGAGCTGGTGAGATGGAGGAAGTGAAATGCAAAGTTAGGTGGGTCTGACCCCAAACCCTTCACACACATCTTCGTGCTGCACTCTGAGGGAAACGACATAGGGCCTGGGATAGAAGCCTGATTCAGCTTCAAAGTATTTTAAATCTCTGAGCCTCAGACTCCCTCTCTATTAAGAAAATTAATTTTTTAAAAGCCATTGATTCCATTAATGCCCCCCCCGATTGTTGTAAAGCTCATAGGAACTGCCTGCATTTCCCCGGTTATCACATGACTGTAATTTGCTTGGTTGGGTCTCTGCTCACAGGTCAGCTCAACCAAGAGGGTTCCCCTGGTAACCCATGCAAAACAGCAGGGTCTCGCCTCCCTGCCCCACCACCCAGACATCCTCTTACTTCTTACTCTATTAATTTTTTCTCATAGCACGTAACACTAGCTGGCCCATTATGTGAGTGTGTGTATGTGAGTGTGTGCGTGTGGTGTATGTAGTGTGTGGAGTGCATGTGGAGTGCATGTGTGGATTGTGTGTTTACACATGTGTACTTTTTGTTTAATGTCTGACTTCGCCTCTATATGGTGAGCCCCAGGACAGTAGGGACCTTGCCTGACTAGCCCACCAGAGTGTCCCCAGTACCAAAAATGACACTGATACAGTATGGATATTTGTCCCCTCCAAATCTCATGTTGCAATATGATTCCCAGTGTTGGAGGCAGGGCCTGGTGGGAGGTGTCTGGGTCATGGCCTCGGATCCCTCATGAAGAGCTTGGTGCCTTCCTGGAGATTATGAGTGAGTTCTTGCTCTATGAGTGTTCATGAGAACTGATTTTTGAAAGAGCCAGGCACCTCTCTCTCCTCTCTCACCACGTAACACCTGCTCCTTTTCACCTTCCACCATGAGTGGAAGCTCCCTGAAGCCCTCACCAGAAGTAGATGCCGATACCAGGCTCCTGGTACAGCATGTAGAACTATGAGCCAAATAAATCTGCTTTCTTCATAAATTACTCAGCCTCAGGTATTCCTTTATAGCAACGCAAGCAATCTAAGACAGGCACCTTGGCATATGCAAGGTGCTCAACAAATATTTGAGAAATAAACAAGCAAACAACAAATGGGTAGTGAATGAAATTAAACTGTATGGTACTTGGCACATACTAGTCACAAAATGTACTTATAAAATTTATTTTATTAGACTCTGAATGCCAGGTGACTTATGATAAATGAGTTCACATAAAATGAACAAATTTTTGACCTATCCTAAACAAAACACAAGAGCCCGTATGCGGAAGGGGAATAGAAGTATTCCAATAACTTCTTTTTGAGAAGAGTTATAACAATTGAGTATAAATTTAAGTTATGAGCTTCTTATTAGCAAAAGCAAGGAGGTAAACCAGATGAGATGTCACAATTCTATTAGATGCAGAAAGCAGTATACTATCACCCAATGCTAATATCTTATCAGATACCTTGGGTGAACAGGAAGGTATTATGGCTCCACTTGGCCTCAGCAGATCTGCTTGAAAGAAATGACACAGCATTTAAATTTTGTTCCATGTGGTCGACTCAGTCCACTTTCTCTTCTTTCTCTACATGCAAGCCTATATAACTAGTTCCCTTTAGGAGGAAAATGCCTGGCTTCCATAGTTTTCCCTTCTACAGCAGAGGTGCTGAATAGGATGAGCTATGTGCCCATTTCCTAGGTTGACCAGACACCTTCTGAGACTGCTGTGAGATTTCCTGGCAGGGATCAGTTCACAAATGTAGCATGCCTCTTCAAGAGTGAGAAGACTTTGAGGGAGATATACCTGAGAGCACTCAATAATTGAAAGGCAAGAAACACCACAACCAGAGCAGCCTCCCAAAGGCAGGGACAATCTGTCCTTGGAAACAGCAAACTTACTCAAATTAGAAGCCTCCGTGCGGGTGTGTATGAATGTTGATTCAACCCTTGTTAAGCACTGACCCTCGGAGGTAGCTACAAGCCAGAGTGTCAGCTGCCCAGAAGCTGGAAAGAGGTCAGAACAAATGTTCCAATGATGTGATGCTGTCCTGCCCCTAGAAGGTGCCCCGGTGCAGTGGGAGGACCTTTGGAGCCCACCAAGCCTGGATTCAAATCTGCCCCCTAACTTGTTAGCCAATTGACCTTGAACCCTTCCTTGCACATTGTTCCCTTCATCTGCAGAAGGTGATTGACACCATTGCCCTGTGCAGCCTATCAGCTACAAATACAGGTCTGGGGTCAGGCTGCTTGGGTTTGACTCCTAGCTTACCGATGGGGTGTCCTTGGGCAAGCACCTTGTGTTCTTTCTTTTATTTTCTCATCTATAAAATGGGTATAGACATACCTACATCCTGTGACTATGGTAAGGACCATATGTACTAAACCATGTAAAGCCTTTAACCCACTGATGATGGAGGTTGCAAATTTTTTCTGTGAAAAATTGGACCTTGGCGATGACCTTGAGGAGTAGGATATAAATAACTCCCACAAGCTTAGTGTTCCAATAACGGAATACTAGGTATACATGGGTTAAGACAGTGCTCTTAAGGATAAGATGTTACTTGTTTTGATTCTCCAAAATTTGGGGCTTGGTGTGAGGCCAAAAACATGTGAGTAGTTGGCACAGTGCCAACACTTAGTGTTTGCATCTCTTTCTTGCGGAAAGCCAGATTCAGTCCAAGCCCTGCTTGGGGGTGAGAGTAAGGTCCCTTCTGCAAACCCAAAAAGGGGTCCCAGGGACAGTTGGATGAGGAATTCCAGGCCAAAGCTTTTCCTTGGATGTGGCAGTAAGAACAGAGTGCACTGGGAACGGGCTGGCCAGCGCCTGCCCCCCTGGGAGTCACAGGAACAGAAATAGGAAGCCCGGGCTGGTATTTACAGTAACTCTTCAGCCCCTGACCACATTGTCTTGTCTGTGGTGCATTTATTTTGGGGACAAGTACTGAAGTCATTGCTGCCCGAAAGTGCTCCAGGCGGGCCCGCCTGTCTCTGCTTTCCCAGGAGAGCCCTGAGGTGAGGGAACCAGACCCACAGGCAGGCCTGGAGGTGCCCTGAGTCTGGAAGGCTGACCGCAGGCCCGGCTCAGGCCCCTGCCAGAGAACAGGCCCAGGCTCCCCAAGAGACTTTGAGAGGTGCCCCCAGCAGGAAGCTCAGAGGAGGACGAGGCGGAGGGAGGGATGTCCCGCCCCACCCACCCACACCCTCATCTCACTTTCCTTTTCCTTCAAGGGCTGCCTTGGCCTGCCTTCCTGGCTGCGAGTGCTCCTCTCTCTCCATTTCTTATAATTCAGCAGGGAAAAGGGGAAGTGGATTCTTCAAAGCCTCTTCCTGGCCTTGATGAGCAAATGCATGGTCCCAGGCCCGGGTTCTGGCCTAGGCAGGCCTCCATTAGCCGTAGCCTGCCTGAATGACAGGCAATCCTAAAATGCCTTCGTTCCTGATACCTTTGCTTAGCAGAAGCATTGAGCTTCCCTGGAGGCAGGCCTAAGGCTCCACCTGTGAACGGAGGCTTGATTTCTTCAAGACTGTCCTATCTGGGAGGTTGCTCTGGCCAGAGCCTTAGGAGCTACAGTGCATGTTGTAGACTATGAGGCTGGCTCCCCCTAGAGTTGTCCAGAGCACAACCAAATATTGTGTGCTCACCTCTAGAGCTTCATGAAGCAGAATTTTATAACCACTAGACCTGATTATCACTTTGCAGGCTTGGAGAGCTGACACTCCTCTATCAGGTTAGCATTTAGCGAGTACTTCACTTACCCTAAGGTGTGAGTTCATAGTGGCTTAATCCACTAACATTCCTTAGGGGTGTTTGTGTATTCACTGGACACAAAAACTGTTTAATGCCCAGGTTTAAAGGGCATAGCTGGAGAATGCTAGGCATTGTCTAAGACAAGAAAGAGATGCTGAGGTCCAGGAGACTCCCTTGTGTCTAACAGTTTATTCGAGAATAGCAAATGCCCGCCTGTCTGTGACCAGTGTTTTCTTGGAGCCAAGAATTATGCCTCTTGGGCATTTTGACCACCCCAGAAGATATATGCCATTTTTACTGAATAGAGGAGAGGAAGAAAACTCAGATTTATCCCCTACCCACTATTAGCCAGAAGTTATGCTAGCACTGTGACAAATGTCATTTCATTTATTTTCACAACTACCCTTCTGGGCTGTTATTATCACCTCCTGGAAACAAGTAATGTGAGGCTGAAGGGAACTAAGCATATTGCCTTAAGTGACAGAGCAAATAAGAGGCAAACTTGTGATTTGAACCCATGTCTGTGTACACCCAGAGTCAGTCCTCCCCTCCCTCCTGCCGCCATCAGATGGAATCCCATCTGTGTTCTGGGTATCAGCGTCCTCTGAGGAGTTCACTAAAATGTGCATTCCAGTTGAAATCTGAATTTCTAGGAGTCAGTCCCAGAAATTTCTATGTAATTCCTCCCTGCCCTCAACAAGGGATTCTGGTACAGAACCTGGTTTGTAAACTAACGTTTTGGAAGTTAGGTTGACGTTTGATAGTAGAAATAATCTCACTAGCCTAGGGAATTCCCACATCTTTGTTCATGCAAAGGAGGATGTCTTTTGTCTTCCATCCTTGAAGGCCCAATTCTAATTTAACCTTCTCCAGGAAGCCTTCTTGGACTGTTTATCCAGCATGTGGTATCTCCTCTGTTTCCTACAATTATCTCCTTGTGCCTCTCTAATGCACTAACCACTGCATGCCTTGGACAGGCTATCTGCATGCTTTTACCTTTCCTAGACTTGAAACTCCTCCTGGACAAACCTGGCTTTCTCATATTAGTTTTCATCCATTCACACTCATTATCATGGAGGATGCCAGAAACCTGGACAGAGCCCTAGATGTAAATCAAAAAGCAAGCATTGAAATGAGTTATGTTGGATAGAATGATCAAGGAACTTTATTAGAAACCTATATCTAGATGGCAAACCTGCAGATTCCTCAAAATCCTCAGCTGCTTCTGGCTAATTTGACTTTTATCACCCAAATCCCTCTACCAGAAATAATCTCTCTCTCCAATATATCCACCTGGTGAACTTCTCTTGACACTTTTCAATCGTCATCTCCTTGCAAAATCATTCCCACTCAGAGCAGCATTTACTACACCTGCTTCTGGGAAAGCTCTGCTATGCTAGGACCCACCAGAGGATATCCTATACTTTATTGTATGCCTTTCCCTCTGGGCTGCAAGCCTCTGCAGGACAGAATTAGGCCTTACTCATCCATCTTATTCATTCCTAGGGCCTTAGTGTTTGGACAGGCACATATTAGTAGCTCATGAGAAGAATGAATAAATGAATGAATGAGTGAATGAATGGAAAAATAACAGTAGCAAGTCTGGGTAACATCTCAACAGATGGGTCAGTTTTTCTCTCTAGAGTCAGTGTTTCTACAAGAACATAAACAAAGGGCAGCCAGCTCGCTACCAAGACCCGGCTCCACAGATTTTCCTGAGAGTCATCAGGTAGCCCTGGGTGAAAGAAGAAAGTCCCTAAGATCAGCTCCCTCTCTACCTGCCAGAGGTGTTCCCAATACCTAAGACAAAGCCAGGGACATGATAGATCGTTCAACCTTACCTCCTCCCACAAGGTCTCTCTTTCATAGTGTTTGCCTACTGGAGAAATTTCTCGAAGTGGATCCTGGAGTGTCACAAGAGCCCTTCACAAAGCCATTCCTACAACAAAACGTGGCCTGGCATGGAGCTCTCCCTCCTTGCTTCTTGTCCCAGAGTCTACGGGCATCAGAAAGTGATATGCAGGGAGATCCCAGGGGCTTCATCAGCACGTTCAGAGCCAAGTCACAGGGGTCAATGTTTTTCCCCATTTCTGCTCATAATCAGTAACAAATGCAGCCATGACTCTGAACTTGCTTTTCTAGTACTTTTTAAAAAGACCTTTAGCCACATAATTTTTATTAGCTCTTTCTTATGTTTTTGTCATTTAACAATAAGAAAATTCCCACAAATTGAAGCCAGACATGTTTACATGGGCTATCAAAAGCCACTATACTTTTATCAGGTTCATCTTTATTTATTCAGTGTCCTTAGCTCACTAGTCATGGGTTTTCAGTGTCTCCTTGTTGTTTTGAAAGCCAGAAGATGCTGGCATATGGTACAAGTTGATTCTCCACTATGCCCATATGCCTAAAACCCCTAGAAAGTTCTTTGTTAGGGAGAGTAGGAGAGACATGTGAAATGAAAATCTCTGTTCCATTTGCATGTATTCAATTGAATGTGCCATCCTGTACATATAATTAAGCCCTGATATATATCATAATTATGAAACTGGCACAATTTTGTATCTCATTAAAGTGGCGTGATTAGAACAATAGAATGTACGCCGTACACCTCCCTCCTTTCAGGTATAAACCAGGCCAGGTTTCTATGGTGTCTTGGAGCCTTTTACATAATCCGTCTATCACAGAGAGGACATGGGCTCCTGGAAACCACTTCTGATGTACAGTCACTGACACCTACTCAAGCTGGGACCATGCCCACCTACTTGGTGCTCAGACTCAGACTCAACCATTCCTCTCCATCCCAGGCTCAGTGAGGAGAAAAATCAATATTCCTAAGTGGGAAAAGACCCAATAAGTTGCTGAAAAAGTTACTTCCATTTATATGTTTGCTTTTAAGTGGTCCTCTTTGGGGCAGTTAAATGGCAAAGTGGCCGGAGCACAGAAGAGGTGGCAGCCAGCCCAGCTCCCCTCTCACTACCTTGCAACCCCAGAAAAGCAAATAACCTCTCCAAACCTTGCTTCCCTGTTTATTAGTATTTATTTATTTGATTTTCTTAAGTTTGCCCTTTGTGGTAAGAAATCACCTCAGGGCACAGGCACAAGAGAGTAACAATTCATTAAACTACATACAACTGAGCTGAGATGGCTGACAGCCTCGAAGTAAGAGACAGCCAGACAAGCCTTTTTTAAAGCTTTGGCCCCCTAACTTGCCAGAACTACCGTAGGAGTCCAAGAACGCAGCAAGGAAGCACTCACTAGATAGGGAGAGAGGCTCCAGCTCCCAGAGATCTTGGGAGGCGTTAGCAGCAGTGCCCAGGCAGGCTGACCATGCTCTAGGAGCAAAGCTCATCTCAAAAATGTGGAAGGTTGGCCGGGTGCGGCGGCTCACGCCTGTGATCCCAGCACTTTGGGAGGCCAAGGCAGGCGGATCATGAGGTCAGGAGATCGAGACCATCCTGGCTAACACGGTGAAACCCCATCTCTACTAAAAATACAAAAAAAAATAGCCGGGCATGGTGGCAGTTGCCTGTACTCCCAGCTACTCAGGAGGCTGAGGCAGGAGAATGGCGTGAACCCAGGAGGCAGAGCTTGCAGTGAGCAAGATCGCGCCACCGCACTCCAGCCTGGGTGACAGAGCGAGACTCCGTCTCAAAAAAAAAAAAAAGTGTGGAAGGTTCTCCTTAGCTTTAAAGGCAGTGTGGGAGCTACTGAGAATCTAGAAGAAAATCTGGTTGAGAACTGACTCAATCAAGCAAGGTCTGGGCACTGTCAACAAGAGTGACCCTGCTCAGAGGCAGGCCAGAACCCCCACTGGGTGTTAAAAAGAGGCAGAGGAGCTCACTCTCCCTGAGAATTACAATTGTCCAGCAAAGGAAAATGAAGTGATAAGCTCCATCCCCAGGGGAATCCAAGCAGAGATGGAGACCTGCTATGTTCCAGGAACCATGCCAGGGATCTGCATAAAATTCCCAGGGAACCAGATCACCGAAGTTAGGAGGAACCATGCCAAGCAGGTGAGATACAGCTCAGTCTAACACTAATTCACACAACGCCTTCTACATAGAAACATTTTTTCAAGACTCCTTTGATAAAGCCTACTGCATACGTTCCACGGCCCTCTGTCTTTTCCACTGGACAACATATCTTAGATATCATTCTATGTCCATCCAGTAATGGGGTCTTCATTCTTTTCAATGGCTACAATTAGAAGCATCTATCAATGTATCACTTTTTACATTGAGTTTCCAGTGATGTGCATTAAGGTTGTTTCTAGTGATCTGTTATCACAATCTTTGTATATATGTCACATGAAAGTGTATCTTTAGGTCACATTTCCATAAGTGAAAACACTAGGTCAAAGAGAATATGCCTATGGAATACTGATGGATACATTGCCTGGAGTGCAGTGGCACCATCTCAGCTCACTGTAGCCTCAACCTCCTGGGCTTAAATGATCCTCCCACCTCAACCTCCTGAACAGCTGGGACTACAGGTGTGTGCCACAACACCCGGCTTTTTTTTTTTTTTTTTTTTTGTAGAGATGAAGTCTCACCATGTTGTCCCAGCTGGTCTCAAACTTCTGGGCTCAAGAGATCCTTCCACCTCAGCCTCCCAAAGTGCTGGGATTATAGGCATGAGCCACTGTGCCCAGCCTGGTTCTTTGGCTGTACATGCCCTCTTCCCCTAAAAGTCTCTCCAGGTTATCAACTCATATAGTCAGAGGGCTGCACTCCCCAGATGAAACATAAATCTCTGTTTATGGAAGCCCATGAACACATTCTGAATACTTAAGCTCAAGAGAACAAAGCCTGAAGAGGGAATGTCTCTGGTCTGAAGTCCACCTTCTACTTTCCCATTTCTTTCTGTAGGGTCTGTCTCTTCTTCATACTATTCTTATCCATAGCACCCAGTCCTTTCCCTTCCTGAAGATGCAACCCTAGACTTAACCACTAGACAAACCCAGCAGAACATATTGTCCCAGTATCCGTATAAGATCTATACATATGGTGCTTCATTCTCGGCATTTTTCTCTCTCTAATCACTACTGCCTTCTAAAGAAAATGTGGTATGCTGTTTAACAAAAGGCTCATGTTATGCTGAGCATGTTGATAAGTTTGGATAGACAAATATTGGCCAAAGATGGAGCTGAAGCTGGAAAGAGCCAATACACAATAAAGCCAGAGGAATTTGGAGATTCCAAGAGCAACCCATGAAAGAGGCGATAAGGAAGAGAGGTAGGGAAGGGGGAAAGGAATCAAAGAGCCATCAAGATATCAGGAGGTTGGGAGTTGTGTTGTCTGGGGAACAGGCCAGTGATGCTTCTCCAGAGGTCCTGGGACCCAAGGACATTTCAAACAAGGAGGTTACCTAATGTTTACTCTGAAGCAGCTGTGAAGCTGAGATGTAGGTGCTATCTTGGTATTCCTAATTGCCAAGCCATCGTTGAAGTCTAAAGAGTTATTACTTCTGTATGCGTGTAAGGCAGGGGAATAGACAATCAAGGAAGGAGCTGACCATGCCTGGGTTAATATGGCATGGATCAGTAAGTGCTCTTTCAGAGGTGAACCTCAGGGCCCAAGATAACCATGGAAATACTAGCTTATGGGGATTCCCACTCTTAGCAAGGACCTCCATTGATCAAGAGGTCCAGAGAGTAGAGATTTCACCTGATCTCTGGACCAAATTATATTGCACATTTCTGCACCTTTCTCCATGAGGGTAGGCCAAGATGGCTATTCTCATCACCACAACTCTTCTTTCAGGTTGCCACATGGCCTTCTCCTTCACTTCAATCAGGTCTCTGTTCTAACAGAAAATCATTCCTGATCACCTAACTACAGCCATACCCCCTGCCCCACCTTCTCCACCCCCTAACCCTGTCACCTAGCATTGTATATTTGTTTATCCCCTTATTGTTTTCCTCCCTCCCTAGAACATAAGCCCTGTAATAATGGGAAACTTCTCACCTTTGTCTTCTTGGTCCCCATTACCTAGAACTATGTCTAGCACAGAGTAGGTACTCAGTAAATATCTGTAGAATTTATTAAGCAAGCCAAGAATGACTGGAGTACATAAACATGAAAACATTTGGACGTTGTTTAAAACTAAGCAGATTACTATGTTGAGTGTCTCGATGTAGCTGAGAAAACAACTATTTCATAAGGAACAGAGTGAAATAAAAGTCGAAGGGTTTAAATTTTTTTAATTAGTCCTTTTATTCTCATGTTTTGCAGACTAATAGCAACCACGGACTTAGACACATAGAAGGATTTTATGAATTGCACATCTCTCAGCAGGGTCTGACTGCCTGCATGGACAGGGAGGGTGAGTCCCAGTCCAGATAACCATGAACATCCATGAGTAATTATGACCAAGATCCTATTACCAAGCCAAACCTTGCACTAGGAGTTAGGCATGTGTTACTGAGGTCAGCAGTTGGCTCTTCTGTCCACTGTTTTGTGCCAGCCCAGACAACTTAATGCTCTACCAGTGATTATACAAATTGTGCTCTCACTTTTTTTTTCAATTACAGAAGTAGAGAACATGTCATGATCCATACGGAGAAGGAACAGAGCACTGAGTTTAATCCAAGAGTTGTCTGCATTTCCATCATCAAACTATTACTTTTCCACTCATCCTGACCCACCACCATTCTCCCACTCTGTGTTCAGAACAGCCATCACTGCAGAGTAAGATGCCATTAGCTAGCCATTGAGGTCATTAGCTGCATCCACACAGAAGAGCAGGGAGGCCAAAGGCAGCCTTTGGAAATCATACTCAAGCTACCAAAGTGAAGAGAAAGCCCCTGGAGATTCAGGGGAACAGGATCTCTGGCCCAAATAACCCACAGCTACACGAAGAGATGCAAGGAACTGAGCAGCTACTTCATGATGTAAGACATGTAGATGAATTATCTAAATTACTCAGAGTACCTGTCTACACAGCCTCAGCTTACTTGAGAATTGTTCTTCCAGGCTTCATTGAAGTCATGAAATAAATAAAAAGCCATGGAACATAAATAAATATCATAGAAACCCCTCCCAATATATGGTTGCTCTCCTTAGAGGGATGGTGATAAAATCAAGTCTGCATTCCTTTATAGCATGCATCAGTGTTAACAACCCAGCATTGTTTAAGTGAATTTGACACATATCTGTGCAAATAAATTAATACTCTCACTTTGACTGATTTTTGGCAGAAACAAACAGGATGCCATGCCAATTTATGAGTTGACCTGTTACAAGAGCCCTTCTGAAAATAATAAAATAAAAGCCATGCAAAGTACTTCAATATATCTTAACACCAAAATTAAAGAAGTCAGCTTTTCTTTTTCCTTTTCTCTCTGTTCACCTAAAGTCCTCTGACCTGTTAAACTGTGTAATACAAATGTGCTAGTGATAGCAGTTGTGAGAGGAAGAATAAAGGTAACAGGAAATGGGCAGGGAGCAGGCAGGAGATGCATGTAACAATTTATCAAGGGAAGAGAATGACACCTCATTGTCTATATTAAGAAGAGCTAGAAATAAATCAATAAACCATTTATTTATTCTTCCTGAACATCCAACATCCAATATTATAGCATAACATATATCTTTCCACATGTCCACACTACCTTTTTTAAAGAGTAGAGTCAAAATTAACCAAATAGCCAATTTATAAAAACAAAAGCGTTGAGAGTGACAAATTTGATCACCTTTTCCTATCACTTCAGTTGATTAAATATTATGTTCTGCTTTTTGATTATTTAGTCTATAAACAAAAAACATAAATACAGAAGTCAATGAATTTTTGTCTATTTATAAGTAACTATCCACGTCCATAGCTTCAGGAAGTTTTCTCATGCTCCTTACTGGGCAATATCCACCTCCTACCCCAGAGTAACTCCTTTCACCTTTGTGAAAGGGTGAGAGTGACAGCGGTGTTGTTGTGTAAGGTATGATTCCAATTATATAAATTTCAAGTAAGAGGAAAATTAAACAAAAGTGAAAGAAGGTGACTTCTTTAGATATTAGCAATTTTACTACCTTTGGATATTGATAAATACCTTGACCTATAAGATTAATACAGTTTAATTATAATCTATAGGATTCAGATACTTATCTTAATATTAATATTTTTAGATTGTTAGCTATCTCTTGAGCTTGAGTTTTTAGATATTAGTAATTTTCCTCATTCTCAAATTTTATATTACTGGAATCATACATTATGTTCTCTCTTGTGTCTGTCTTCTTTAGCGCAATATGGTATTTATAAGATCCATCCATTTTGTGGCATATATCCTTAGTTTACTAATTTTTATTGCTGTGTAGTATTCTACCATATGAACACACCACAGTCTGTTTATTTTCCTGCTGATGAGTATTTGGGGCTATTATGAAACGGCTGCTGTGAACATTCTTGTACAAGTCTTTTTTGTGAACATGTACCTATGTATGAATTTCTCTTGGGAATGATTTCTCTAGTTCATAGGATAGGCAGATATTTAACTTTATTCAAAAAAGCCACAGAGTTCTGCAAGGAGGTTGTACCATGCTGTCATTTGCTTTTAAAATAACTACGTTTTGACCAAATACAACTTATATCCACATTTCTTGTTTCCTTACCTCCTGTGAATAGTTTATTCATGGACATACAGATGTTGGGGATGGCAGGATACCATGAAAGAACACAACAGGCTTTGGAATGAACTTCAGATAAGCTTCAAAACTCAATCTCCCCACTCACTAGTTTACAGACTTGAATCAAAATTTTACTTTTAGGCCAGGTGGGTGGCTCATGGTTGTAATCCCAACACTTTGGGAGGCCGAGGTGGAAAGATTGCTTAAATTCAGGAATTCAAGACAAATCTGGGCAACAGAATGAGACCCCCATCTCTAAAAAAAAAAAAAAATTGGCTGGGCGCGGTGGCTCAAGCCTGTAATCCCAGCACTTTGGGAGGCCGAGGCGGGCGGATAACGAGGTCAGGAGATCGAGACCATCCTGGCTAACACGGTGAAACCCCGTCTCTACTAAAAATACAAAAAATTAGCCAGGCATGGTGGCGGCCGCCTGTAGTCCCAGCTATTCGGGAGGCTGAGGCAGGAAAATGGTGTGAACCTGGGAGGCGGAGCTTGCAGTGAGCCCAGATCGCACCACTGCACTCCAGCCTGGGAGACAGAGTGAGACTCTGTCTCAAAAAAAAAAAAAAAAAATTCAAATTAGCCAAGTGTGGTGGCATACACCTGTAGTTCCAGCTACTTGGAAGGCTGAGATGGGAAAATCACTTGGACCTGGAAAGTCAAGGCTGCAATGAGCCAAGATCATGCCACTGCACTCCATTCTGGGCAACAAAGTGAGACCCTGTCTCAAAAATATATATATATAGATTATTTTTAAACATGTCAGTCTCAGTATTTCTTTGTAAAATAGCAACATTATCTATTACTCTATAGGCTTGCTGTAAGAATGAAGTGAGGTGAGACAGGTGAAAATATCTAGCACAGGTTCAGCCATGTGGCAGGCACTGGATAAAAGCAAATTCCCAAGTCTCCCTGCATTCCCTGAGCTTGACGAGCATCTTTGCTTTGGGGTGTTAAGAAATTCTCTCTCTCTTTCTCTCTCTCTCTCTCTCTCTCTCTCCTAGGCCCCAGAGACTGGGGAGCAAGGAGGTCAGGAAAAGAAAGACCCTGCAGAATGGAAGGTCAAGGGACCGGATGAGGATGAAAATCCACCCTCCATGGCAGAAGGGAAAAGCTCTATTTACAGTAGGACCCAGATGGAACTGATTTGTTCAGAGCCATCTTATTCCTGAGTGTGATATTTGTCCACATCATAAAACCACAGGCTACAATGTGTCTGACATTATACCAAGTGATATAACCCCTTCTAATGATATTATAATAAATCCCAAATGAGGCAGCCATCACTGGGCAGCCTTTTCAAAGTGTTCCTGAAATAGTTTTTACAGAACAAGGGATCTGCATGCCAAATGCAGAGGCTCACATGAGGCCAGAGGAGTTAGCTCAGGCATACACATGAACACAACTGTGGCTTAGTTCTTGGCTGGGAACTTTTTCTTTCTGTATTAATCTATTGGTTTTTATGAAAGTCAAAATGTTTTTTTTTTTTACTTTTTTATATGAAGGATGAACTTGGATATTTTCTAAGTGCAATAAAATGTCCCCCAGGGTGCTTTTTTTATTATTATTCTTTAAATCAGCAGTTTTTGTGCCTCTTCATTAGTACAAGTCAACGACCTTTCATCTTGGCTTCACCTCCAAGAAAGCTGACCACACTTCCTGCCATCCTGGTGGTAGAAGCTTGTTTTTCTCTGTTGTTTTGCTAACATGCATAGGTATATTTCTGAGATACCATGTGATCTGCTTCCACAAGCATAGGGAGCTTGCTGACTCAGGAACCATTGAATTTTTTTCTAGGACAAACGTGTAGCCCTTTCTGCCCTTAAAGGCAAGAACCGCAGGAAATCATGTGTCTTTACTAATAGGGTTGCATACACCATCCTCCTGGACTGTGCTCTTAGAATTAGTAGGATCTGGAACAAAAAGGAGTATCTCTCACGATCACCAGTACCCCACCACTACCATAACCAGCGTCACCATTTCCATGACTGGATTCACAACAACACCACTGTTACTCTCACCCTCGTCACTTCCCTTGCCTGTCTTTCCCACATAATTATTCTTCTGGCCATTCCCACTGCAGTGGATAATCTATTGTCTGCATCTTCCCAACACACCTCTTTCCTTCCCTTTCCCCATGTCATGTGGTTCCATCACTGGTCCAAAATTTGAGCCCAAGATACGAATACATCTGTTTTACTGATATTGGGAAAGACTCTTTTTTTATTCTGTCACTGGAATCACAAGGCTGGTCTGGGTAAGTCTAAAATTGCTAGAGATTACTAATTGCCAACAGGAGAAAAAGAGCTTATTTAACATGAAATATACACCGAAGGGAGCAAATCAGAAAAGAGGGGGAAAAAAAGAGAGAGAAGCTCTTTTAAAATTGTTGAGCCACCTGGATTCAGCCATGCCCATAGTTTTAGTTATTTAAAATGTTAATTGTTTTGCTTACACTGCTTTGAATTGGGTTTCTTTTGGCATAAAAATGAAAGGATTTGACTAAAACCACCCTCCCTGTTACCTGGTTCATATTTCCCACCTCTATTCCAACTACACTCCAGCTTGGCATCCCATATCAAAGTGTTTGCTGGCAAGCCAGGGCCTGGGGTTGAGATTCTAAGGGATAACTATGATCTCCTACCTAAGTAAGCCTAAAGATGAAGCTACATTTCTTAAGGGAAAGCAAGTCCTTCATGCCAAGGAGACTAAACACAAACTTCAAGCCTGGAACAATTAGGATAACACCAAGTTTAAAACAAGAGTAAAAGACCTGAGATAATTGTTCCCGACACTAACAGAGTACAGGAAATTTCCTTTATGGACTAGCATTTTGGTTAGTGAAGATAGGAGGGTGACTTAGCAAATACAAACCAAGATGGAAGGTACCACTTTCACCAGCATCACAGTCCACCAAGTATCAACAGCATCATGGTGGCTGTCTTGCATTTCATCTTTTACTGGGCATTTAGAATTCAGCAGATACAAAAAGGGCCTCTACTTTGCAGGAGTATATATTCCCACAGGGTGGAAATACAGAAAGACAAATTCAACAAATAAACTTTCACAAGCAACAAAAAGCTATTTGTCCCCAAAAGAGTGGCTAAGATACGAGGTGAACATTAATATACATTTGGAGATGTTTGGGTCTTTCTTTTCATAGGATTGGCCATCTTTAGAAGGCAATTATTTTAAAATAGCATTCTGTTTCCTCTGGTGGTACATTTCTACACCTTCCACAATGGTACTGCTTTTCAATGCTTTAAAAACCACAGTAGAAACACAAAGAAGGATATGTATGCATTCTCATTTTCTTGTACCTTCCTCCCCAAAATCACTTTCACCACCATTCTCATCACTTCTACTACCACTAGAATGGCACAATCCTGGGACATAGGCTGGGAAGAATGATACATCTTTTCTCATAACTGATAATGCTTGCTGATAACATGTACTCTCTTCCTGGTTTTAAAACTAATGTATGTCAATTATGTATTTGTTAAATACATTTGTTTACAAGTAGCAAAAACCAACTGAAGACAACATAAGCCTTGAAGGGGCCTATGATAGAAGGCCATAGGAGTTACTTGAGAACCTAAGGTGCAGGCTCCAGCCAGTCCTCCAAACAGACTGGACCCAGGAAGTCCCAGATATGCCCCTTCTTTCTGCTTCTCTCAGAGTCTTTTGCTCCAATCTTCTCTCATTCTATGCACTAGCTTTCTCCTAGCAGTTCCCAGAGGATCCAGAGCCTAGACAGCCAAAGCATTGAAAACCACTGTGAAAGATTTAGAAATGTACCACCAGAGGAAACAAAATGCTATTTTAAAATAATTGCCTTCTAAAGATGGCCAACCCTATGAAAAGAAAGACCCAAATAGCTCCATTTCATTTTCTTCTGGGTGCTACTAATGGAAAGCAGCCTAGTACGGTGGATGAGAGCTGACTCCACATTCTGCTAGCTGCATGACTTTGGGTAAGCTTTGCCCCTTGCAAAAATAAAAAGAAATAAGGCCCTCTTCAGAACAATGTTCATCCATGGAAAACACTCTGTGAGCAGGGGCTAACATAATTATTAATACAAAAGGGGTAGATGACCAGTTCTTTTGATTGAAAACACGCTGAAGGATTGTGGACATTCAAAGATAAGGCAGAAGATACCTTTAAAATTAGGAATCAGATATTATAGACTCACTCCAATTAACAAAGAGAGAAGAATTCCAAGTTTCCCAGAACAAACTGGGAGGAGAGAAACGGAGAGAGAGAAAAGTAGTATGGCAAGAGAAGGAAGCTTAACATGGTATAGTGTTACCCATGTGGAGAGCCAAATGGACTTTGAATAACAGGAATCTAATACAAGGGATCTTAATCCAGGGCCCATGGATCCCAATTGATATGGAGATAAAATTCAGGGAGTCCTTGAACTGAGTTGGGGGAAAAATTACAGCTTAGTTTCACCAACCTCCAACTAAAAATTAACATTTTCTTCAATTATAAATGTAGGCAACACATCACAATAGTTATTGGTAACTTTTGTGGCTTTGCAATCAATAGAAATCACAGATGGTCTCATGTCATATTGTAGTTGTTGAATACATTTCAAGATATCATTTATACTTATCATTACTTTAATATTATACTCAATTTCTGTCTAACCTGTGTATCATGTTACTGAATGCATTATTAATAAAGAAGCACTTTACATCACTGTATTACCAGTTTGCTTTTTCTTAAATATTTGATAACTTTATTTCAACATAATTCATTTTCTTTATAATCCTGTACATTTTATTGCATGAATTTAAAAACATAATATTTGAAAGGGTCTATAGTTTTCACAAAACTGCCAATAGGGTCCATGAAAACAAAAAAGAAAATCTTTAAGTATCTCTGATATAATATAGGATGTATTCATCTTTTATATGGTATATGATAATAACCCTTCTCTTAAGCCATAGATCTTTAGTAAGAGTCTAGTATGGTACATGCAAGAGATTCATATTCCAGATTGTTTGAAGGAGGACTGGAGGTAGAAATAAAAGAGAAGGAACTATGCCCCATGCATTGGTTAAGCTACCAGATCAGAGATATAAGAACCACACACTTTGGGAGGCCAAGGTGGGAGGATCGCTTGAGGCTCGGAGTTCGAGACCAGCCTGGGCAACGTAGTGAGACCCTGTCTCTACAAAAATAATTTAAACACACACACACACACACACACACACACACACACACACACACACACACACAAAAGAGAGAATGGAATAATGGAATTCTAAAGATAAGAAGTCACTATCAGAGGTGATGATGAGAATGCAAGTCCTCAAGGATCCACACAACTCATTAGGAAGATGTGGACTTTCCACAGGACATGGGATGGCAGTTAAAATCCGCACTGTCTAACTCAAAAGTGGCAGGTTGGCCCCAAACTGACACCTGTGGCTTTAATAATATAAAGACCACCAGTAACCCAAGCACCACCCAGAAATAATTACCATTATTATGCTCATATAGGTCTTCCAGTTATTTTTCTGTATATGCATACATGTATGGTGTTGTATTCATATGAAGAAAAGTTTATTGTATTAACATATATGAATACAATCAATTTTCAAAACTAGACTCAATGAAAGCACACAAATCTTACTTTTTAAACTTTGTCATGCCCAAAATATAATTTTTGTGGTTATATCATGTTTCATCATATGGAGATGCCATCTGCTGTCACTAAATCCTCTAATATTTGACATTTACATTGTGTTTAATATTTCACTTATAAATAATGCTATACAGAAAAATTCTTATACATAATTTTTATTAAACTGATTATTTCCTTAGAATAAACTCCAAGTTATAGAAAAATTAGGTCAAAGTCTACTAACACTTTACCACTCATGAAATTCATTGCCAAATCATTTTTTGTTACAATGTTAATAGCCTCATCGGCAATGTGTAAAAAACTCACTTTGCCATCTTTTTCATCACTGCATATTATCCTTTTTTAAAATATTATTTTTTGTTTTTAATTATAAGGCATGTTTGTAGCTAACTTGGCAAAGTTGTCTGCAATAGTACTTCTCATTGCTGCACGCACCCCTCCTTTGCAATTTGACGTTGCTGCTCCTTCTATCAAGTTGAATGACATGACAGGAAACAGAAACAAGTGTCTCAGCTAGGGTCCTCTAGATCAACCGGCCCCCAGCAAATCCACCAGCTGACTGCAATAGAATTGTGTAACTGTGGGCAAGACCAACAGAAGAAACACCCAGCTGAGCACAGCCCAAATTATTGGCCCTCAGAGTCATGAGTCAATAGAATGGTTGTTATTTTAGCCACTAAGTTTTGGGTTGATTTCTTACATAGCAGTAGATAACTGATATAATGTTCACTTTTGTCATAAAAATGTATATTAAATTTTAGGGAAAAGTAGTAAAATGAATCCAGTATTCCACCATCCAACATAGAAGAGACCACTGCTAACAATTTGATGTATTTTATTCCCATCTCTTTTATGTCAGTATGCATGTACTATATGGATATCAGAACTATAAACTAACCTTGCTTTTAAAGATTGTTACAAAAATTCTACAAGCACACCAGCAAATGTAATTCATTAAAATATTAAAAACAGTTATTTAAAATCACTAATAAAGAGATTATTTAATGCTATTAATGAGAGCTATTTAATGCTATTATTTAATGATACATTACAAATATATGTATCAGGTCAATGAAAGTGCAATTATCTGGATAAATATTAATAAGTAATTGGTAAGTTTGATGTCCATTTTTTAGGAAAAAAAATCATAGAATATAAGGAATAGGAAAATTCAAACCTAATATGACATGATTAAAATGTCTACCTTGAAAGCAATAGTCAATTTTATACCTAATGGCACTATATAAGCGGCATTGCTATTAGAAGTAGGAGCAAGTCAAGAATGTTCCCTACAATATCATCACTAATAATTGCTCTGGAAATTCTAGTTAAAGCAATAAAACAAGAAGAACATTGAAATGTAACTATTAGAAAAAAGAAAATGAATTTATGAACACTTACTCATGACATTACCACACATCTCAAATCCTAAGACAATCAAATAAAAATGTGTTAATTTGAAGATTGAGTATAAGGGCTTGATATAAAATAAATATACATTTTTTCAAAATTGCAATAATAACATATTAGAAAACTAATGGAAATCTATCATCTTTGTAACTTTAAAAATATTTAATACCTCCTATATGTAATTTAAAATATAAATCATCTAGAAATAAGCTAATTACTAAATGTGGAAAAAAAAGAATGAGCTTACATAACTGATGACAAAGAGATTGTCTATTAAATTATGGTGTGTCCATAAGTAATACTACCCAGTCATTAAAAATCGTGTTTTTGAAGAATGTTTAAAAACTTGTCAAAAAGTTGTAATATAGGGTTAGGAAAAGATTCATGATACAAAATACTATATGCAATATCATCTCAAATGTGTGTGTGTCTCTGTCAACATCTGTCTCTGCTTCTAAAAAGAGGTCAATAGAAAGAGACCTGAAGACAAGCTGAGCTGTTGCTCTGGCTCCCTCATCTCAGCCAATGGCTTGTTCCCCAAAGCTGCCCCCAAGACCACAGCCTGGTGCCAACGATGCGTGACATCCTCTATTCTACTTTGGAAGAGAACCAGCCTAACAAGCCTCTACAGTCCCTGTCACAGATGGAGTTCTTTACAGCAGAGATGAGCACCTGGCCTTGGGAAACCAGAGAAACAGGTCAACTGAATGGGTCACCACCATCAGTGTTCTGTAAGCGTGAGAACTCATTCTTCTTCAGCCTTCATTGTGCCTGGAGATCATCATCACCATCACCCCATGGTCATCAACATGCTTGGGCTTCCCAAAAAGAAGCCCAAGGCTATATATCCAAGCAGATTGGACTATTTGCTAAAGATGAGTCTAACTGATTCAACATAGGTATGCTTCCCCTTGCTGAGAAACTGAGGCATCTATGACATAAATAAGGTAGGTGAACAAAGCCCACTGAAAGTCAGATTGACTGGTGTTCAAATCCTGGTTCTACTACTTCCCAGCTCTGGGATTTGGGGCATGTTACTAAATCTCTATGAACCTCACTTTCTACATTGTAGATGTAATTAGTAATAATATGTACCTTACAAGGCTGGTGTGAGAATTAAAGAGGATATAGCATCGCACCACTTATTTCAAGGTAATAAATTTACCTTGGTCTCCAAAAAGGTAAAAAAGTGAACGAGAGCTTGGGCTTCTAATAAAAAGACTGTTGTTGGAGGAAACTCAGACTCACCATGAGTCACTTCAAATGTGCTGAGGCTGTGGAACTGCAGAGGCTATCAGTGCAATGTGAATGGTACAAAGTTGGGTCCCAAACACAGGGCTGGAAGTCCACCAGTATCTCACTGCCCATGATGGGTAGGATTGCCAGGAGTAGCAAATAAGAACACAGGGCAGTTAGATTTTATTTCTAATAGGCAATGAATTATTAAAATGTGGGGTATAAAAGCATGTCCCGAATGCATAAGTATGTATTTTTCTTCTGTTCATTGATACATCCCAGACCCCCAGACTATGCCTGACATGTAGAAGACACTTAATAAATATTTCTCTACCATGAACAAATTTCTGAATATGTAGGCAGGACCCCACGAACGGTATGAAATAAAAGATTTATAATAGGAATTAGCCCTAATATGACTGTTGGAGCTGGTGGAAAAGTGTACAGAAGGCTATAGACTCTGCATCTGGTGGTGGATCTGAAGTTGCTACAGGCTAGCAGGGTTGGCAATCAGGATATCAAATGATGTGAAGAAGAGGAGAGGAAGGAACTGGGATCCACATCTCTCTCTCTCCATGTCTAACCTTGACAACTGGTAACTTTCAGAAGAAGCAGACACCATTTGTCATAGAGCTGCACATATACCTGAACCAGGCTCAGAGAAACTGATCAACAAGATCCAGTGGAAGGAGCTGATCAGCAAAATCATACAAGGGCTGTAGCAGTGTGTGGAGCCCTACACTTTCCATGATTGCGTTAATGATCTTCAGAGTAAAATGAGAGCTGCTTCCTTTCCACCTTCCTCGTCTCAGGTAAATTTCTCTTGTGGCCAACCCTAACCTAGAACCATACAAGGAGGGGAATGTGGGGAAACATAGTTCCATCTTTGCTAAATTGGCACAGTTCAAAACCATCACCATCTACCCTTTGCTCAACTTGGCATCCGTGCATAACTCTTTTAATAATACCCAAATAAAGACACCAGCAAAGTCATATTTCTGCTTAACATGATCCAACTATTCTTCAAACAGTTGAAAACATGCTATCACCCCAAAAGAGGATACAAAGTCCCACATGTCACTTTAGCCATCTCTGGGTAATGTTCATTCATCTTGCAGCTAAGCCACACCTAGTCACACCCTTTTGATATTCTGTAAGTTAAATGCAGAGTTACAAGGTTTACTTCTCTTAATGTGTCTTGCATTTGATGGAGAGAGAATGAGAGTGGAGAAAAAGAAAAGACTTGGTTAATACAAATATAATTATATCAAAATAATGAAGAAATATTCATAATTACTATAGGCCTTATTTCTTCAACTGGTCACGTGGCCATGGCTGGTAGTCCTGGTGCACTCCTACCATCCTTTTCACACTCCCTTTGCAATGAGCAGGTAGCCTGGCTCATCATGCTTTGTTGCCTGATAAAGTGACCCAAAGCTTCATTCCTGAAGGATCTGGGTTGTCAGCTGTCCCGCCTGTATTTGGTCATGGTGGTTTTTCAACTTTTATCACCAGACTTGGAAATACTAATGGGTGCCCCAGGGAATGCCCTACATTCCAGACATACTCCACTTACCCATATTACGTAGTAGCAACCCAGTCACTCCTTGGTATTCAGGATCAGTCACCCTAGCCAGCACAGTAACTCCCTTCTTTGTGGGTCCACTCAGGGACATGAGGAGGCCAAGGAGGCCAGGAAGCAGTCTCAACTTCCCTCTAATTAACTGTTATTGTGCCCCTTTTGGGGGAGCACTTCTCCCCTGGGGGTCTAAGTCTTCTTGGTTAGGAAAGGTTAGGCTGGGTACGGTGGCTCACACCTGTAATCCCAGCACTTTGGGAGGCCAAGACAGGTGGATCACTTGAGGCCAGTAGTTGAAGACC
Organism: Homo sapiens; assembly: GCF_000001405.40. Taxonomy (NCBI): domain Eukaryota; kingdom Metazoa; phylum Chordata; class Mammalia; order Primates; family Hominidae; genus Homo; species Homo sapiens. Next base: position 40,490,431 of record NC_000020.11, read on the forward strand.
AGCTTGGTCAACATGGCGAAACTCCATCTCTACTAAAAACACAAAAATTAGCCAGGCATGGTGGCAGGTACCTGTAATCCCAGCTACTCAGGAAGCTGAAGCAGGAGAATCACTTGGATCCAGGAGGCAGAGGTTGCGATGGGCTGAGATTGTGCCACTGCACTCCAGTCTGGGTGATAGAGTGAGACTTCATCTCAAAAAATGAGGAAAGACAGGTTAAATTCACAGGGAAGGATGCAAAAACTTTGCTCTCAGACTACTAGGGTAATAGTAAGAGGAGTTCATTCCCAGACCTATGAAACCTGGCTGTGGCGAAACCATCACTGATTATTCCAGCCCCACAAAGTGCTACCACCCAGTCAGTGCCATAAAGTCTCCAAGTGGCTTATTCCAGAATCCTATCAGCCACTTGCTTTGGGCTGATGGAGGACATTGAAAGGCCAGTGAATTTAATGAGCATGAGCCAATGGCTGATCTTCATTTGCTGTCAGATGAGTCCCCTGGTCAGAAGAAATGCTCCTGGAACACTGATGGTAAAGAGGGCCCTCTGAGATCCGTGGTGGTCCTGGAAGCAGCATTTCAGGCAGAGAAAACAAGTCTATTTCTAGAGTAAGTGTCAGTTCCCATGAGAACAAAGCACTGCTCCTTCTATGATAAAAATAATTCAATGTAATTACCCTACCACCAGGCTGATCCCCAGGGGAAAAGTGCCATATTGAGGAATCAGAGTGGGTCACTCCTGTTAGTAGGTAAAGCAGTGAGCAGTTGTCATAGCCAGAGACAGCAGCCTTGAGGAGTGAAAGTCCATGTTGCTAAGCCCATGCAAAACCTCCATCCCCGCCACCAAAGCCATTTAGTTGATGAATTATAGACATACAAGTGACAGAGGAGGCACCAAGAGACTCCTGAGTTACATCTCGTTGTTCTGTGAGCACAAGCACAAAGCAGGAAGTAGGAAACGGGGCTAATAGGAATACGGAAGACTCGGGACTTTAGAGAACAGGCTGAAGTGACCAGAATTTATGATTTCCCATGGGTGGGTCAGAAGAGTCAAGATAATATCAACATCTTCCTCTGTATTCTGGAAGCATCTCAAATGAGCACAGAATCTGTAAGGGATTAACTGTGTGATCTATTCTGACATCCTGCTCAGCAAATGTGCCCCAGAGGAGAGAACTTGCCCCATCCCCACTCACTGGTGGCAGGATTTTGGGGGGACCCAGAAAGAGGCTGGTACATCAGAGCTCATGGAGCTCCCCTTTGGCCCATGTCCTTTGTGATATTCATAGACCATTGATGGCTCCTTCATAATGGACCTCCCAGAACACAAACCAAAGCAAAGCAAAGAGTTCTATACCTCCCTCACTTCCACCTTACCCAAGCTTTTAACTTTAAAAGCCTCAGAGAAAAGATGTCTCCTTTGTTTTACATGTCCCCCTTCACTTCTGACATGGCACCCAATCAGCATGACTTGATAGCACAAAATAGGGCAATGCTGAATGAGGACCCTCCAGTCCCTGCCCTCAGCCCTCATCTCCCTTTTTCCTGCCTTCTCTCCATTCCAGGAGACTGTTGTTACCACAGCCCTGGAATTCCTAGCACACATCACAATGGCCACCTGGAAGTTCACGGGAAGGAAGCTCAACCCCCTGACATCAAGCAAACGGTTGTTAGTTCATGGCAATTAGCAGCTGTACTTGAGGCTGGGGAGCTGAAGTCATAGTCCAGGCTCTGACCCTTACTGGTAGTGAAACTTCACCTTGACCCCTGTGCTTCCCACTCTGTAAAATGAAGGTGGGAACAGCTCGCTGAGTGACTGTTGTGGGGATTAGATGATATTTGTGGAAGAACTTTGTAAGGGGTAAAGAGGTATCACCTTATAAGGTAATGTCATCATTTTTAAGGTGGGGCAAGTGACAGTCAGACACTCAAGTTAGAGCAAAGCCAGGAGAAGGTTGCACTGGCATGGAAAGGGGTAAATAGCCCACCTCCACCAGCCTCTCTGGAGGGTCAACTCCAAAGTTATTAGAGTTTTAAGTTTTGGGTAAAAAATGTTTGTCCTTAGAGTAACTCCTCACTTCTTCAGAGTTATTATGTCCAAGGTGTTTTGTTCTGTTTGTTTGTTTTGGTTTTGGTTTTTGCTTCATTTTGTTTTTCTGAGACAGAGTCTTGCTCTGTCACCCAGGCTGGAGTGCAGTGGTGCAATCTCGGCTCACTGCAAGCTCTGCCTCCCGGGTTCACACCATTCTCCTGCCTCAGCCACCCGAGTAGCTGGGACTACAGGCGCCCACCACCACGCTCGGCTAATTTTTTTGTATTTTTTTAGTAGAGACGGAGTTCCACCATGTTGGCCAGGATGGTCTCAATCTCCTGAACTCGTGGTGTTTTTATTTTGAAAAAGGGAAAAATACGTTTTATGCCCTGAGGTCTAATCACAAAATACCTTCACTCTTCAAGTCTGACCAGGAGCCACTTGCCTCAGAATGACCTGGAGTGTCGTTCAAATGCAGATCCTCAGGCCCCATCCTTGACTATCACTTAATTTTTCTGAGCCTCAGTTTTTGAGTTTTGAGGCGTGACGTAACTTTTGCTTTAAACCTCAGTAAGAGAGTTTCAATAGAAAAAAATGAACAAATGAAAAGATGAATGGCTTGCAAGGGAGAGGTAGAATATGTATCCAGACAAGATGACTCCTATTGTCCCATCCAAATCAGACCTCCATTATCCCAGGTCCCCAAAGATGTCTTCAGTCTCAAACAACCAACAGAGTGGCCCCATTCCTATCCACTGTGCATCCTGGCCAAGTGCACAGTAAGTGGACCTCTTGGCCGGGCATTCTGCCAATGCTGGAGCTGTTAGGAAATAAGAATGTGTGTATTTATTGAAGAAAATAAAAATGTTCATGCGACGTTGCACAGAGACGATTTATGAGATTTTATGAATGTGTCACCAAAAGACCCACTCAGTCACTGCCAATGTTAGGTCTGCAAACACCTGGGGGCTCAGGCAACAAAGCTCCCTGATGGAGTCAGTGGGCAGGACGTGCTTGTGGAGGGGAGTATGAGCCCTGTGCTGCAGGTGCCTGCACCTGTGAGTTGTGTGGAGCCAAGTACACTTAAATCATAAGTGTATATATGGGTGTAAATAAATGTACACACACTAGTGGTGTGCAAGGGAGTATGCATATATGTGGACCCCATGAGATCGCATAGCATGGGCCACTCCTGGTGTGACTAGGAAGAGAGGCTAAGCCACAGTGCAGAAGTGGACCCATTACTCACACTACCTTCAAAGGACACAGAGTTCTCGCTGCTCAAAGGAAGGGGTTAGTCATCACCTACTGCTAAGACCAAAAGCCTTGGGGCATCAAGAAAAGCAGATTATCAAGAGAAAAATGTCTCTAGCCGAGCATGCAAGAATGGATAGAGTCTGACCAATAGGAGGAAGAGCAGGGTCCCATCTTGCTCACCTCCTCTGCTGGGCCTGAACTTCTCATTGACATTATAGCCTATTAGTTCCAGGTCTCTGAAGCCTCTCTGAGTTCTGTGAACCAGGTTTATGCCTTACCGCCCTCCTGGGAGCATTGTCTTGTGCTCTCCAGCTGCCAGGCTGGTGCAAACCACAGAATGAACAAGCTCTCCTACTAAGCCCCTTGGAGCCTAGAGTAGTTCACTGTTTTCTGAGGGTTACCTTCTATGGGAGAAAGTTCAAGAAAATGCATAGAAGGTATGTTATTAAAAGAAAAGGGAAGAGGAAGAGAAAAGGAGGAAGGAGAAGGAGGAGAAGGAAAAGGAAAGCAAGAAAGAAGTGCTTTTAGGGTGAGTCCCTGAATCACCCAGAGTCCATCTTCATAAAAATAGCCTTAAGACCCCTTGTGGGCCATGCAAGAAGGAGGGGTGCCTACTTCCTCCCTCCCTTTCATTCCTCTGCAACAAGGAGAGAATCATAGGTTTTGCAAGAGCCCTTTGTTTGCCTGGGGCACGCCATCATCACATGCATCTTCTCAGGCACGTGAGGGAGGTCACTTCCCTACGAGACAGGGAGGAACCCTGGGCAACTGTGGCTTGGAAATGAAACCAGCCCTTTCAATGTATCTCTTTGGTGACCAGGATGGTTGGTCCTGCTTGGAGTCTGAGGTTAGGGGGCAAGATTCTGTGAATGCCTACCCTGTGCTGCATCCTCAGCTGGGCACTGTCCCATAGGCTCTTTAGTCCCCACCTCAACCTAAAAGAGGAAACTAGTGTAGCCATGGCATACATGGCTAAGATTTTAAGGATCCAAGGGGCTGTGACATTGGATCAAAGACTTAAAGGTGGCAAATGGCAGAGCCGTCTTCCAGGTGGAACCAGAGACCCATTCCTCTTGTGCTCCCAGCACCAACTGCTTCCCTCCCTCAGAGCCTTTAAAACACTGCACTGCTTGTCTCTCTCTCCATTATCCTGAGTGCTCTTGCAGGTCAATAACTAGTTCTGCACTCCTCATCCCAGAGGTCAGCACAGGCTGGCATGGAAGAGGAAGTACCTATGAAATGGCTTACAGAGGGAAGGAGGAAAAATGGAAGTGTCCAGGAAGATGCATTTCTACCCAGCATCACCCCTCCTGACATTAGGAACTAGTTAAGGCTCCCTGATGGCCAGAAGCAAGAGTCAACATCTCTGCAACGTAAGCCTTCTGGTATCTGATATCCCCACCATCTGCCCTCACTCTTGCCCCAGAGCGTCTCCAGGTGAGCAGAGATTATGATTGCCAAAGGGAGCCATTTCAGGCCTCAGACCCCCAAGCTTCACCAGAGAAAGCCCCTGTCCTGGTAAAATATGATGTCACTTTCCCATTCAGCCTTGGTTAGCTGTTCTATGAGCCAGGCAGAGTAGGGATCTGTTCATATCTATACTTGCCCCCAGGGAGTAGCAACAATGGACTCATGATATAAGAACTCAGTGACCAGTGGTACCTGCCAGTGGCCCACAAAATTGTATTGTTGAGCTGACTTCCTCCAAGTTTTTGGAGGGGGTGGGTGGAACCAGAGCTGGGCCTGGTTCCACTGCAGAGTGTGCAGGTCACTAGAACAACCAGGAGAAGGAAATCTAATGGCTGGATCACAGTTATTGATGTTACACCTCTGACCTTTTCTCAAAACCTTTGCAAACCATTGTTTGGATTTGCAATACTGGAAACTATCAGCGGAAGGTCTTGACTGTGAGCAAAGATAAAGTTATGAACTCTGGGAACTGCGCTGTGCCAGAAAAGTGCTTCCCAAGGTTTCATGTGCAGACAAAGCACCTGGGGATCTTGCTAAAATGCAGACACTGATTCGATAGGTCTGAGGTGAGACCTGATGCTATGTTTCTAAGCAACTTTTGGGTGATCCTGCTGGTCCACGGATTACTCCTGGAAGAGCAAGGGGCCCAGGCTGGAGCTGGCTCACGCTGGCTAAGACTAACATTCTACTCACTTCCTTGCCTCAACACACAGAAGGAGCCCAGTGCCTGTTGGGAATATCCAAACTCTCTACCTTGCAAGATTCCTTCCCAGCCAGACCCTACTTCACCCTCCTTCCGCCACCTCCCCGCAGCTGTGCTCCAAGCACAACAAATGGCCAGATTTATCCCAGGCTAGTCAAGCTCTATTCCACTAGCCCATCCTTACCAGTGCTGGTTCCTCTGCCTAAAATGCCCTTCTTCAAGGCTTTGGAAGCTCCTACTCATCTTCCGTCACACTTTCCCCAGTACCCGTTCTGCTTCTGTTGCTTGCCACTTGTATGCAAATTACTTCCTCTCTCTAAGCCTCAGTTTCCTCATCTATAACTTACAGATAGTAATAATGTTTACCCCAAAGGGGGTTTTCTAAATATTGAAGGAGATGATAGACATAAAATGCTTAGCAAAGTGCCTGAGACATTCTAGGTAATTAAAACAGTAAATTGATGTAACTTCCCTCTGTGAAATCTTTCTGGAATTTTTCCATTTACCTGATTTTTATTGCTCCCACAAAATCTGACTTTTACTTCTATGGTGGCCCTTATCACTGAATTTTACAATGGCCTATTGGCTCTAGACTGTCTTATCTAATAAGTTACAAGCACCTAGAGGTCAGGTTCATGTTTTACCCACATCTGCTTTCTCGGGATCTAGCCCAGAGACAAGTACAGAATGAACACTCAGCAAGTAGAGGCCAGGACAGCCACAGCCAGTGGCATTTAGGGGTGCTCTGTATCTAATGGTGGCATAACTCACGGAGCAGTACAGTTAACTGGAAGATTCAGGAAAGCAGTAGCTCTATTTAAATGAGATGTCCAGATAAACGATGATTTCATATCCAGGTAAGACATTACTCTTTATTTACTCTTTATTTTTAAAGGATTTACCAAGATTTTCTTAAGTGGATTCCATACTTAAACAGAACACAGTGGTCTTTATATAATCTTTCCAAAATTGCTTGGGGACACCTAAAAGGCATTAATCTTTGCCCCCAGAGACAGGGCGACTGAATACTTGGTTTGTCTGGGACCATTGTTTTGCACTCATTGGCTGGTCCTGTTATTCCTAGCATCCCATTTTATTCTTTTAAGGTCTCCTAGTTTGGACAAGAAATTATCAGGTCACCCTAACCAGTGATAGATGATACTGGATCAAAGTAATGGTTCAAGGAACCCCTGAGATGGTTACATATATTTGCTATTTGTAAATAGCAAATTTACAAATATAAAATTTTTAAATTTTATATTTAAAAATTTAAAAATATAGCACTTTTTTAAAATGCAGCACTTCCCATTGAAAGAAGGAGTCTCCGTCCCTTCCCTTGAATCTAGGCAGCTTTATGACACTTTGACCAATAACATATAGCAAAAGTGACCTCCTGCAAGCTTCGCCAAGACCTTAAGAAATTGGTGAATTCCACCTCTTGTGACTTAGGATGCTCATGATTAGAACTCAGCCACCATGCTGTGAGGAGGCCCAAGGTATGTTGTGGAGAGCCTCCTGTAAAGGGGACCAAGAGCGAGAACCCTGGCGCCAGCCTTGTCAGTGGGTCATCCCGGCAGTTTATCTTCAGCCTCACTTGAGCTGCTTCAGCTGATGCTGTGTGGAGTATTGTGTGTCACTTCCAAACCCTGCTCAAATTGCAGATTTGGGAACAAAGTAAATGATCGTTGTTTCCAGTTATTATTTGAAGAGTATCTTTATGTAATAACAGATACTTAGTTGCCCAGAAAGAAAATCCTGCCAGAAAATTCAGCATTTTGGACTGGTAGACACCTGATATAGAGTTGGGAAAGTTCCTGGAACAAATGCTTGCTACCATCATCATAAGTATTTATATATATATATATATATATATATATATATATATATACATACACACACACACACACATATATACATGTGTATATATATATATATATATAAAACTGTCTTTGGTCAGAAATGTTTTGCTAGGGATTTCGCCAGTTTGGTGACAACAGGGTTTACCAAAAAGTGTTCACCGTTCACCCTAAGATAATTAGCAGCAAACCTAGTAACAAGATGAGTCACTCTGAGATGGTGACATGAAGGATTTTCATAAATTGCTCTGTCATCTTCCTTCTACATAATCATGACCAAGTAAGTCATTTTACCTCTTGAATCAACAATCAAGGTAATTTGTCTGTATAAAGAACATACACAGCACAACCCTTTCTGGGGAAATTGATATTTCAGACCCGGAGCTCAGAGATTTTCTCATATGTCAACCACATCTTTCAGATGAGAGCCCCTTAAACAGGAAGTTTGGAAGAGTTCAGCTTTAGGGCAAAAAAGGGAAGTGAATAAGGAGGGAGAGAGAGATGGGATGGGAGGGGCAATGAGGGAAAGAGTCTGGAGGAAACATGCCCCTTACAAATTCCACCACTCATGGGTGTCCCAATCATTCATTTGTTCATTTAGCAATATGTCTCGCCTGCCAACCATGTACCAGGCCCTGGGCTGGGAGTGGAGCAACTAGCAGTGTTCAAGACACACTTGATCCCTGCCCTCACGGATGGGGCCCACAGCCAGTGAGGGGAAGAGGCCATTAAGTAAGATGTGGCAGTAATAGTGTGTGTGTTGTGAAAAGGGAAGTGAAGGGTGGGGAACCACTTGTGGGGGTGAAGGGACTGGCCAAACTGGGGGTCAGAAAAGGACTCCCTAAGGAAATGACATAGAAGCCAAAACCAGAAGGATGAGTGGGGATTAGTCATCCTTTCCTGCCTTCCTCCTCTTCTTGAATTCACCTCTGTGCTTAGAGTAAACGAGTCCTCTGACTTTCATTTGTACACACAATCCTTCCTCCTCTCGTCTCCTGCACTGAGCTTTATCTTACCTGCACTGCCTTTAAAGAAGTCTCTCTTCACTAAACCTCTGCCTGAAACTTCATTGCTTTTAGGGTAAAAACCAAAGGCCTTAACATGGCTTACTAACTCTGTCTGTCATTGGTAACTTGGCTTCAGCCACCCTGCATTTTCTTCCTGCCACAGGCCCTTTGCATATCCTGTTCCCTCTACCTAGAACACTCTCCCTTCCTCTGTTTACCTAGTTAACTTCTACTTATCCTTCAGATCTCAGATCACTTATTTTCTCTGGAAAGCCTCCATGACCTCCCTCAACTCATTAAAGGCTCCTGTTTTTAAGGTCTCAAAACCCATGTACCCTTCATTCTTAGCAGTCATGATAGGTGCAATTTCTATGGTTTGTATGATAATTTGACCAATGCCTGTCTCCCCAGGGAGACCACAAGCCCCAGAGGAACATGGGCTTGTCTGCCTTGTTTACTGCTTCATTCCAGCACCAGGGTTTAACATGAAGAAACAACCTAATTAAATGTTGGAGGCAAAGTGCTGACGCCAGAGTATTACTACTTCCAAACCCTTGAGAATAAAAAAAAAAAATCCACTCAGTAAACTCATATATATCCTCTGAATCAAGTTCATAATAGCAGTTGTGACATGATGAGGGGGGCAGAAAACCACCATGGAGCCAGGAGACCTAAGTTAGAATCCCATGTCTAATTGCCCTTTGGGTCTAAGTTTCCTCATCTGTGAAAAAGGTGAAATAACAGCATTCTCCCCAACAACTGCTTAGACTTGCTTCGCCTAATGAAACCACTTCAAGGATGTATACTTATGAGTTGATTATTGCCCAATGTCCACTGGGGAATCAAGAAAGGCCATCAGTACACCAGGCCCCACTGTTGTGTGCAGACTCTGCATGGGACAGGAAGCATCAGCTCTTGGACTCCCCAAGAAGGGCGTCTGCACCAGCCTGGGCTACCATGGGCCCTGCAGTATTGATCACCAGTATTGCAGAGGGAACATTTGCCTTTATTCCCCTTTCAAATAATTAAAGTATAATATTTTATGGCCTGATAAAATTTACTGAGACCCTTGGCACGTAATTATAGTGCTTCTTTAAAGGAGACCCCATAAAAGATGCATGATTAGAAAGTTAAGGATCTGGATAGAATTGCAACGATGTGACAAATAATTTACAAGTGATAAACTGTCTGAGGGGGAAGAAATTCCAATAACCTCTGATGAAGGCTAACAATTAAAATAATAAATTCCCCAAGATCAAGGGTAAACCTTTTTTCTTGGTCAAAGACTTAGACTCCACAGGCCCAGGAACAAGAACAAACCTTCTTGTCAAAGTCAAGTCCTGGTTTCTCCGGACATCTGTTCTTTATTTCTTTATGTGTCTATCTTTTGTATGTAGGCATTTACATATTTAACTTTTTTCTTAATTTATTTATCTACTAATTATTCATTTTTATTTATAGCCATTCTTTCACTCCCTCATTCTATTAATTCTTCCTTCCATTCATCTATTCACCTGCCCCATCTATCCATCCTTCTATTTATTTATTCATTTATCTCTCTATTCATCTATTTTCATCTGTTCGTTTAACCCTTTATTAATTTACTAATTTATTTATCTATCCATTCATTTACTTTTATTTTTCCTCCTCTACTTATTTACCCATCCATTCCCATCTACATGCATTGCTCACTTGCGGTAAGCAGATTGTTAACTGTGTCCTAAGGCAGTGCCACCCAGTAGAACTATAATGTGAGCCACACATGTAATTTTAAATTTTCTAGTAGCCATATTTTTAAAAATAAAAAAGAAATAAGTAAAATCAATTTAAATAATAAAGTTACTATGTAATAATTATTTTTGTTATTATAAAGTGAGTATTGTAGCATAGTATATATTTATTTTAATATAAAATACAAATACCATTAATATTTAATACTTTTTTCACTCGTTTTATTTAACTCAACATATTCAAAATCTTATCATTTCAACATGCAATCAATATAAAAAACATTGAGTTATTTTGCATGTTTTTTGCCCTCAGTCTTTGAAATCCACTGTGTATTTTGAACTTGCAGCTCAGCTCAATCCAGACCAGCCATATATAAAGCTCTCAATAGTAACATGTGGCTCATGGCTGCCATGCTGGATAGCACAGCTCTAGGACTTCAGAGATGAATCAGACATAGCCTTTGCCCTTGGATAGTTTACACTAGGGTAAGGATGGAGAACGTATTAGTTCATTTAATCTTCATTTAAGGTATAAGTACATGATACTCCCATTTTACACTAGAATAAGCCAAACCTCAGAAAGAAGCAGTAAAAAGTTTTGGAATCAAATAAATTGAGCCTCTTAAACTACTGTGGCAAACACTCAGGCAGAGCTTATGCTGTGTAGCTATGACCAACTGAAGGGAATCATCTCACCTTCCCAAGAGCTGGCAAGGGCCAGGCATCAGGCAAGACACCACTGGGAAGAAACAATTGCATCAGCTTGGAAGTAGGGAGGCAGATACACAACAGAGGAGGCCTTTCCAGGCAAAGCAGACAAGCAGAGAGAGAGGAGAAGGAACTAATACTCCTCAAACATCTGTTATGCCCAAACCAGTCCCTGAGTTCTCCAAATATCTCTGCACAGAGACTCGGGATGTGAAAGAATATATTTCAGAGAATAAAAAAGCCCACATGGATTATAACTAGCCTTCTGCATCAAAAATTATAGTGTCCTATCCATTCATAACTAAGAGAGCTAGGATTCTATGGCCAATTAACTACAAGGCACCCAAGCCTGAAGAGTATGATGATGATGACAACAGTGATAATAATGGTAATAGCAGTTACAAGAGCTCACATGACTGAGCATTTTCTATCGTATTCCAAGCACTTCACCTGCGCTGGTTCATTGATACACTTATTTTAGAGATGAGGAAACTGAGGCACTTTCCCAAAGCCACCAACCTACTGAGTGAGTGTTACTTACATAGACCCCCATAAAGAGCACTGAATTGGAAACAGACTCAGCCAGATAGGATAGAGGCTGCAGGATGGCCACGGAGGGTGTGAATTAAGTACCCCTGGATCATTGTTTCTAGGAAGTGCATAGTCCCCTAAAGAAGAAAAACCTATGAACAAATAATGACCCTAAAGAGTTCTAGGTGCTCTGTTTACAATAGCAAAGACTTGGAACCAACCCAAATGCACATCATTGAGAGACTGGATGAAGAAAATGAGGCACATATATACCATGGAATATTATGCAGCCATTAGAAAAAGAATGAGTTCATGTCTTTTGCAGGGACACGGATGAAGCTGGAAACCATCATCCTCAGCAAACTAACAGAGGAACAGAAAACCAAACACTGCACGTTCTCACTCGTAAGTGGGAGTTGAACAATGAGAACACATGGGCACAGGGAGAGGAACATCACACACCAGGGCTTGTCAGGGGGTTGGGGACAAGGGGAGGGACAGCATTAAGACAAATACCTAATGCATACTGGGCTTAAAACCTAGATGACACGTTGATGGGTGCAGCAAACCACCATGGCACATTTATACCTATGTAACAAACCAGCACATTCTGCACATGTATCCCACAACTTAAAGTAAAATAAAAATAAAAAAGAGTTCTAGGTGCTGAGCCAGACATCCATACACAGTGGAGCTCACATGTGAGGGGAGCTGTCACTTCTCTTTAGGGATGAGAGAGGTGGTCAGGAAGGGTTTCACAAAAGAGATGATGCTCAAGCATCATAAAGCTTTCTCTGATTCTCCCAACAGGAAGTAATCCCTTTCCCTTCTACAAGTAAGCCACTTTGTTCAGGTCCTTGGAGCCTGGGCCCCATTGGGCCAGTTTCAGCCCCCTCCTCCTTCCTCACCCAGCACAGCCCGCTCACTCTGTGATTCCCTGCAGACACCAGGCAAGCTTTACACTTACTCAGCATGGATCAATGGAGAAATACAATCACTTGGATTTCTGAGAATGTATATATTTGTTTAGAAACCCCTGTCTTTCTCGGGTACAGACAAAACACTGCCGGCTTACCACCTCCCAGAGACGCACTGTGGGAATGATTTAAAGGCTTTGACTGTCAGTAGCAATATCAATCAGACGCGCTTCCCAGCGGCCTCTGCCCAGGAACAGAAGAGACATCAGGCAAAGGGGCGGAAAGAGGGACATAGCACTGGAACCAAAGTCAGGTGGAGAGAGAGAGATAAAGGGGAGGGGGAGAGAGAAAGTGAGAGGCACTAAGAAAACACAGGGCAGGGGTGGGAGTGTGCAAAAAAAGACAAAGGCTGGGAAAAAGCTATTCGGAGTTAGGGAGACTGAAAGAGTCAGGAAGGGGAAGAAAATAAAAGAGACAGAGACAAACATGGCCAGACTCGAAGTAAGTCAATCAGACACCAAGATACGGATGGGGACAAAAATGATCAACTAAGGAGGGAAAGAGGGAGAGCAAGAGAGCAGGGACAGACAGAAAGAGAGGAGTGAAAGGAGACAGGGAAGCATGTTTCTAGCACGCTGGACCACACCAGTTCCTCCCTGCCTGCACTCTGCTCAGCTGTTCCCTCTGCCTGGAAGGCTCTTCCCCCAGATTCTTGCATAGCTGGCTTTTCCTCCCCTTTCCAGCCTTTGCTGAACTGACACTACCTCAAAAAGTTCCCCAGTAGCCACCCCAATGGAAGGAAGGTCTGCCCTGCTCATCCCTACCCATTGTTCTGCATCAGAAAAGAACACCCCACTGATTTCTTTTATAGAACTCATGTAAATATGTTATTTTCTTGGCTTTTTATTATTCACTTGGGGCCACCATGGTCCTGGCATATCCCCATGATCTAGAACAGTGTCTGTGTCTGACATAGAGCAGGTGGTGCTTCATAACTGAAGAACAGATGAGTGAATGAACAAATGAACAATAGTAAAGGTAAAATCATTACTGAGCCAAAGCACTTCTCTTTGCCTACTCAGGTTACTCAGGTTGTAATAGTGCGATTTGGTGGCAGGGTTGGGTGTTGACTGGCAGTGCACGCCTGTTCTCAGCAGCTGGGCAAAGGCGGGGCTATCTGTGATGGAAGCATAGGACAGGAGCCTGCATCTGTGGATGGAGCTAAAGAAGATTCTGGGGAGACTGTGGGGTGGCTGGAGAGCTGGGAATTTTCTACCTGCAGAGGCCCCTCTGCAGTTCCTTTCAGACATGAATGGTTCCATCCATGATATTGCCTTGTCTAAAGTTGAAAATGACCCTGTAGGCCAAAGTGCATGATTCCCACATATATTTCTTGGGCAGCCAAATTTCCTAACTTAACTAACGAGGTTCCCACCAGCCTCATTAGGCCTAAGATGGCTTCCCCATCATGAAAGCTCTTTGTTTCTATGAAAAGAGCTCTTAGGAGCCATTGAGCGAGATCAGCTCCTGCTGATCAATGCTGAAGAGCACTCATGGGGAACCTTCCAGTCAAGATCAGAGTGCTTTGGCCTCCCAAAAATCCCTAGTAAAGGCCATTTGGCTTTCTGAAGCCAGACAAAAGGCAATTATATGCATTTCTATCTTTGGAAAATGTATTTGAGGAATCAGTGGTGAGGCCTGAATGCAGGAGATGCAGAGAGTCTGGACTGCCTGGTGAAAAGGATGCTGGCCATGAAATCCCAAAGTCAGGGGACCTCTTCAGGTCACTTACAGGGTGACTCAGTCCAAATAGCACTGGAGGCGATCCACAGCCTGCCACCCATCTCAACCCTTTCATTTCGCCTCTGACCTTTCTCTTCTTGCCCATATTTGTTCTTGCATAAATTTAACATAGTTACATTCATAAATTCCAGTTAATATTCTGCTTTCTAGGTAATGTATAATAAACATCTTGTATGTTTCCATGAGATCTTTGTCATCAACACTGCTGATGATTACATTGGTGCACCATGATTTCATTTACCACACCCTTGTAAATGGGCCTTTGAGAATTATCTAGGGTTTTGCTGTTCTAGATATTGATGTAACACACATCTTTTGCTTATAGCTAGTCCTTTCCTCAAGATCATTTTCACACCTTGAATATCAGGGTGTGACAATATGTTCTCATATTGTCCCAAAAGCTTGTAAGAATTTGGATGGTCACAAGCAGTGCATGCATGATTTTCATTCCAACCTCACCAGCATTGGTCATTAATAACATTTTTTTCTTAAATGATTAACGTAAATCATTTTAATCTCCTTGGTTAGAACTAAGAATTAACATTTTTGAAAATGTTTGTTTAATTTTTACATAATTTCATATGTGAATTTTTGTTTAGAGATTTGCTCAGCCCATCCCATTCCTATCTGCATCTGTAAATTTAGGGTGTAAGTCACCATCCATGGCCACCTCTGAAGAATAAAGAATGATATATTCAGGGGGTAAAGTTATAAACTGTGGGCAGTACTCAAAGCTTCAAATCAAGTCCTTGCAATGGAGTAGGGGCAGCCTCATTAACAAGGACAGCCACACTTTCCCCAGTCAAGTCTTGATATACCACAGGACTAAGCCAGTGGGTCATAATATTTATGCACTCTGTGCCTCAGGCACTGTGCTAAGCACTTTACATATATATTTCACTTAATCTTTACAAGGTCACTGAGATGTAGACATTAGAATTTCCATTTTACAGATGGAGCTGAAATAAGTAAAGTAATTGCCCCAACATCACCCAGCCTAGTGAAGATTCAAACCCAGATCTGTGGATCCATAAAGCTATGATGTAACCACTGCATTAGCTTCTGAATAAATAAAAAAAAAAATCAAAGGGGTTAAAAAATTGAAAAACATGATACTGTCTCTACCCTACATGTGATCACCAGTCTCCTGAATAGATAAGTAGGGAGAGCCACAAAGCCATGTGACCTATGTCATTACAGGTCTTTGAGGTCAGGAAGCCATGAGGACAGAGGTGAGAATCCCTCACTGAGGAGCTGAGGAAGGCTTCATGGAGAAGGCCATGTCCCATGGAGTACTGAAGCATGAATGAGAATTTGCCTCATGGACAAGAGTTGGGCTGAAGAGAGAAAGGAGGGCTGAGAGCCGGGTCTCGCCAAGAATGTGTGCCCGCAGGTTGGCAGGACTTACGAGTAACTACAGAAGGTAAGTTTTGGACTCGAATAGACCTGGTTTTGAATCCTGCTTCTTCTTGCTAGCTATGTGATTAGATAATCATTTCAGTCTCTGAGCCTCAGTTTGCCCATCTGCAAAACAGGCACGATTGTTTCACCAGTTGTTGTGGAGACTGAAGAGCATATGGCAGTGATGTGCTCAGGCTGGTACCTGGCAGAGAATCACTGTGCTGCCATCCCTAAGGACCTCCCACTTTTCTTGTGCCTCATCTTCTGCTTCTATAAGCAAACCTGAGAGCGTGTCCCATGAGAAGTGGCCTCCAAGGACACACAGCTGGGAGCACATATTTTCTGCCCAAAGGAAGCAACCAGAGTGCAGTGAAAATCACCTGGTCTTGGATTTAGCTACACTTGGTTTTGCACCCCATTTATACCACTTACTAGCTTGGACCTCAGAATGTGGACAAGTTACTTACCTCCATTGAGGCTCAGTTTTATCATCTGTGAAATGGGGACAGTCAGCCCTGTCTCACAGGTAATAGGACACATGGGCCCAGTATCCTGGACATAATATACATCAGTGTGCAATAGAAGGTCCCCAAAACCCCACCTCCTTATAATCAACACATGTGGGCACTGACTGCAATGGCCTACAAGAGATGTCCATGATTATGTTCATCTACAGCCCCCATCTAGGGACATCCCCAAAGGCCCCTGGGGCCCTTCAACCTTCAGGGTGCCCAGCCTGGCAGGGCCTATGAGCAGTAGCTGTGCCTCTGCCCCGGAGACCAACTTCTCCACATCCCCCCCCAGCTATTGCGGGAAGAGGCATGACTCATTCGAGGGAAGAGGGTTGGCACCTTCTCCCCCAGCCGCATGGGGCCAGCCAGCAGGCCTGTGGTTAAAGGACCTGCCTGGATTGCAAAACAAGCCAGTTTGCTGCATTCTGGGGTCACGTGATGCAGCCGGGCGCTGTGGATGGCCTTTTCTTCCCTCGCCCACTGACTCACTGCATGCTTGCTTGCAATCACATGGGCTCCCTGGGCCTCAGCTCCCCCAAGTGTTCTCGTTGCTGAGCTCATTTGGAGAAGAACTAAATTGGAAGGACTACTTCCTTTTTTCCCTTTTTTATTGCACCATGACTATATAAATATATTCTCATTATGAAAAAAGTGTAAAGACTATCAAATATAGAAATATAGAAATGGGAAACCACCCCTCAGGCCCTACCACATGGCCTCTGCAGTTGTAAATATGGTTAATATTTTCCTGAGTGTCTTCAAGGGCTCTGTCTTATTTTTTAATTAATGTTAGTTTACACAAGAAACTAACATTCCTCCTTTTAGAAATATTAGAATATTACTAAGAAGGCAGGAGTCCTCCTTGACGCTGTCATCTCCAATCCCATCCAGAGACAACCACTATTATCAGTTAAGTGTTTCTCCTTCAATCTCTATTCTTTGTGTGGTGTGTATAGATTACATATATGTACAGATTACATATAGAGAAACAGGAGTGCTGAGAGCCGGGTCTCGCTGAGAGTGTGTGCCCGCAGGTTGACAGGACTTACGAGTAACTACAGAAGGTAAGTTTTGGACTCAAATAGACCTGGTTTTGAATCCTGCTTCTTTTTGCTAGCTATGTGATTAAATAATCATTTCAGTCTCTGAGCCTCAGTCTCATACTCTCATAAGAAAGGCTAGGTGTGGGGGACATTTCTATACTTATTTTCCCAACTGTATGTATGTATGTTTGCATAACTTGTATGTATGTTTCCGTAACTTGTTTTTTCACACATCAGAATGTCTCAGAGATTTTCCACATTGTTACACAGAGGAGCCACAATTTCTTTTAATGGCTGCTTAGTATCTAATACTATAAATGTGCCATACCTTTTAATTGTTGTCAGGTAGTGACTTTAAAGTTGTCTCCATTTTTTTCTCTATTCACAAGCAATACTACGATGAATATTTTCCTATAATCCTTCTTTGCCCACATGCAGGTATTTTTTGAAGGTTGACACCAAGGAGTAGAATCTCTAAATCATAGCTGCACATGTTTGGGTTCAATAGATACCATTGCATGGCCCTCCCAAGAAAACAGTTCCTATTCTCTTCCTAAGTATCTACAAATATGCATCCGTGTGCACATGGGAATTCACTTTCCAAGAGTTCATGGTAAAATGGTCAAGAGGAAGACTGAGAAATACAAAGAATTTCTTCTCCCCAGGACTGAAAGTCCTGTTGAGGGACAGCATAGAGAGTAAGGAAGTGCCACAGAGCATTTAAACTAGATGGAAAGTATCCACCATTGACTACAAACTCACTATAGAGATGGAGAAATTGAGGCCTCTCAAAAGGAATTGACTTGCCGAGATTCAGCTCCCAGTCCCTTCTTGCCAGGCTTACTCTCAGCAGTTACAATGAAGCATACCCCCTTGTGTAGGAGCCAGAAGGATAGTTTCCAAATTCAAACATGATTATGTCCCCTCCTGTGCTTAAAATATTTCAGTAGCTAATTGTGCTCCAACTTCAAGACACCACCCAGACTTTTTTCACTGTTCTCCGGACAGACCCAGGATCTCTTCGGCCCAGGGCCTTTGCATATGCTTTTGGTGCTCTCTGGACTATTTCTTGCTCCTGCCTCTCCACACTCTCACATCTTGCTAACTCCTACTCATTCTTTTAAGAGGGAGTGTTCTTGCTATGTTTCCCAGGCTGGTCTCAAACTTCTGGCCTTAAGCGATCTTCCTGCCTCAGCCTCCCAAGTAGCTGGGATTAGAGGTGCAAGCCACTGTCCCCAGCCCCTACTCATTTTTGAGATCCCAGATGAAACATTCCCTCTGCAGGGAAGCCACCTTATCCTCCTTGAACAAACCAGAGCCCTCTCATTATGTCTCTTATCATCTCACACTTCTCCTTCAGAGCACTGTTCACAGGTTCCATTTACATTTATGTGTGGAATACAGCAAATTCTCACTTAACATCATCAATAGGCCCTCAGAAACTGTGACATTAAGCAAAATGACCTACTGCATGCCATAGGAACTTACTTCTTGTTTATATCAATTAGCTTATGGGAAAATGATTTTGTTATATAGCACATTCTTTGACTTAAAGTCACAGTTTCTGAGAACTTATCAACAATGTTAAATGAAGACTTATCATACTTAAAAAATATGTGACTCACCTTCTGAGTCTACAGGCTATATTTCTTTCTACTGGGTCCCCAGCCTTTAGCCCAGAGTAGATCTCAGTATTATCTTAATGGATGAATAAATGAAGGAGTAGCTTTACTCCTCTTCCCTTACCCTGTGACCTTGTGGTCTCACTCCTCACATCTCTCCCTGAGGCTTTCCCTTTGTCATCAGAGCTGAGGAGACAGCCTTGAAAAGTTCATACCTTCAGGAGACAAGGCGGCTGTCTGAAAGTCACTGGGGCTTCAGAATCAGCCATGCCTGATTTCAAAGCCCATTCAGCCACTTGGATTCTGACATGTCACTTTTGTCCACTGAGACTGTTTCCTCATCTGTAAAATGGAGCAGCAGCCCCTGTCTTGCAGGATTGTGTAAGGCATGAGCACAGGCCCTAGCCCAGTCAGCTACCTATTGTGGGTGTTCAATGCTGGAGGAAGCCCCAGAGACACCCCCTTCTCATCATCACCATACTGTGATCTGAAGCAGGTTTCCATGCTTATGATAATACAATGTTAACACTCCCCATGTATTCAGATCTTTGCCTTGAATCTAGGAGGTGAGTTCAGCTCTAGCATCTGATGGAACCAACCAGTAGCCACCAGATGCAGATGCTAAGGGCCAACATGGGATGAGAAATGGTATTTCCAGATCCCTGGAAGAAAAGTTGGTCATAAGAGGAGATGGAGGGGTATTTCCTGAGCTCCAGCTTCAGGAATCAGTAAGGGAGGCTGGGGGAACATTCTGCAGCCTTTGCAAGGGGCACATATGTAGTTTCAGAGCTGGGACCATGATCAAGAAGTCAGGAACACCCCAGAACTTCATACACTGCTCCTTTTGTTTCTTTCTTACCCATGGATGTGGACCTATGCCTTAAATCAGCATTGTTTCTGGACTTCATCATTTGTCAAGTATTCACTAATGCCAGGTCCCCGACAGGTACTAGAGATTCCCTGGTGGGCAAGGCAGACATGGCCCCTGCCCTCCCAAAGCTGCCAGGCCAGTGTCTTGGCCTTAGCAGCAGCAAGGAAAGGGAGCTAGAGGGCTGGTGGCCTGCTTTGCCAGGTCTGGGTAATAGGAGGCCTTCTCGACAAAGAGGTGCTAAGGGATATTCCAGGGGAGCAAGAAGTAGCCTGCAGTCTGATCTTGACAAACAAGCAGCCAACCTGCTATGGGTCAGGAGGTGTCTGCTCTCTAGCCCTCGGCAGGGTCGTCTGGACAGCTCTCAGCCTTTCACCCTTCTCCAGTTAAGGGAGCAAAAGCAGTTAGTCTCCTGAAGTCAAAAATTGTAATTAATGAATTACCATACAACAGAACTGTTCTTATTTTATTTTATTTTGACAGGGTCTCACTCTGTCACCCAGCAGGAATGTAGTGGCATGATCACTGCTCACTGCAGCCTTGGCCTCCCAAGCTCAGGCGATCTTCCCACCTCAGCCTCCCATGTAGCTGGGACCACAAGAACCCACTACCACATCCATCTAATTTTTTGTATTTTTTTGTAGAGGTGGGTTTTCTCCATATTGCCCAGGCTTGTCTCAAACTCCTGGCCTCAAGCAATCCTCTCACCTCAGCCTCCCGAAGTGCTAGAATTGCAGGTGTGAGCCACCATTCCCCGTCTTGTTCTGTTTCTATATTGTGTCCCTAGGATCTAGCACAGTGACTACCGTAAGAAATACTTGGAGGAAAGAAAAAAAGAAAGGAGGAAGGGAAAAGAGAAGGAGGGAGAAAGGGAGGGAGGGAGAGAAGGAGGGAGGGAGGAGAAAGGAAGGGAGGAAAGAAGAAAGGAAGAGAAAGGGAAGGAAGGGAGGAAGAGAGGAGAAGCAGGGAGGAAAGAAGGAGGAAGGAAGGGAAAGAGGAAGGGAGGGAGGGAGGAGGAAAGGAAGAGAGCGAGGGATTCTGTGAATGTCCTACATTCATTCACTCACTGATTTATTTACCCAACTTTCACTGGCCACTTCTCATGTACTAGACTATAGAGATATCAACAAAGCAGGGGTAGTCCCTGCCATCATGAGTCTGCGTTCTGGCGCCTGCAGGGAGAGCACACTGAAAGCAGCATCTTTTTGTGCCTCCTGTAGAACAGCAGCCCCAAAAAATGCTGAGCCAAATGCTCCACTGTCAAACAAGCTTGAATCTGCGCGCCCCTGCTTCCCTTCTTGGATTGACACATCAGAATATCAAAGATTCTGAGAAGTTTTGCAATAAAAAATGCATAATTAACCAGGTCTGTTCCAAACTTTTTCAGCCTGAAACCTGCTTTTTCTCAGATTGACATCCCAGGATCTTAAAGGAATCAGGCGAGATCGCCTCCCTCTTGGCCCAGGGTGTGAGCCTCCCTGTCCTGTTAGGCCAAGTTTCTCCTCACCCAGAGCTTATTCCCGACAGCACGCCCTGTGGAGGGGCCCTGCCGCCACAATTTCCGAAGCCTGGGTTTCTTGGCACCTAAGGGACTGCTGCCCTGACAGTGCTCCAGCAAACCATGCCTGTGCCATCTTGCCCCCACATGTGCTGGAGTCATGGAGATACCTCCTGTTGTTCTATCCCTGAGACTTGAGGACAGGAAGAAGCAGCAGGAGAAACCACAAGGGGCCGGACTCTGATTGGAACAGCAGGAGGGCTGGAGGCCTGGCCTGACCTGCAGGCCTGCACGATGATGCCAGAGCCCCAGGTTTTGGCAGAGCCTGAATCCTGCTTGCCAAGGGAATTTGGAAACTGCCAAACCCCTGTGCAGATGAAGACAAATATCAGCCTCGTGTTTCTGATTCACTTAGGCTCAGCTCATCAAAGTGCTATTTGGTGAAAGCTGCTTACATCTCAACAAGTCAAAGGACCTCCTGTGGAATTGTGATTTAGCTTTGTCCAAAGATCTCTTGGCCACGGCGGAAGGATTCAAGTCATGCCTCTCCCACTTCAGGAAGAACTGTAGCCACTAGATATGCTTTGAGAAATGTACTTCACTTTTCTGAGCCTCGGTTTCCTCAATTATAAACTGGGAGGTGGTACCAACCTGGAAGAATTCCTGTGAAGATTAAATAATTGAATGCATTATTTAAACCCCTAACACTTCATTAGTGCTGTATAAAATGGTGTATATTATTAATAATAGTATTATGATTATTATCAGCATCTGCACCACCACCTTTATATGAGTCAGTGAATCTGCAGTTATTAAGTCTGAAATGTTGCATAGGCTATTGAGATAGACTGTCATAGCCATGACCCACAATGACACCCCCTTCTCAGAATCCATGCCCTTCTGTAGTCTCCTCCCCAACAGTGACCCTAGACTTGGACGTGTGACTTGTTTTGGCCAATGAGACATCTGCCCTGAGACTGCTTTGCCTATAGGAAGGTTAGGGTGACCCATGCCTTGGAGAGAGGCCCAGAAATCCCCAGCCATCCCAGCTGAATCCAGGTCCCAACTGAAGAGAACCATATGATGAACCCAGAGGAAACCGGCAGAAAACCCGCCCAGCCTAATAAGTTGCTGTCCTATGCCACTAAGTTTTGGGGCTGTATTGTGCACAGCGCAAATACCTGGTATGACTATTTAGTTTACAGCTGGTCCATCTTCTTACCCATTCATCTCTTCCTTTGCTAGTCACAGGACTTTTTCTTGTTCAACTAGACTCCTCAGATGGGAGAAATGTAGAGCCCGGAGGCTGGTTGGAAGAAATTATATGTTTATTATCTTAATTCGAATCAGCCACCACCCCAGGCCACCTCAAATAGACTCACAGATTACAGATGAACCTGCCCCTCAATGCAATTAGCACGCCCTTCTCAGGACAGCTGGCCACTTAGAGCCCTGTGGCTGCCATTAGAACCAAAATACAAGTGAATTCAAAGTGATTCCAGACACTCCATGAATACAGGCTACTTACTGGGAAGGAACACCAGTCTGAAAATCTGAAAGAGGAAAAGTGAAATGCATTCGAAAAAAAAAACTAACTACAGTTTTATTGTTCCACAACACATACTGTAACTCACACTAAACACTGAAATGTTACCACCAACTGGTCCCTGGGTGGCTCTGATGAGTGAAGTGGCTTGGTTTGCAATTGGCATATTAATTGTTTGAATGCAAACAAGTTCCTCTAAAGTATCTGAAGCTGTTCGGTGAAGAGTTGATTCTCTTAAACACTTCAATATTAATACTGCAAACATTTACCCTGTGGGTGGGAGCAATGACTCAGGGAAATAAATCTCACATCTTTGCCTTCAGCCAGGTCTTCCTCCAAGACTTCAGATCTATAGTAACCACGTGTTTATGGAAAGCAGCCCCTGGAATGGATTTAACAGTGATAGCTTGCGTGTGCCAATCGCTGTGCTAACCACTACTCATTTAATTCTCACCACCACTCTATGAGACAGGCATTGCTTGTCTCCCCACTTTACAGAGGAAGGAAAGGCAGCTCAGAGGGGTTAAGTGACTCGTTCAAGGTTATGAAGTTGTGTGACTCCAAGTTCCACACTGTGACTTCCCCCAGCCCCACTCTGCCTCCCCATCTTGCCTCCTGTGTTTCTTTTTTCAGTGCCTATGTCCATTGTAGGTCCATCCATAGGTCCAAGCCACACACCTTCCAAAAGACCTCTTGAAAATCTCTCAAACATGGCCACTCTCTGCACCCACTGTGCCATGATTGCCATCCCAGATAATCACAATGTCCCCTAACTGGTCTCTCTCCCTCCATGTTGTCTTCCTCCAATTCATTCTCTTAACCACAGCTGGAGTCTGTCTACCCCAAGCCTGAGCTCCGGAGCTTAAACCCCACACGGCAGAAGGAGCAGAATTTTCCAAAGATAGTCAGGAGGGTAGCTGGGTGCAATGTTGGAAAAATGGGGATGTGTAGGCAGGGACAGAAACCGAGGGAGGAAAGCAAGGTTCAGAAAGGAAGAGGTGTCTGTAGAGATCACTTTCCATATGCAGGAAAAGCACAAGAGAAAGTCGAGGTTAATCATCTCTCCAATCTTTGTTCCTTCTCTGCAATAATTTACCTCTGAGATTGGCCTGACTCTCTAATAAAGAACTTTGAAGTGTGCAGAAAAAATCCGCACACAAAAACCGTGGTGAAAAAGGCCCTGCAGAATCTGGACCCTACAGGCTAGAGGATTCCCAGCCAGATTCTTACACATACACCCTCCTTTAAAAACACCTCTATATCCATATAAAAGTCCCCAAATACCCCATGCTCTCTTCCACCTTGGGGCCTTTGCACAGGCAGTTTCCAGAATCCACAGTTCTCTTCTTTCTCATGAGTCCCTCTACTAGCCAATTCCTACTTATCTTTCAGACTCCCATTTATACATCAGTTCCTTCTAAAAATGTTGCCTGAGCCTCAGGTCCCAATTAGGTGCCCTCAAAAAATATCTTCCTTGCTAACTTCCCCTCATTAACTGTCATTTGTTATACTTGTTTCTATTGATGGTGATGCTAATAACTATTGATAAATGAATAAATGAGTGATGTGTTTGCAACCCCAGTTTGGACTTGCCCAATCTGTGAGCCTGGGTCAAAGCGGTGCTATGGGCCCCAGGGCATGCCATGTCAGAAACAGACAAACCTCTGTCTAGGGAAACATACTCTGCCTCAAAGTTGAGTAAGAACTTGTATCTAAAAAGAGGCCTTTGGCTTCTTGGGCTCAGCTGTGGAACATGCTTGGAACACAGCAGTGAAGGGAGACATGAAGACAGCATAGGAAGAGGCAGAAGTGAGGGAAATAAGGATTAACCAGGACCAGGGTTAACCAGAAGTAAGGGTTAACAAGGGAAGCCACTTCCATTTTCAGTGGGTGTTCAAGGCAGGCAGCCTTCGGTTCAAATTTTATGTTCTACTGGGTCGTGAGAACTATCCATTTTTTTGTTTGTTTTTTGTTTTTGTGTTTGTTTTTTGAGATGGAGTCTCACTCTGTCGCCCAGGCTGGAGTGCATTTGTGGGACCTCGGCTCACCGCAACCTCTGCCTTCCAGATTCAAGCAATTCTCCTGCCTCAGCCTCCCAAGTATCTAGGATTACAGGTGCCTGCCACCGTGCCTGGCTAATTTTTTGTATTTTTAATAGAGATGGGGTTTCACCATGTTAGCCAGGCTGGTCTCGAACTCCTGACCTCAGGTGATCTGCAGCCCTGGCCAAGGACTATTCATTGTTATTGGTAACCAGAGGCCTTCTTTCTATTTTGTGAACATGCCAAGTTCTCTTCCCTGCCTCATGGCCTTTGCACCTGCTTTTCCCTGCACCTGGAATGCCCTCCCCCAGGTCCTTGCAGGGCTGGCGCCTCGTCACTCAGATCTCATTTCAAACATCACCCCCTCAGAGATATCCCCTCAGAGATACATCTCCTCATGTATCCCCTCAGAGATACATCTCCTCATGTATCCCCTCAGAGATACATCTCCTAACCCACCTCCTCACGTTCCCCTCACCCAGTCATTCTCTACCTTACAACCCTGCTTGATTTTCTTCATGGCACCAGCCGATGTCTTAAGTAATCCTATGTGTGTATTTATTCTGTGCCTCTCCCGCTCTAATGCAAGATTCGCAAAGCCAGGACTGTATCTGCTTGTTTGCTGCTCTATCTCCCATGCCTGGCACACACCAAAACTCAATAGGTAGTTATTGAATCAATGAATAAATGATTTTAATAAATAAATGAGTAAAAGACGCCAGAGTGAAGTCCCAGCCCTTGGGAGCAGAAGGTAAGAAAGGTAAAAGCAGAAATTAAGTAACAATGCAGGGACCCAAGGCAACCCAGTGATCTCACTTTGGTAGCAAAACCCACTCCAGAGCCACCAGTGATTTCCTAATACACAGTCTGCCCTTCAAATAGGAGGTGTCCTGAGCCTGCTGCTAAACAGAGCAGGGCAGTGTCTTCAGCCTCTGCACCAGGGGCTCAGAAATAAGCTTCTAGTTTGCTGGTTCTCAAACTACCTCAAGGCTCCACCCATTCCCTCCCTTGCATCCCTCGCCCAGCTCCTTCTTCAGCCTGATGTGTCCATCTGCACCAATGACCCAGAGGGATGAAAAAACAGCCTGATTTTCTTTTTTTTTTTTTTTAATTATACTTTAAGTTCTAGGGTACATGTGCACAACGTGCAGGTTTGATACATAGGCATACATATGCCATGTTGGTTTGCTACACCCATCAACTCATCATTTACATTAGGTATTTCTCCTAATGCTATCCCTCCCCCAGGCCCCCACCCCCTGACAGGCCCCGGTGTGTGATGTTCCCCTTCCTGTGTCCAAGTGATCTCATTGTTCAATTTCCACCTATGAGTGAGAGCATGCGGTGTTTGGTTTTCTGTCCTTGTGATAGTTTGCTGAGAATGATGGTTTCCAGCTTCATCCACATCCCTGCAAAGGACATGAACTCATCCTTTTTTATGGCTGCATAGCATTCCATGGTGTATATGTGCCACATTTTCTTAATCCAGTCTATCATTGATGGACATTTGGGTTGGTTCCAAGTCTTTGCTATTGTGAATAGTGCCTCAATAAACATACGTGTGCATGTGCCTTTATAGTAGCATGATTTATAATCATTTGGGTATATACCCAGTAATGGGATTGCTGGGTCAAATGGTAATGCTAGTTCTAGATCCTTGAGGAATCACCACACCGTCTTCCACAATGGTTGAACCAATTTACACTCCCACTAACAGAGTAAAAGCGTTCCTATTTCTCCACATCCTCTACAGCATGTGTTGTTTCCTGACTTTTTAATGATTTCCATTCTAACTGGAGTGAGATGGTATCTCATTGTGGTTTTGATTTGCATTTCTCTGATGACCAGTGATGATGAGCATTTTTTCATGTGTCTGTTGGCTGCATAGATGACTTCTTTTGAGAAGTGTCTGTTCATATCCTTTGCCCACTTTTTGATGGGATTGTTTGTTTTTTTCCTTAAATTTGTTTGAGTTCTTTGTAGATTCTAGATATTAGCCCTTTGTCAGATGGGTAGATTGCAAAAATTTTCTCCCATTCTGTAGGTTGCCTGTTCACTCTGATGGTAGTTTCTTTTGCTGTGCAGAAGCTCTTTAGTTTAATTAGATCCCATTTGTCTATTTTGGCTTTTGTTGCCATTGCTTTTGGTGTTTTAGTCATGAAGTACTTGCCCGTGCCTATGTCCTGAATGGTATTGCCTAGGTTTTCTTCTAGGGTTTTTATGGTTTTAGGGCTAATATTTAAGTCTTTAATCCATCTTGAATTAATTTTTGTATAAGATGTAAGGAAGGGATCCAGTTTCAGCTTTCTATATATGGCTAGCCAGTTTTCCCAGCACCACTTATTAAATAAGGAATCCTTTCCCCATTGCTTGTTTTTGTCAGGTTTGTCAAAGATCAGATGGTTGTAGATGTGTGGCATTATTTCTGAGGCCTCTGTTCTGTTCCATTAGTCTATATATCTGCTTTGGTACCAGTACCATGCTGAAAAACAGCCTGGTTTTCTAAGAAATGATTGTTAATCTTGCATATCAACTTTGGAGAAACGACGTCCCATTCTTCAGCCTCAAAGGTAGGAGAGTAATCACATGTCTTCAGAATGCTGTGAAAGGGAAACCACTGGGCAGCTAGAAACCACATGGTGGGTAGGTTGAGTGTACAGGCCCTTTTTTATACCTGTGCTCATTGTGGCACTAGTCACAATAACCAAAAGGTGAAAGCAAACCCGATGCCCATCCACAGATGAACAGATAAGTAAAATGTGGCGTATACACAGAATGGAATATTATTCAGCCTAAAAAAAGGAGAAAATTCTTACGCATGCTACTACATGGATAAAACTTAAGGTCAAAATGCTAGGTGAAATTAGACAGTCACAAAAGTATCCATACCAAATGATTCCACTTACATGAGGTTCCTAGAGTAGTCAAGTTCATAGAGACAGAAACTAGAAAGGTAATTGCCAGGAGTTGGTGGGGAAGGAGAATAAAGAGTTTTTGTTTAACAGGTACAATGCTTTAGTTTTGCAAGATGAAAAGAGTTCTGAAGATGGATGGTGGTGATGGCCGCACAACAGTGTGAATGCCCTTAATGCCACTGAACTGTATACTTAGAAATGGTTACGATGGCAAAGTTTATTTTATATGGTCAAGATGACAAATTTTATGTTATGTGTATTTTACCACAATTTTTTAAATGTTTTATTATTTTAAGTTTTGTGGTTTTGTTTTCTTTAATGCAAGCTCCGGAATCAGACACACCTAGGTTTGACTCCTGGTTCTACTTTTTCGCTTGTGATCTTGGACAAATTTCCTATCTGCTCTATCAGCCAGGATGCAGTCAGTCCAAAATATGGAAAGCACTCCAGACATCCCCAGCAGAAGGAAATTTAATTCAGAAAATTGGGTGCTTATAAAACGTTTGGAAGAGTTGGAGGAGAAAGGATCAGAGTCTGTCCCTAGTGTTCAGGTTTTCTGGCTGTGCTTCAGAAACTCAGCAATTTCCTCCTGACGCAGAAGTCAGGAGGTTCCAGGAAGCCACTGCTGACCCTCACAGCTGCCATACTTTCAGGTCAGGGCAGGTGACAAGCAGGGCTCACAGCAGTTCACATGTCTGCCATCACTGCTTGAGGAGAAAGAATGGCTTCTGGGCCCCTCTTCTTCCAAATCTTGCACAAGTCCATCTCACTGGCAAGAAAACTGATCACATCTAGAACTCTAGAGGCAAGGGAATCTCAGCAGAAGGTGGTTTCTGGGCTTCTGGTCACTGAGATTCAGGGCAGAGCATAGGAGATGAGAATAAAAAGCAGACCATCAAAAAATATGTCATGTATACCTCCCTGGCCCCAGGTTTTCTCATCTCTTCCATGAGGATATTAATAACCCTCATTTGGAGTGTTATTGGGATTAAATGAAATAATGCATGAAAAGAGCTTAGCAGAGTTCTCAGATATCCCTAAGTCTTTCCTGCCTCAGGTCTGTCCCATGTTATCCCCTCTACCAGGAACACTCTCCCTTCAATGCTGGCTACTTCTACTCACACTCCTTGTCTCAGGTGAGCTGTCATTTCCTTAGGGATTCCTTCTAAATTAAGGCTCACTTTGCATTGTCACTCTGTTACAGTATTTCAAAGAATCTTGTGCTTTTCCTTCATGGCACTTAGAACAATTTGCACTTATGTAATTTAAGATTATGTATTTAAGATCTGTTTTCTCTCAACTGTGAACTTCCCAAGGTCAGGGACATCAGGGACTCCTCCTTCCTATTCTTAGGTGGTCGCACCTGGCAGAAACAGCTTCAGTTCTGGATGACAGCCCTGCAAGGCCACTCAGCCCCAGCTCTCACCTCTGCAGCTGGAAAGACAGAGATCCAGCAAGGTGAGGGACATATTTAGAGAACCATAGGCCTTGCATCACCCACATCATGTTCAGCCCTGGCCAGAGGACAGGGAGAGGCAGGGAGAGGACAGGAAGGTGAGTGGCTTCTTGCTGGCTGGCTCAGAGAGTCCTCCTGCTGGCTCCTGCCACAGTCCAGAGCAGGCAGAGATCCCTCACCAGCCTCTGGCTCTCTTCTACTGGGCTGCAGTGCCTGCACAGCAGGAATCCTAGCCTGGCCACGCTCTGGCCTGGACTGGTGGATTCAGAGCATTGGACTTCTCATGTGGGAATGACCACTTTCCAGTTTTTATGCCTGAAGAAGGGGCAGACACCACCAGACACTGACCCCACCCCACCCCTCATAATCAGAAGGTGTGACTTGAGCTTCTCAAGGCCTCAGTTTTCTTATCTTTAAAATGGGAATCATAAAAGCCACTTGAAGTCAATGAGAGGAGCACCAGTCAGAAACACATGGCAGAGGGCTCAGGAAATGGTCCCCTCATCTCACATCATTCTCCTACCAACCCCATCCCCATGGGTTAATGCTCTCTCATCCCTCTTACCCCAAGAGCTTCCCCCTGGCGCCCATAGAGGCATTCAGGACCTCTCACCTCAGGAGGCAGCTGACCCTGGCCACCCACCCCCAGCCACCACACAGCTCCTGAGTGTCAGTCAACCTCAGCCTATTGATGGCTTCCTACAATGTCCCAGGCCTAGACCTATGAAGTATGACCCACACTTTCCTGTAGGCAACTCCCGGAGTCCAAGGAACTTCCCTATTCACAACTCAGAGCAGCTCCAGGACCAACCAAAGGGAGGAGTCTCTGTTTGATAGACAAGGCTACATCTCAGACACACTAAGACACATGCCTGAAGGGACTCAGCTGCGTAGTGGAGCCAGAACACCTGTTTTCTCTTCTTCTCAGCTGCCCTTCTACTCATGAGTCTCTGTGTAACCAGCATATGATAGCATAGGGAGGGAGAGAGCAAGTCAGGGAACTGAGGAGCCTCCCAAAAGAAGCAACATGTATGAAATTATGTACTATTGCTTCCTTCCTCCCTCTGTCCCTCTCTCCCTTCCTTCTTTTCTTTCTTTCTTTCCTCTTTCCTTCCTTTCCTCCTCCCTTCCTTCCCCTTTTCCTTCCTTCCTTTCCCTTTTCCTCCCTTCCATTCTTTTTTTCTTCTTTCCGTACCTCCTTCCCTACTTCTCAGTCTGATTGTCTGTGCCTCCCTCTGCCTACGGACCTGTAAGCCTGTCTCTCTCTGTCAGTCAGCATGTCCCTTTCCCTCCTGTGAGCTGGCTGATAGTCAGCCTCTGGCCCCTGGAAGCCATGTCAAATCCCAAGGAGGGGCAACGTCTGGTCCAGGCCATTATCTGGGTCATAAGAGGCCTTGCTCTCAGAAAATGATCATCCCATTTTGGAAGGAAACCAGGCTTTCACTTGTATCCAGGGCAAAACAGGCCAGAAGCCTGAGTCTAGAAGCACCCAAAACAGACACACACCTTCTGCCTAGGCTTCCAGGACCAATCAGTGTTGGCAAGACAAGTGGGATATCGGCAGGTCAGGTGTGACCATTCAGAACAGAGCTTCAGTGAGGTGTGGCTCAAGGAAAAGCAGAAGTGGGTGCTCAGACCAAATGGCATCACTAATGCCAATTAGGGAAATGGGCCCATTATCACTATGGAGTCATCACTATCACAGGCATGCACCCCTGGACACCCACCAGGATGCAACCATTAAATGCCCACCCCTCCCTGCTCCTCCTACTCTTCCCACACCCGCTGGGGATGAGGGCTGTTCCTCTGCCTGTACATTTACTCAGGTAGAGCTCTCTGAGACAGAGCTCTGTGCAACTTGGGAAAGGGCTGCCTTGAGAAGTGGTGTTCCCCATCTTGGGAGATATTCAAGAGAGGAATGAATTTGTAAGTCTGGGATAGAGAGGATTATCATTGAACAGTCTTTTTAAGCTAAGACTTAAGAATCCTCAAGAAGGACACTAATTTTTATTACATTATATAATCACAATTCCCACCTTAATGAAGTGGGCACCATGATTCAGACAGACTAAAAGGTATAGGGATTTGAGGCACAGGGTTTGAAGTCTCAAAGTCATATCATTGTGACTCCAAAGATGCTTGACTTTGTTCTTCCAAACTTCATTCAAAAGAGACATATGGCTGCTTGGAGTTTAAGAGCCCAAGCTCAGGATCCAGAAATATCTTGATTAGAATCTACCATTCATCACCTGTGTATCTTTGAATAAGTCATGTCACCCTGTCAGCCTCAGATTCCATATGGGGAAAAAAGCCTGTCTCATCATGGTGAAGAATACGTGAAATTATGACTATCTGGTCCTTAGCCAGCTTTTTGGCACTTAGCAACTGTTCAATAAATAGTTTGTTGTATTTGTGATACAATGGCAAATCCGAGAGTTTGGCCCCAGAGAGAAATCAAGAGTTAACAATGGTGGGTGACATTCCCCATGGCCACATGACCCAGAAAATATGAGTCTTGGCTTAAGCCTAAGTAGGCATTGCCAGAGCCTCTGTTCCCACCCTGCTTTTCCATGACACAATGCACCTTCTCTGGTCTCAATCCCCAGTTTCTCCACTCTGCCCTGGGCCAGCAACCCAGGTCTCCCACTCTACTCTAGACTTGAAATAAATCCTTTAACCATTAAGTACTTAACATCATGTTTTCTGCCTTCAGAAGTTTCTAAACAGTAATTAGGCAGTGGAACACCCTGCCAGGGTGGCTAGAGTAAATATCATTAGTGTGGGAGGGAGTATGGGGTAAGTGGATGAGCAGGGACTCCTAGCACATGGCAGGGACTGGCTGACATTGGAATGACCAAAGCCTGGTGGAGCAGCTCCATTGCCCAACCTCCACTGCTTCACCCTCCCTCTTGGGGGAACCTAGCTCTGAAGCTATAAGGACCGGTGATACTATGGAGAGAGCACTGGCTTTAGCATCAGAAAAACCTGACTTTAAAATCCATCCCTGCCATGGTGAATATGGACAAGGTATCTGACCACTCTATGCTCATTTCCTCACCTACAAAATGGGGAATATCCTATCAACCTCTTAGTGTACTGGTAAGTATTGAACGAGATCATGCATGTGAAGTATAGAGCTACTACTCTAATGGGCCCATGGGGGCATAGATTCAAAAGTCACAGTGTAAGGTGGCAATCATGTATACCCAAAATTCCCCTTTAAAAATCTCTGTATCAGTCAGGATGGGTTGGGTTATGCTGCTATGACAAGCAGGCCCAAAGATTTCAGCTGAAACCATGAAGGTTTCTCTCTCATTCAGTGCTGCATGTTTCTCATGCAGGCAGGTAGAGAGACTCTGTTAGCTACACTCACTCAGGATCCAGGGCCTACAAAGCAGCCATCAGTGGTCACCATGCCAGAAAGAAAGACAGCTCTGGAGATTCTTGCACTGGCAATTACAAACTTCAACCCTATAGTGGGGCATATCATTTCTGCTCACAACCTACTGGTTAGAACCTGATTAAAACCTGTCGCATGGCCCCACTTGAGCTAAAAGTTGTTCAGTCTTCTATGTCCACAGACAGAGAAAAGGACAGGGAGCTGGCGAGTATTATGAATCACCATCCTAGGATCCCTATGGGAGACTCGCACACATTTCTCAATCTGTCCACAAGGCCAGATTGTCTCTCTAGCATTGGAACAAATCACCATTGCTTCCCTTAAGCACTTACAGAATAAAATAGATGTATGCTTCGGGCAATGTTGCATGGAAATATTAAAATCCTTAACCCCAGAATCACACCTGATGCTTCAAGGCACTCATACATAAAGAGGCACGTGAATGCCCAGTTGGAAGATTCACTTTCCCCACACCACATGCTCTCTCTGTGCCTACCCTCACTGAATAGAATAATGGTCAGAATTATCTCTGTATTTACATTTTTGTTTCCTCTCTTTCTTTTTGTTTCAAAGCTGAAATGTGTAAGTTGAATGCCTGTAAGATAGAAAGCCCTATACTAATACAACTTTCTGGGATTCAGCTGCCCCTCATGGCAGAAAGAAAAGAGTTCCCTAAGGCTGTCCTCATTAAGTCCCCAGCCTGAGACCCATCCTTCTAAGGCCTCTAATGTCTCTCCTTCAGCACCTATGACACGCCTCATTCCTTCTCTCCTGTTCTTTTCCTTCTACAACACAACTGCTTCAGAGAAATTTAGTCCCAGCTTCATCAAAGTCCATAATAAACACTTAATGAACCAGCCTCCTGGTGAGAGGACCATTTGGCTAGTCACCCAGCTGACAGGACAGAAGATAGGCTTGATGCTCAGAGACTCAAACTTTCTGTGGCATCCCTTAGAATCCAACTTCCCAGGCCCCTGGTCAGCTAAAGTGCTGTGTGTTTCAGAACCTTGGTTCTGAAGGTCCTTTGGAGCCAGGAGCCAGAACCCAGCTTGAGGTGGAGTAAGTTTCAGGTAGCTTGAAGCAGGCCAAGTTTCTGGCTGTAAGGTAGTACAAGTCATATTTTACAAATAGTGACATATGTAGTGTGTGTGTGCCTCAATGTCCTTATCTACAAAATAATCATAACAGGTACCAGACACAGTTGCTTATCCCCCTAAGCAATGACTTGAGTCTTACATTGGAAGTCAAAATTCAATGGAAGAAAGTAAACATTTATTGAGCACCTACTATGTGCCAAGCACATGACATGGGGTTTGTATGTGTTACTTCATAATTTTCACAACTTTCAAAGGAAGGCACTCTTTTCCATTTTACGGATGAAGAATCTAAAGCTCTGAGAGGTGCAGTGACTCATTAAGGCCAGTGGTATTTGGAGTTGAGTCCTGGTTTCCTGCCTCAAAAGGCCATATGTCCTCCTCTCTGTGCTCTTGAATGCACCCTGGGAAAGAAGTTATTATTGCCTCCACCTAGATTTCAAGCCAAGCAGGCAGGAACAATGGATTGAGAAAGAGGGCAGTGCTCCCAGGTTGGTCTTTGGCGATCAGAGTCTATGTGGGAAGTAGCCAGGAAAGCTGGGAAAGTGGATAAGCCTCACCCAGTTGCTTGTTCTGAGTCCATTGGTCTATGTCTTCAGAAAAAGGCTTCCAAGCCTGGACTTGTAATTAATTACAGGTGCAATTAACCTACTGCGCACATAGATTGGGTGCCAAGGCATTGAGTATCCATGTGTTCTGTGCCTGATGCCTTCTTTCATGACCACCTTGACAAATGAGTGGACGCTGGTCAACAGGCAAAGCTATTTCCCCTGCCTGTTCCACCCTGAAATAGCTTGGGCATTCATCCCTTCTTCCCTGTCTCCCTGTTCACAACAATTCAGGTCTCACGTGCACAGGCTTTTGCAACAGTTTCCTGACTGATTTTCGGGCTACAAGCCTCTCTCTCCGTCCCACCCAATTTTCCCACAGGCCATCTGAGCCATCTTCTTAAAATGCAAACCTGATCCCATCTTATCCAAATTAAAAACAAGCAAAAAAAAAATCCTCCGTAGATTCCATGACTCTCGGGATCAAGTCCAGATTCCTACACATTGGCCTCAAGGCCACTCACACTCCAGTGGCTTTTAAGTTCTCCAATCTTATCTCCCTGCTTTCTTCTTCATGCACATCCCCAGCTCTGTTCACATCTAATTGCCCTCTCATGTCTTCTTTTTTGCCTCCATACCTTTGACAAGGTCCTCTTTACCAGGATGGCCCTTCTCCCACTTCTTGTCTTAGAGAAACCCCATTTAACATTAACAAGAAAAAGAATTACTAAAATGTGAGCATTCAGGATCTTCCTTCCCTCCCCACTCCACTTCCTTAGGAGGCAGAACCAGGGCTCCAGTCTTCATAAAGATACCATAGAATGCAGAGACTGAGTCCCCTATTTAACAAAGAGCTGAGACATAGGTAATATGGGGAAGATATATTTTTTAAAATACAAGAGAGCTGAGCATCAGAGAGTCTTGTGGCATTAATAGTTGAGATTGGAAAATAGGAGGAACTTCAGGCGCTCCCACCTAGAGGATACTGAGTGAGGGAGCTATAAGAAGACAGTATTTATAAGAGTAGCCCGTCCCCATTTAACACTTCCTTCAGAAACTGAATCAAAGCTTGAATCACTTCCAACAATCACATTTGCCTCTTTTTACTATCTCTTCGGCTACACCGAAATCAGACTGAGCCACATGGGATATGTCAAGAATTATTTAGGTTACACATTCTTTAGAGTTTAAATTGAAGCTCTTAAAGCTTGCCTGACCACCTTCCCTGACCCAGCAGAATTAGTCACTCCTCTCTGTAGCCAGAGCACTTCATACAGACCTTTGTTTTAAGTCTTAACATTGGGATATTTTATTTGACTATATATTTTCTCTGTCATCAGTCCTTGAGATCCTGAGAGATCAGGGATAGCTATGTCTTCACCGTCTCTCAATGTCCAGTTTCCAGAACAAGTCTTGACATAGAAAAAGTAGCAATTGATTCTTGTTGAATATGCGACTAAAGAGTAAGCTATCTTGTGAAGTCTTCACCAAGCTGACCCAGCACCTGGGTCTCACTCTGGTCAGACCAGGACAGGAGACTCCACTACAGAGAGGTCAGCCTCACTCCTAGATGCCACTGCTTTCAGTTTTGGTCCTGACCACTTCCAGTTGAGATGGAAAACAGAAATTTGTTTGTTTTAAAGTGTCTGAATATTTAGAACCACAAAGAGGAGTTGTCCAGTTTGATTCTAAAAATGTGCCTTGTGCCTCTTCTTCTTCTCATTGCCCAGGTTCAACCAGGCCTAGCAAAAATTTGCTCAACCTTCACCTTGCCTGGGAAATGGAATTTTAGTAGGGACTTTGCCACATTCATGCATGCAGGCAACTGTGCGAGGTCTACAAAGAAAATAACTTCCAATACCAAGCACCCTTCTAGCAGTCACACTTCATGCTATCCCTAAGTTTGGGAAGATTTTATCTTATGAATCTGTCTTCTCCCACATGGGCCTCTGGCTTTGTCCAAGTGTTGGAAAGACCACAAAAACACACTTCCCCTTCCTTTGCTGAATTGAGGGGCTGGTCCCTGGGATAGTGCGTGAAGCCCAAGGTGGCAGCACAAAGAGCTGGAAATCAGGCAATTTCTTTCATCCCTCAATCCTCAGAGGAATAGACCTCAGCTCCCTCTTCAACCTCAAATGATGCCAAATAAAAAGGAAAAGTTGGAAACGTACCCACAGGAGAACTCACTCCATAGACAGTATGAGCCTCCTAGAGAAATAGATGCCCAGGAAGTTTGAATGAATGCAGTGAGATTGTGCATTCCTGAAGGAAAGAGACAACAAAATCACCACCAAAGGGAGGAGATGGAAATGGCCCTCCCTTTTTCTATGCCAGTCTTTCCTTCAGAGTGTCTACTTTTCCAGGGTCTCTCCTTCTACCTTATGAGAACTTGTGTATACCCTGGAGGAAGAGAACAGAAGGGAAGCTTGAGGCTGTTCCTTGGTTACACTCAGATTGCACTCAACTAGCCCAAGTAGGACTAGTTGAAGCCCAGAATTCGCTGTGTTCATGCGCCAGACAACTATGAGGTTTTGACCCCAAATTGGACTTCAGCACTTGATAGTCAAGTGACTGTAGGCATTACTCCACCTCCCAGAGCCACAGCTTCTTTAAAATATCTATTTCAATGGCTTGCTCTGGGAGGGATGTGATGAGATCATACATCCAAAATGCCTGGCAGATAGTGAGACCTTGGTAATTGTTAGTTGTTGTTGTTGTTGTTACTATTACTATTAAAAACACAAGCATGCTTCATTAGGGAGACTCTGCACCACACCATTCATATAAGGGCTAGATGCCCTTATATGAATCTTCATAGCACCATGAACATCCTCCTTTGTAGCTTTCCCCACACCTGTAATTCCTGCTCAGGATCTGTTGTCCCATGAGTGGCTCATAGACCACATTCATCTTGTTCCCCACCATCTCGAGTGTCTAGAATCACAGTAAATGCTCAAAAAGTATTTTCAATTTAATTTATTCCCATTCTACCCATTCCCACCTCAGCTTCTCTTCTCTGAAGTTTTTTACCTCCCTACCCCTGTCCCTCTTGGAGTGTCCAGATAATCCTTCCATCTTGTTCATCTCTACCACCTCCCCTGCAGTGGACCCATAGTCCAATCCAGAGCTCTGCTCAATGTCCTTGGAGTCTGAGAGGGAAATAACACAGACTCTGCACTGTGCCCTGAAATATTCAGAAGAAAAGCATTGTCTTTCTAATTGCCAGGGGATTTTTGTACTGGATTCTAAGACTTCTGGAATTTTTTGCCCTCGGATTTGGATACTATCAAACAATAAAGGTGCAATTTTTTGTTAAAGTTTATTGATGGAATTATAAATTTATATCAACGCAGTACATGTGTAAACTTGAGAATCTGGAGTGCTTCTACTTGCCATGCTCTGTGCATTGTCTTATTTACTCTTGACATTGGTTCTGTGTTGAGGTCAACATTATTGTTTTGTCTATTTTACAGCTGAAACTCAGAGACGTTAAGTCATTTGCCCAAAGATACCCAGTTTGTAAATGGCAGTCCTGGGATTGGAAGAGACTCTGAATCCACGTGCCTTTTTTTTTTTTTTTTAAGACAGAGTCTCACTCTATTGCCCAGGCTTGAGTGCAGTGGCATGATCGCAGTTCACTGCAGCCTCCACCTCCTATGTCGCAGCCTCCACCTCCTATGTCTCAGCCTCCAAAGTAGCTGGGACCACAGGCGTGCACCACCACAACTGACTAATTTCTGTATTTTTAGTGGAGATAGGGTTTGGTTTCACCATGTTGGCCAGGCTAATTGCTTTTCTTTTCCTTTAAAGAGACAGTTGCTTTTTTAAAAAAAAATCTTATTTTAGGTTCAGGGGTACATGGGCAGGTTTGTTATGTAGGTAAACTTGGATCACAGGAGTCTGATGTACAGAGATTATTTCATCACCCAGGTATTAAGCCCAGTACCCAATAGTTATTTTTCCTGCTCCTCTTCCTCCTCCCACACTCCACCCTCAGGCAGGCTCCAGGGCCTGTTGTTCTCCTCTTTGTATCCATGTGTTCTCATCATTCGGTTCTCACTTACAAGTGAGAACATGAAGCATTTGGTCTTCTTTCCTGCATTAGTTTGCTAAGGATAAAGGCCTTCAGCTCCATTCATGTTCCCTCAAAGGACATGATATCATTCTTTTTTATGACTGTGTAGAATTCCATGGTATATACATATCACATTTTCTTTATCCAGTTTTCTAATGATAAGCATTTATGTTGATTCCATGCCTTTGCTATTGTGAAAATTGCTGCAATGAACATACATGTGCATGTGTCTTTATGGTAGAACAATTTGTATTCCTTTGGGTACATACCCAGTAATGGGATTGTTGGGTTGAATGGTAGTTTGGGTTTTAGCTCTTTAAGGAATTGCCACACTGCTTTCCACAATGGTTGAACTAATTTACACTCCCACCAACAGTGTATAAGAGGTTTTTTTTTTCTCCATTGATCCACACTCTTAATTCCATGCTGTACTGTCCCCAAGGATAAATGAGTCAATGTGTATCCCAAAAAAAAAAAAGAGGAATTGGCCCTAACCACATACCCCATCCCTCCTGACCAAAGGAAGTTGAGAGGTGGGCCCGTTGTCTCTCTGCCAATCCTGAATCTGAAGAAGGCTGAACTCTTCCAGAGTGTGCTTGTCGAAGTCTACACTCACACATGTCAACAGATGACCTGAGTGAGTTAGGGTTTAGAAGCCAGAGATATCTTGGGCCTTTCTTCTTCAGACCCCTAGGTGGCTGTTGGGAGAAGGAGCAGGGCTAGAGTCAGGTGGACTTCTCAAAAAGCTTGGATACACAGAGGGGAAGTAAGTATAGTGATGAGATCTGTGTAACACTGGCCAACGCAAGGTGGGAAGAAAGGAGCAGGCATACTACCCAGTCCTCCCAACAACCGTGAGCCAAGTGTCATTATCCCCATTTTAAAGATGAAGAAACTGAAGCTCAGGAAGTTGAAGTCACTTGCCCAGGGCAGTTACAGCTCCCTGCACATGGATTGAGATGTACTGGAAGGAATGCATCTGGGTAGGCGGGTAGCTGAGCTCACTGACAGGCACCCACCTTCCTAACTTGGCCCCAGCCCTGTAAGGCGCAGGGTGATTTTTGTAAACCCAGCTGGTGCAATATTATCTGACTTAGTCTGGTGATATCAAGTGCCAAGCTGAACAACTCAAAAACCCCTCCATCTCTTAATGGAATCTCCTTATTCTGAAATAGCATATTCTACAATGACAGCAAGGTGGGGAAAGAGGACATGCACATGGACAGAAGCCTATCTGGCTGGTAGCCCCCATCTTGAACATCCCAACGTCGAGATTGGTTTTTACCTGCATCAGTGGAGAAGGGGGAGCCAGGTGTGTCCTGGGGGCTCCACCTTGAGATCAGACAGAAGCCAAACACACTCTCACAACTGAACTCTCCCTTCACCGGCCCTCAACCACCCCCCTGACTAGGCCACCTTCCCCTGCTCCACTATTCACTTCTGTTTTTCTCCCTCTCCCCAGTTCTCTCCTTCTTTCATTCTTGGAGCAAGCAGCATCTGATTATTTACAAATATATTTGAGTATTTAGTATATGCACAAGACTGAGAACATGAACTAGTGGTCTGACTACCATATCTGGACCATAGAGATGTTTTATTTACAACACATAGAGTGTTTTAAGAAATCTTGATGTTTTTTCAACATGAAGTATTGTAGGATTTTGTGTACAAAGTCAGATTTCTGCCTTCTCTTGAATGATTGAAAAGTTGGAAGTTCTCAGATGAACTTTTCACACAGCAGCAATTGGCTGAGGTTGAATTATATGTGGGTCAGAATATTTTCCCTGCATCCTTTTTATCCCCCAAAATTAACCTTCTTCACTCATTTGGCTACTGGGTATGTTTAAGACTAAGTTGAGTTTAAGACTCTCATCTCAAAAATTCCCACTATGCAGGTGAGAAAACTGAGACATCAAGAACTTGGCAACTTGCAAGGTCACTAGTGGGTGGCATCCCCTGGGTCTTCCTGATAACTGCCCTTCTGCAATGCCTGTGAAAGTAAAGGCATCTTCCTTAACAGGCCTGTTCTCTGCCTCCCATGATCTTCACCTGCCAAGCCTGGAGGCCAGGAGGAGCTAGAGAAGACCCAGGATGACGCAGGCAAAAGACAAACTCAGATGCATGGATATCTGGCCTTCATCACAAATCAGGCCTCCTCCCCTGCTGATGGCTTGCAGGGG
The DNA here is from genome assembly GCF_000001405.40 of Homo sapiens. Taxonomy (NCBI): domain Eukaryota; kingdom Metazoa; phylum Chordata; class Mammalia; order Primates; family Hominidae; genus Homo; species Homo sapiens. The sequence goes on from NC_000020.11 coordinate 40,530,645, forward strand.
TGGAGCTGCCGCCAGGCAGGTGAGAACAGCTCTAAGCATGGCACTGTCCTTACATGCCCTGGAAGGGCCAGGCCTTCCAGGCAGTGGAGCCCCTAAACTGGTAGCACAGACTCCTCTACCCAAGATTTACTCACAGCCCTACTCCTCAAGGGTGAGAGTCTCCCACGCTGGAGGTGCACACACAGAAAAACCCCACACATACACACACACCCATACAGAAAAACCCCATACAGACACACACACACAAACATACAAACACACATACATATACACACGCACACATATATACATGTATGTGTATATACACATACAAACATGCATACACATATATACATGTATGTGTATATACACATATGCACAAAAAATACATATGCATGTACACATATAATATACACACACATACAATTAACACAGATACACACATCGATATGCATACACACATGCATGCATATGTGAACACATATATACCTACAGACACTTATACACACAAACACACACATACATACAACATATACACACAGGCATCCACATAAACATAACCACATATGCATATACATATACATGCACACAACATGGACTCACATACACATATACACACAATGCTCTGAGAGAGTAGCAAGTGAGCAGGAGGATGGAAATGAAAGGAGGAAGGAAAAAAGGAAGGAAGGGAGGGAGAGGAGTGCGGGATGGAGGAAGATCTTTTTAAATTACTCTATGGGGAGTACTTGCTCTGTGCCAGGCATTATGCTGTGTTTTCCATGCTTTATGTTATTCAGTCCTCACAGCATCCTTTTGAAGTGGGTATATTTTTATTTTTATTTTTCCAGTGGAGAAGCAGAGGCTTGGAGAGATTGGACAACTAGCCCCAGATCTCATAGGCCAGATGGTTAGCAACAGAGCTGAGGTATGAGCTGTTGTCTCTGATAGTGTGTTCATAGTCACAAAATTCTTCTTAAGTGCCAGATTCTAGGCCCTGGGAATACAGAAGTAAGAAAATGTTTCCAGTATTCATGGAGTTCCCAATTATGGGAAGTGGGGGGAAATATTATGCAAATAATCACACACATAATCATGCAATTACAAAGGTGATAAATATGATAAAATTAAAGTACAAGACACCATGCATGGTTATAACAGAGCAGCCCCCACTTAAACTTAGGGGTGAAGGAAAGCCTCCCTGTGGGAGTCACATTTAAGCATGTCCCCAGCCTATTCGCCCCAGCTCTGGTCAAATGCCTTCCCATCAGCATACTACCAGGAAGGAAGAGAAGGCAGAGCCCCTATACTGTCAAATCAGGATGACTACTTCAATAATCATTTTAGAGACAATCTACCTTATCCTACAAAAAGTCTTGGGAATCCAAGTGCTTTATGTACACATACATATATGCATGCATATGTAAACACATATACACCTACGGACACTTATACACACAAACACACACACATACATACAACATATACACACAGGCACCCACATACACATAACTGTAGTGAAAGTCTAGGGTCTTGCTGTAATGAAAGTGGCCCATTCTGGGACACCTCACATCTGAAGCCCCCACCACTGTGACTTCTGAAGAAATTTAGGCCAGCAAGAACATTACTGCTTCAGTGAACAAGAGTCCACTGGATTGTACGAGACTGGTGTTCAACAGTGCCACCATGTGGACAGGACCAAAACGATACTCTAGTGAATAGGTGAAGATTTCTAGTTCTCTCACCTGACATTTGGAACAGAATGGGCCCCCTTTTTACTAAACAAGACGCCAAGTGGTCCTTGGAAATTTTCTCTTTACGCTAATAATGTAAGTGGGGACTCAAGTAATTGGAAAAAATAAAGGAGCAGTGACCTTAGTGTCCCTTGAGCTGACTAAGTAGTTCCTACTGGCTTCAAATGAGTCTCTAGAATGTTCTGTGGGGCTTTCCAAAGACAATCTGCATCTTTGTTCACCTTCCAGACCTGGAGCTCCCACAGATAGCTAACCTCCCTCCCAAATAAGCTGCTCACAAAATTCCTCACCAGTCTAATGAAAAGAAAATGAGTTTGATGTCAGATAAACCTGATTTTAAACCCCAGATCCTGTACTTACTGGGAGGATAACCATAATCCTCCCATGTCCTGTGCTTTAATTTTATCACACCTATCACCTTTGTAATGGTATGATTATTTGTGTGATTATTTGCATGATATTTCCCCCCTTCCCATAATTGGAGGATAGTCAGGATCCTCACGCTCTACAAGAATTAGATTTCCTCAAAAAAAAATAACATCTCCTTCACAGGCTGTTGTGTAAGGTGTATTAGTATCTTAGGGTTGCCATAACAAATCACCACAAACTAAGTGGTTTAAACAGCAGAAATTTATTCTCTAACAGTTCTAGAGAACAAGAGTCCAAAATCAAGATGTCACAGGGCCAATCTCTGAAAGTTCTAGGGGAGGGTCATTCCATATTTTCCTTAGTTTCTGATGGTTGCTATCATTCCTTGGATCTCCCTTGCCTGTAGCTACAATGAGATGACAGTCAGGCATGTTGTACACAGTTGGTTACCTTCAGTTGCATCTGAATTTACATTTACTGTGCCCAGTTTTGAAGCCTTCTGTATCATTCACCAGTCAGTCAACAGTAATCTTATGAAGTCATAAATATATTTGTCATTCTTCTGCTTACAGTCCACTATGGTTCCCCGGTGAAAAAATGGTTCCCCTTAAGAAAAAATATTAATACATCTTTGGAAGAGCCCATAAGCCCTTCACCATCTGGCCCAGCCTGGTCTTCCCCTACTCCTCCACTTGCCTCTACTTCTTCTACATTAACCCACTCATTAATCCATGCACACTACACATATATTTGGACTTTCAGGTTTTGCCCTCTGCCCTATTCTTTCTATCTCTAATACTCCACTCCTTTCTCCATCGAGAGTTTTTCTTCTCCTCCAGGAGTGCTTCTTCTCATCATTCAAGACTCAGTTTGCATCCTATTCTCTCTAAGGCTTTCCCAGATACCCCTGGACAGAGTTAGACTCTCCCACCTGTGAGTTTCTGAAGAACTCTGTATATAATGCCAATATGGTGCTGGTCATATTCTATTCTGATTTCCACTGTGCCTATGTTCTCCACCAGACTGTGAGCTCTTTGAGGACAAGGACTTGGTTTTATCCACCCTTACTCCTAGGTTCACCCCAATTTGGAATGGAGTAGGTGCTTAATAAACACTTACTGAAATGGACATCAAACCTGAATAAGTTCTGAGGACTCCCAAGTCCCTCAGGGCTGGAGAGAGGAACCACCAAATTCCCTCTGATATCTGGGACATACACATAGTTCACAACAATTAAAATAACTAAATCTGGATGACTCAGGACACCTGAGCTTTCCCTCCTACATTTTCCACCACTTTGGCAAACCCCTTAACCTCTCTAAGCCTCAATAGCCTCATTTGTCACTCTGAAGTAACTCATGTGCCGGCCAGGGCTAGGTATGTTTAGAAACGCCATCTGTTTTAGCCCTCACAACAATCAAGGTACATGAGCACTTGATTTCCACTTTATAGATGAGAAAAACGGAGGTTCAGAGAGATTGAGTAACTTTCCCACTTTACACAGCTAGTAAGCAGCAGAGCTGGGATCAGACCAGGCCCCTCAACCCAGAGACATTACTTATTCATTTACCGCTCCTCTCAGAAAAATCTTTATTGAGCACCCACTGTATTGTTGGCACAGCTCTAGATGCTAGGGGTACAGCAGTGACTAAGGCAAGTGATTAAAGTGTCCCCATATTTATGGCATTTACACTTTCCTTCTGTCATGCACCCCCCCAAAGCTGGTGACACAACATGAGAGGGGCAACAGGACTGCAGTGGCCCCAATAAGGTCCAGCATACACAGCAGCTTTAGAATGAGAGCAGCAAGACTAACCAGCCAACGCTAACCCCCACCACAGGTGGAGATGGAGCCTGATGTGAAGCCACGTCCTGCTTGCTCAGGACAGGGCAGGTTGAAGTTCTTTAGCACCTGTGGTTGGGCTGGGCCAGGACAGAGAGGGGAGAGGCAACCTGGAAGCTGCAGGTCACAAGTCTCCTCTCCTGCCACTTTGTGCCCCCTCCCCAGTCCTGTCCTCAGCCAAGCACAGGAGCAGTCGCTCAAGTTTACGATGTGCTGCGTGCAGGTTGCAGACCTACCATCATCCATAATAGGTTGTTGTTTTTACTTTCCATTTATAGAGGTGGCTGAGTTACCACCTATGGTCACCGCAGCCGTTAAACTGCTCCGGGGGCTGAGATTTACATAGCAGCCATGTGAGCTGCCACAAACTTGGGGTTGGGAGGAGGATGTTTTCAATCGAATTAGAGCTGATGATTGATAGACAGGGACAGCAGAGACCAGCCTCATCAACTCCAAAAAGCCCAGGAAGCCCTCACCCAGAATGCACTCCCTGGAGATAACAGTGGTGGAGCCCAGGCCATGCATGAGATAAAGAAAAAGGCTCAGAACAAGTGGGTGCACATTCGCACCCTGGAATAGCTAGGAAGACCTGGGAGTGGGAATTAGAGGATGGACCTCTACTCCTTTCCCCCATGATATCAAATTCGCGTAGTAATTATGTCTTTTACCTGAACAGTGGTTCCTAACAACCAGCTAATAACGGGATATAATCTCCATAGCTTTCAATCCCAAGATCTCAAAACATATTATGAATAATTAAATGCCATTATTTAGTGATTTGGGTAATCAAAGACCTTTTTAACTGTCATTTTTTTTCTTTTGCTGTGCCCAGAACACAGCTCAGCACCATGTTCTCAAATGAGGAAACTGAGGCACAGAGAGGCCAGGTGAACTGGCACAGATCATCTGATACCTCATCGTGGCTCTTAGTCCCCACTCCACACTCTTTCTCCAGGGCCTTCAGCACTGTGCCTCTGCATGACTGACTGCCCCCTTCTCCCCAGCCCCAAATCCCACCCCCACCTTTACCCATCCTAGACACCATTATTTAAATGTTTCCTGTTGAAATCACCCTCATTCCCACTGGGGCAGGTGCAGGGATCCAGCAGGACAAATTGGCCACCTCCCTTCCTGGCCTCACCTTGGCCCCTCTCTTACCATTTAAATCCTCCACCCTGAACAAAGTAGCAAAATGTACCCCCCTTCTCATGCGGTTTAGTATAAGGACAGGTTTGGATCCCTACAATGAAAGTTCATGTTTCTAACAAGTGTCCACAGCCAGTGCCCTCTGCATCCATTTAACTGTTGCCTCCTGAAAGCTATCATTTTCTATTTCCTGTGACTAATGTGCACTGGGAGCTAAATTCACACGTGTGTGCAGGACCCTACTTCCAAAGACATGTTTCATCATCGTCCATTGACAGGGCTCTCAACCCCAAGCCAGGACCCACGCATGCCAGAGGCTGTGGCGAGCCACGAGCATTGCGTTTACTCATGCATGGGCATAAACCTCCATGGCCTCTCTCCCCTGCACAGTCTGAGACACAGGGTGGATACGCAGTAATTCAGGCTCCTACAGCGGGCCTCAGACTCACCCCTGCCAGGATACAGATATTGTAGAGAGATTTTTTTATTGTCTATCTCCCTCATCAGCCTGAGCTCTCTATCTCCAGATCTTTCCTGTAGTTCCTTAATATTCTGAACAATACTATGTGGCAGATATGGTTTATTCCATTTTACAGATGTGGAAACTGAGGTTAAATGTTTACTCAAAATTACACAGAGACTAAATGCCTTAATCATAATAGGACTCAAGTCTCTTTGGTCCCCAAGTTTCATGTTCTTCTCACAATCCCCCAGTTAATATATCTAGTCCAAATAAAGAACAGATTAACTGACTAATTTAAACTCCCAAACTCACTTCTGCACCAGTGCTCTGGAGGATCAAGGCCATATCCACAGAGTACAGAGCAAAAAAGGAGAACTAGCAAATACCCAGAGCATTTGGCAAGTATCTTAGACATTCAAGCCAGAAGATTTAGGAGTGAAAGAGAATTCTTATTATCATAATTGTTATCATAATTGCCAAAACAAATAAAATTAACCAAGGACATGTAGCTGTATCTGCACCCAAGCAAGACTGTAGCAGTTCTTAACCAATCAACATGTCTATTAGCATGAAGCAATTGTGTCTTGCCTGTGATCGGCACCTCATTTTTATTCATCAAATATTTATTGGGTACCAGTGATGTGCCAAGCCCTGTGCTGGAACTCGAGATGACACAGATGACTGACGTGGTCCCCGCCCTTGGGAAGCATGCAGTCCAGGAAAGTCATAGAATGCAGCTCCCAAGAAGAAGCCACTGGAGCAAGCAGATGAAGGTTGGGAAATCATGCAAGCCTAGGGCAGACCAGCCAAACTGCAATGGGAATGCAGCTAGCTACTCACTCTGAGGCCCTAAAGCGGAATAAAAGGGACTGCAACAGCTTAGATTTCCCCTTTCCCTCCTCAGGGACAGGAGTAGCCACCATTCAAATCTTTCTGTGATGACTAGCTGTCTTAGTCAGCTAAGGCTGCTATAACAAATCATCATTGACTGGATGATTTAAACAAAAACATTTATATCTCACAGTTCTGGAAACTGGGAAGTTCAAGATCAAGGCACTGGTAGATCTGGTGTTTGATAAGGGCAGTCTCCTGGTTTGCAGATGGTTGTCCTCTAGTTGTGTCTTCATATGGCTAGAGCACTCTCAAGTCTTCTTATAGGCACTAATCACACCTCCCAAAGGCCCCACCTCTTAATAGAATGACACTGGGGGCTAGACTTCAACATATGATATTTGGGAGGACGCAAACTTTCAGCCCATAGCATGAGCAGTCTTCATGCACAGGAGGCTAATCATGATACTTCATGTGCCTGCCATTTGAGCCTCACATCTCTCCTCCATGCCAGAGTGGGTCACTTTATGCTACCTTATTCATCCCTGATGCTCTCCCTTAGTTGAACAGAATCCCCTTCCCACCCAAGGAATACGCATTGCCCTGTCAAACAAGGGAGGCTTTCTCACTTAGGGCAAAGTATAACAGCATCCTAGCTAGGATTTGGGGGACTCAGGCATGGATCATTTGGAGGCTAGATGGGCTGACAGCCAACTGGTACCAGACACTGTCACTTCCCATTAACAGCCCAGGCATCTGGGAGCTTGCCCACCTCAGGGCAAGTCCATTGATTTATTTTTTAATCTACAGAAACCTGAATCTAAAAGATTGGCAGTAACATGTGATGCCCATATTCAGGAATTTTAGTTTTGGTGCACTGGGGGCCCCTGCTTGCCTTTTGGTCCTAGAAGGCATCTCAAGGGCTCATGCAAATTAAGTTCCTTACAGCCACCCCAGAGATGCCAGGGTGCCCCAGATGGGCACACCAGTGACACCATGCCATCTGATGCTTGGACCCTCCCAGACAACTGCTTTGCTAGCGAATAATTCACTGGATTCAGCCATTGAGACACTGGGGAAACATAGCTGAGATGAAGTTGGCAGTGGAGACAGTTACCTAGCTCCTTCAAGGGGGAAAAGCACATACTACCCTTCTTTCATTAACCAGTCAGATAATGTATCTGCAGGGTGTTATCAGTCATCAGCACCCTGTTGCAATGGCAATTAAGAGGATTAGAAATCAGCTTCCATTTTATTGCAGTTCCCATGGAATGCATGGGTAGAGACCAAAGAGCAGAGCAATGCATGGCTGTCAGCAATGCAGGGTCATTAGTGAGGCTTGGGAAAGACAATAAATCCCCAGATAAGTCAATCTTTCGACAACAATTATTGATAACTAGAAGTTACATCAGACGCTGTGTTGGGCTTTAGGGAAACAGGTGAGGCCAACACTTTGCCTTTCCTTGAGGAGTTCACATCAAGTGCGAGACAATGCAGTCAAGTTAGCAAATTATTATAGAAAGGGGCACAAAAAACTCAGTGAGCAAAGAACTCTGAAGGCACAGAAGAGAGGACTGCAGATTCTACCTGCGAAATCTGAAAGGCTTCAGAGAAGAGTTGTCATTTGAGATGGACATTGAGGGTAAGTAGAAGATCATTGGATAAATGAGGACAGACCCTTCAGAGCAGCAGCACAACGTAATGCTCAAAGTCATGGACTATGGAGTCAGACTTGTGAGATTATAGGTTAGGCCAGGGACTAACCTGGTGACCAAGACAAGTTACTCTAATGACTCTGTAACTCAGTTTCCACATGTGAAAAAATGCAATTGTTCTCATTATTAAATTAGACAATCTATGTCAAAGCACAGGGCACAGTTCTTGGGAACTGGCAAGGGCCAAGAAATGTCAGCTATTATCATGATGTGCAGAAGGAAAGGTTTGAAGTGGATGAGAAAACCACTGTGGCTTAGAGCTTTGGTACAAAATGAATAGTAGTAACTGTTCAACTTAAGATTTTGGTATTTATCCCATAATCAATGGAGAATGCCAAGCGGTTTCTGACCTGAAGTATGCCACACTGAGTTGGGGTAGAGACCATGGGCCTGGATATATTGACACCAGGGAGGAGCCACTGACTTGGGGCTTGACTTCGGGTGGTATAAATGAGGGCAGAGAGAAGGGAAGGGATCCTGAAGATATTAGCAGGGAGCTTCAACTGGTTTTGCTGACTGTGATGGTCGGTTTTATGTGTCAACTTGGTTAGGCTACAGCCTCCAGTTTTTTAATCAAACACTAACCTAGGACTTGCTGTGAATGTATTTTGTGACTGTGATTAAAATCCTTAATCAGTTGGTTTTAAGTATGGGAGATTATCCTACATAATTTGAGTGGGTCTGATTCAGTTGAAAGACCTTAAGAGCAGGGCTGAGGCTCCTCTGCAGTAAAAGAAACTCTGCCTGTGGACAGCAGCTTGAGCCAAAAGCTCCAGCCTGCCCTTCCTACCAGCCTATTCTATGGATTTTGGACTTTCCTGGCCAATCCCCCACATCGCAAAAGCCAATTCTTTGCAATAAATCTGAATACATATCTCCTACTAGTTCTGTGTCTCTGGTTGAACCCAGATTTACACAATAACGGATTGGATAAAGGAAATGCGATCTGTCCATAAAATGGAATATTATCCAGACTTTTAACAAAGAAGGAAAGCCTACCATTTGTGATAATATGGATAAACCTGGAAGGCATAATGTTAAGTGAGCCAGTCACAGGACAGATACTGCGTGATTTCACCTATATGAAGTAGCTAAAATAGTCAAACTCATAGAAGCAGAGAATAGAATGGTGGGTGCCAGGGGCTGGGGGGAAGAGAGTAATAAGGGAGATTTTGCTTAATGGGCATAAAGTTTCAGTTATACTAAATGATACACTTTAGAGATCTGCTGTACAACACTGTGTCTATAGTTAACAGTATGATATTGTGCAGCTAAAAATTTGTATAAAGGGCGTATCTCATTTTAAGTGCTCTTATCACAAAAAAAGGAGGTACAAAAGGAAATTTTTGAAGGTAATAGATAGGTTTGTTACTTTGACCATGGTGATATTATCATGGGTGTATGCATATGTCCAAACTATTAAATTGTATACATTAAATCTGTGTATTTTTAATATCAATTATACTTCAATAAAGCTGTTTAAAAAAATGTAGAGCTAAAAGAAGCCACATCAGTTCCTAGAGATTCCTCACAAAGCCTTGGACATACGATTGGTTCCTGCCTCATCCTTGTGCCAAAGTCTATAAAAATCTCTCTTTTATGTGGCTGCCTTTTCTGGACAAGGCAACATTCCTGTCTCAGTTGGCAGCTCTATAGAGCAGATTGCAGAAGTTTGGACATATTGACTCTGACATATGGATCATGCTCTCAGGTTGGTTTTTGTTTTGTTTTGTTCCTAATATATATCGTTTTATAAGGTTTCTTTTATGTTAGGCTGAGTCTTTGATCTCCCCAGAAAAAAACTCTGCCTCCCCCCAGAGTTTCTTTTAATCTACAAAAATCACTGACCACAGCTGCAGACAGGGAAGGGTTCTGCAAAGAGACAAGCCAAGTACAGTGAGAGAACATAGACTCAGAGAGAGGTAACTAGGAAGCACAGTGCGTTTCTCCAAGGCCCCTGACATTCGTGTGACGTGCTCTTTGCAGTCATCCAAGCCCTGAGTTCCAGAATGCATGGCTAACAAATGGGAAGGGGAGAGCCAGCTCTGTGCCAGTCTTGTCTCAAATATTAGCTATTCTCATTCTTGCATCAGTCTGGTGAGGTAAAGACCCTGATCTCTTATAACAATTGAGGAAACTGAGGCTCAGGGAGTGTCTTAGCTTGGCTCCCCCAGAAGCAGATGGTGAGGCAAAGGTTCCTTCTACTTTGATGTAATTTCAAATTTAAAGAAAAGTTGCAATAACAGCATAAAGAGTTCCAAAATACTCTTTATCCAGATTGGCTAATTGTTACATTTTCTCCTATTTGCTTTGTTATTCTCCTTCTTCTCCCCGCCTCCCATGGTTTTTTAATGAATTATTTGAAAGTAATTTAGAGACCTGATACACCTTTGCCCCTAAATATTTCAGTGTTTATGTCCTAGGAATAAGGACGTTGTTGTTGTTGTTGTTTTGAGACAGGGTCTGGCTCTGTTGCCCAGGCTGGAGTGCAGTGGCACGATCTTGGCTCACTGTAGCCTCCAGCACCCAGACTAAAGTGATCCTCCCACCTCAACCTCCCAAGTAGCTGGGGCTATAGGCATGAGCCACCACGCCCAGCTAATTTTTTAATATTTTTTGTAGAGACAAAGTTTCCACAAAAATATTGCCCAGGCTGGTCTCAAAACTCCTGAGCTCAAATGGTCCACCCACCTTGGCCTCCCAAAGTGCTGGGATTACAGGCATGAGCCACCATGCCTAGTCAGGACATTCTTTTTTTTTTTTTTTAACTTTTATTTTAGTTTCAGGTACATGTGCAGGTTTGTTATATAGGTAAACTCTTGTCACGGGGGTTTGATGTACGGATTATTTTGTCACCCAATAACTATTGGGTGATGAAAAAGTTAACTGTTAGGTACTAGTTAACTATCATGTACTAAGCCTAATACCCAATAGTTCTTTTTTCTGCTCCTCTCTCTCCTCATACCCTCCCTCTCTGTTAGACCCCACTGTCTGTTGTTCCCCTCTTCGTGTCCATGTACTCTCATCACTTAGCTCCCACTTATAAGTAAGAACATTTGATATTTGGCTTTCTGTTCCTGCATCACTTTCAATGCCACCATGGTACAATTATGTACCATGAATCATGAAATGTAACACTGTCACAATACTACTATCTGCACAGGCCACACTCAGATTTCATCAATTGTCCCAGTAATGTCTTTTATAAACTATTTATTTTTCCTTGTTCAAGATCCAGTCCAGAACCAGGGATTACATTTAATTATCATGTCTCTTTAGCCTCCTTTAAGCTAAAATATTTCCTCAGCCTTTCTTTGCCTTTCTTGACCTTAACATTTTTGAAGAGTATTGGCTGGGAATTGTGTAGAATGTCCATCAATTTTGGTTTCACTGAGACAAAGATTTTTTGAAAGCACTCCTCAGGAAGTAGAACCACAGAAGGAAAATGGTCAGCAAAGTTGTACTATCAAGCAAAGTCCCACAGCAGGCGAGTCTGGCTCGGTCCCACAGGGAAGCTCTGCAAACAGTATGGGTCACACCTCAGAGCTGTCCAATTTAGGGACAATGGAGCTGGAGAATGTTTGACCCCTGCACCCAGCAATTGCCTTCAGCTCCAGCTCTCATGCACAGTGCCTAAGGGGCTCCTGCAGCCAGAAGGCACACATGCTGGCCCATTGGCTGGTGAGTACAAACTGTGAAGGGATCTGGGGGAATAAAGCTGGGGCACTGGCAGTATGTGCTACAAAGAGTTTTACTTACCCAGAATCACACAGTTTGCAAGTGACAGAGATGGAATTCCAGCAAGCTCCGTGTCATTTATCTATATTCCATCGCCTCCCTGAAGAACTAATATCAACCAGAAGCCTGGATAATCCTATGTCCCAGAGAAACAATGCGTCAGGCATCATTTTGCCATAGAAATGTGATTTTTTTTTTTAAGTTTTTAAGCAGAATCCCATTGTCTGCATTTTGGAGTGTGGTTGGTTTTTATTTTCTTGACTTTTTCCATTATTATAAAATGTCATGCAATGAGTTTATATGTGTGTCATAATTAATAAGAGAAATGACCAAAATGCAGAACACTCGGTTCCCCAGGATACATGACTGCGGCTGGACAGCACAGCATCTGAGAGCCTGGGCTCTGGCTCCAGTCTCCCTGGACTCCTGTGCAGTCGCCAACATGTCACCTGCCTCTCAGAATATCCACTTAGCATCTGTAAAGGGTAGTAACACCACCAACTAGGAGGTTAGCGGAGAGTTAAATGAGATGAGGTGTGTATAACTCCGTTAACGCAGTACCTAGTGCATGGTGCGTGCAATGGTCGGAATGTTTATGTCCCCCCAAAATTCATATGTTAAAATCCTAAGGCTTAAATGGTGCTATTAGGAGGTGAGGCCTTTGGGGAATAATTAGCTTATGAGGGAGTATCCCTCATGTATGAGAATAGTGCCCTTATAAATGAAGCCTGAGGGAGCTTGATCGCCCCTTCCACCATATGAGGTCACAGTGAGAAGGCACCATCTGTGAGCAAGGAAGCAGGCCCTCACCAGACAATGAATCTGCTAGCATCTTGATCTTGAAATTCCCAACCCTTAGAACTGTGAGAAACAAGTTTCTGTTGTTGGTGACCCACCCAATCTATGGTATTTTGTTATAGCCACCCAAATATGCTAAGACAGTGTGCCCTCTGTAAATGTTAACTGTGTTATTAATACCCTTGATTTAGGCCGGGTGCAGTGGCTCGTGCCTGTAATCCCAGCACTTTGAGAGGCTGAGGCAGGCAGATCACTTGAGTCCATGAGTTCAAGACCAGCCTGGTCAGCATGGCAAAACCCCATCTCTACTAAAAATACAAAAATTAACTGGATGTGGTGGTGCACACCTGTAGTCCCAGCTACTCAGGAGGCTGAAGCAGGAGAATTGCTTGAACCCAGAGGCAGAGGTTGCAGTGAGCCAAGATTGCTCCACTGCACTCCAGCCTGGGTGACAGAGTGAGACTCTGTCTCAAAAAAAAAAAAAAAAAAAAATACCCTTGATTTACCCAGAGGGTGTGGTGGGTCTGCCCTGCCTGCATCTGATTCACCTTTGTCCCTACCCACCTTTTAATCTCCTCTGCTCAGCACAGGCCAGCCTGGCAGTCAGTGGTTGAAGTATTTGATGAGGAGGTTGATAAGAACAAAGAATATCCATCTGTGGGCTGGTGGAGACAATACTGGGGTGAGAGAAAGTAGCCATGAGGATAGAACCCATAAGACAAAGTCCTAAGAGCTTAGGGGTGAAACTGCAGGCTGGCTCCACCTGAGACACCACTTCCTGCTCAGTCTTTATTCTTTTGAAGAAGAGTCCGCCCAGTCACTGAAGGCCATGAGAAAACACAAAAACATGTGCAGATCCTCCTTCCACATGTCACTCCCCTCCTCAAAACCTCTCAGCAGTTCCCCCATTGTCCTTGGGCTAAAGAAAAAATCCTATCAAGGGTCTTCAAGGCTCTTCATGGACTAGTCCTCACCTCCTTTCCAGTGCCATCTGCTGTCACCTCCACCTACAATCACCACCCAACACATTGCCCTCTGAAATGTTCCGCCTGAGTCACTTGTCTTTTCCCAAATACACCTTACAGGTTCACTCCTTCATGCCTTTACACAATGTTGCTTCTTTTTTCTGTAAGAAGCATCCCTGTGGAGGGCAGATTCTAAGGTAGCTCCCAGTGATCCTACCTTCTGATATTCTTGCCATTGCTTAATTCCCCCCTTTGAGTCTGGAATGGACCTAATAACTCTCCTCTAAGTTACTGGAAGAGAAAAACGATGGGATGTCACCTCTGAAATTAGGTAACAAAGACTCTTGTTTGTCTTATTCATCCTTTCTTGGTTGCTTGTTCTGATGGAAGCCAGCTCCCATGTTGTTAAGGGCCCCACATAGCAAGGAACTGAGAGAAGCCTTTGGCTAGCAACCAGTGAGTAGCTGGGGCCCTCAGTCCAGCAGCCCATGAGAAATTGAATTCTGCCCTCAGATGAAACCTCAGGACCTCATTAGCCCTCAGATGAAACCTCAGGACCAGTCAACATCCTGATTGCAGCCTTAGGGGAGACCCTGAGCCTGAGGACTTAATTTATCCATGCCCTGATTTTTGACCCACAAAACTGTTAGATAATGAATGTTTTGGTTTTAAAATTCTACGTTTGAGAGAAATTTGATGCACAGCAATAGAGAACTAATACATATACCTTTCAACCTGTCAAAGTCATACTCACTTACTCCAGTATTACTTGTCCTAGGAAGTCTTCTCTGGCTTCCTGCCCTTCACCTTGGCTGAGTTGGTCAGCCCTCCTGAGTGGTGCCATCATGCCCTGTATTTCCCCATCACAGCTCCAGACATGGTACCACAATTTCATAATAACTTGTCAGCCTCTCCCTCTGGAATGTGAGTCCTTTGGAACCAGGGCTTGTGGCTTATTCACCTCCATAACCCCAAACAAGCCCAGTACCTGACACCTAATAATAATACCAAACATTTATTGAGCGCTCACTGTATGCCCAGCTAAATTTTCTTTTCAAACTTTATCTCACTGAAGCCTCCAATTAAGCATCATTAAACCCACTTTACTGATGACAAAATTGAGGCTCAGAAAGATTACACAAGCTAATATGTGGCAGAAGTGGAACTTTAACCCAGGCAGCATGGCTCCAAAGTTCTAGCTCTGTGTAGTAAGCACTTGTTGAATGGCTACCCAACTGAGGATGTGCTATGTGGCCACAGGATTGACCACAGACCCGATATGACTGGGCATCTATGTATCTGCCCCACAGAGGAGTGAGAGCCCCACAAAGTTTCAGAGATAAGTTAGGAGCCAGTGAGCTTCTAACTTAGGAGCTATTTCCATTCTTGACTTTGGAACAGCTGGGTTGGGATTTCCCGGAAAGCCTGAGCCAGAGGCCAAGACTGAAGCCAGGGAGCAAAGTTAAGTGGCCAAGTCAGGGGCCAATTAGCCATGGTGAGCTCCCCAGGGATTAGAGTCCCTGAGCCAGGTGAGGACAAAGCCAGGGCTTGAGGGTAGAAGACAACCATCTGGGAGACCCAGGTCTCTGAAAGCTCATAAATATGTATTCATCCATCCAACCAATTCCACTGTTAAGACGCAAGTCCTGATGTTTATTGAGCATGTACTATATGTCGGGTACTGTCTAGGGCTGGGATAGAACAGTAAACATGTCAGACAAAAATTTTTTTGTCCTTGTGACTTTACATTGTCATGGGGATAGAGAGACAGGAAGACAATTAAAATGAATAAGGATATTATAAGATAGAAGGTTTTTAAGTACTATGCAGAAATAAATCAAAAAAGGAGGAGAAGGGGGAGCCAGGGTGTAAGAAGTGTGGATGCATTTAGTAGAATTATCTCATGTGGAAAATGTTAAGAACTTAGCCTGACGTGTAGTATCCATGTAACAAATGTTAATGTTATGACTCCTACTCTGAGAACAAGGGTGGGGAGGTGTTGTAATTTGTCCTAAAGCTAGCTCAGTGAGTTTTAAGGGGGATACCTCTGTCTTTAGTGTCAGGATTCATTGAGTCAAGCTCATGAACATTAACATGTGTTGGTTCCAGTGGAAGACAGATTTCTAAGCAATGTGGGAGACTCTGCTGGGATATGGACAACCATAAAACCCAAGGTCTTCTCTGTGAGTACAAGGATGAGGGAGCAGGTGAATATAAAGTTTACAGTACCACCTGAATAAATCAGCTGGACACAAACCAGCAGCTAGGACTACATATGATGGCACACCCAGACCTTGGGCTCTAATCCATCAGGCAGTTCAAGGGACCAGAGGCAGAAGCTGAGATGGAAAGATGGGCGAACAGGCTATGTTGAGGAAGGTCAAGATCTTCCCATGGCCTCACTCAGTGCTCATCCATGGTTCAGGGCCTGCCCTGAGCAGTACAAGTAACTCTAGCCCCGATGCAGGCTCATCTGAGACCTTGACAGCTGCTGGTCTGATCCAAACAGATATCTGGGGAAGTAGGGCTCAGCTTGCAGCTGATGTTGCCAGTCCAACTCCTGAATTCTCCAAATCACACTCTGCAACATGCATCACCTAGCACTCTTAGGCTGAGATTTTGTATCATGACCACATTTAGAGCCTAACCTCACCCTTCCCCGGCCTAGATCTATTCAAACATCCTAGCCAACCTCTCTGAACTCCTAGGTATGAGCCCAGAGGCACCCAAGGCATGCCAGGTTTGTCTTAGAAGTACTTGATGGCTTTTTTCACTCCTGCCCCTTCCTGCCCTCAGCAGTCTCCTGGGGTGACTTCTAATAAACACCTATTAGGTGCCAGACACCATGATCATGTAGTCCTCAGAGCACCGCTACAAAGGATCTACATTATCCATTTCATGAGATGAGACAACTGGAGCTGCAAGACAGTATGTATACTAAGGAAGGAAGCATGCACACAGGATTTCGACCCAGGTCCGTGTGATTCCAGCCCATGCTTCTTCCATAAAACCATGCAGCCTCCAGCCCACATTTTTCATCCATAAAATGGGTTCAAAATGAGAACACATGGACACAGGAAGGGAAACATCACACTCCGGGGACTGTTGTGGGGTGGGGGGAGGGGGGAGGGATAGCATTTGGAGATATACCTAATGCTAAATGACGAGTTAATGGGTGCAGCACACCAACATGGCACATGTATACATGTGTAACAAACCTGCACATTGTGCACATGTACCCTAAAACTTAAAGTACAATAATAATAAAATAAATTAAAATAAAATAAAAAATGGGTTCAATAGAGCCTACCTCATACAGCTACTGTGAAATTTCCATAAGAAACTACAAAACCTTCAGCACAGGACCTAATAAGGGCCTGAGAGAAATGACATCATCTTTCAGCCTTCCTGAGACATCCTGCTCATTGCTTTGAGAAAATAACAGGGTAGGAAGGAAATGGGTATCCTTGGAAATACTTAGCTCTTTCTTCTCAAGAGAGGAAGCTACTCCCCAGCTCCTGGGCACTCATAACTCTAACCAGGAAAGTGCTCATTTGGTGAGAATCAGGGCCACACACAAGCCAGGAGCATCTGCTCAAGTATTAAAAGTGAGCCTGTACGGTCCTGCTATTAAACTCCCTGTGGGTGAGCTGGGTTAACGGTGGGGCCTCATGTGATAAGTCATTAATCTCTACATGTAATGCAAGAGCTGTACAACTTACTTCAGCCTTAATCTCCCATGAGTTACAGCTTCTTCTGTGATTCATAAAACAAATCAATCACACCTCCCAGGCTCTCATCTATTTATTACTGCTTTTTAAGTGCTTGGAGAGGGAGAAACTGGTGGATGTTTTTAATCCCCTCCACATCTAGGCAGACCTCCACAGGCTGCAGGAAAATGGACTCTATGCCCCAACTCAGGTCACAGACTAAGATTAGTCGAACTCTGAAGCTTGCAAGGAGCAGACAACTTTGCATCTATAGCAGCTGGAAGATACCTCCCTATTGCTCAGAAAAGGAACTGGGATCAGGTTTGGTCATCGCCAGCCTGCATCAGGAAGGCTTGTTAGTGTGGTGGGTTTAAACACAACCACACACTTCTTGACACTTCTCTCTTTGAGAGTTAGGATCTCTGTCTGCCCTCCTTGGAATCTGAGTGGTCTTGTGACTGCTTCAGTAGGATGTGGCAGACATGATGCTATGTGACTTCCAAGGTTTGTCATAAAAGACCACAAAGTTTCCATCTTATTCTCTGGGACACTGTGCTGCCACATAAGGAGTCACACCAGAATAGAAACATGTAGTCCCAGCTGAGTCCAGCTTCCAGCCATTCCTGCCAAGATGCCAGATGCATGGAATCAGATTCTCCAATCTCCTACCATTCAAGTCACCTCCAAATTTTTTAGTTTTCCCAACTGAGGCCTCAGACAAGCTTTAATGCAGAGTCGAGCAATCCTTACTGTACCCTCTCTAAATTCCCAACCTACAGAAACTGTGGGCATATTTAAATGGTTGTTTTCTGTATCATTAATTTTGAGGTAGTTTGTTACACAGCGATAGGAACTGTAACCATCAGCAAGGAAGCACAGCAGTAGTAGCATAGTAGTAACAAAAGGGAAAGTACTCACTGCATGCCTACTCTCTGTCAGTCACTTTGCATATTTTAGTATTGCAATCAGTCTTTACCAAATTCCTACAAAGTGGGTGCTATTGTCCGTACTTTACAGAAGAGGGAATGATGGTTCTGAAAGAATAGGTTACCTACCTCAGGCCACACAGCAAAGATGGTATCCACAGCCCTGGCTATAGATCCAAACTGCTACTTGTTCCTCTGGCCACACTGACTACCAAACAGCTTTGCCTGAATTCTCTACATATTTCAACTATTTTGCCTAAACTTTTCCAAAGTCATTCAGGTATTTGGCTTTAATTACCTCAATATTTCAACTATTTTTCCTGACTTCGTTGGTGTCTTAGTAATTTTTACCTAAATCTCTGCTGAGATTATTCCACTGGTGGTGGGTGTGGTGAGGTTGTGGGGGTCTTAGCTTCTTGACCACACCAGGAGCTGGACAGGAGTGGACACTCCACAGCAAGCCCCAAAACTTGAGGCCTCAGGCATGGGCCTGGCAGTGGGAAGGATCTAGATTGTAAGTCCTCCTGGGCCACTCATGTCCATGGGACACTGTCCACAGAAGCAGTATGAGGCCAGGAGAGTGCAAGCTTGACTGCCTGAACTCCCTCTTGGCCTCGTGAGCCTTGCAGAGTGCAGCTCCTGCCTTCTTCTTGCAAACAATGTCAGCCTTCCAGACACAAGCTATGGCCTGGTGAGTTTCATCTCCTAGTCTTCCCACAAGGAAGCTGCTTAAACACAATTCTGCAAGATCATGGTCCCGCTTCATAGCCGTATGGCATACAACCCCTTCAAGTAGTAGCCCTGGGAGGTGACCTCAGGTGGACAGCATGTGGCTACTCAAAATTCATTCGAAGTAGAAGTGGAGACAGCAAGGCATGAGTGTGGAAAGACAAGACAAAGATGGTGCTAACTCCAACCATTAAGTGATACTGTAGGCCTCCCTCAGCTAAGAACTTAAACTCCCACTCCAGGTTCCCACCATCCATCTACCCTCCAGCCAGGAGGATCTTTTAAGATAAATGAATCAGATCACAGTTCGCTCTTCATTTAAAACCTTCTAACAGTGTTCTGCCACACAATGGCCAAAAATCCAAACTCTATACCATAGTCTAGCAGAGATGCTCAAACTTAGCATGCATCAGAATGACCTGTGGGGTTTACTAAAACACAGATTGCTGGGCCTCACCTCCTGAGTATCCGATTTAGCAGATCATGGGTGGGGCTCAAGCATGTGTATTCTAACAAGCTCCCAGTGGATGCTGATGCCCCTGAGAACCACTGGCCCATAGAACCCAGCATATTTTGACTCCTGTTGGCCTCTTCAGCCTCACTCTTTCCTAACCTAACTCTCATTCACATATACCAAGCCACAAAGACCCTCACTGGGATCCATAAACTCACCTGACTGTTTCTTGCTTTCAGGACCTTAGTGCTCAGGAGGGCCCTCTATGTGTCCCACTAGTCCCCAGTCCTGAAAACCTTCTCATTCTCCAGGGTTCTGGCTGATGCCATCTCCTAAAACAGCCCTTCCCTCTCCTCACCCACGAAGGATAACCTCACCCTGGTACCTTTATTCACTGCTTCCCTTCTGTTTGCTTCTTAGCAAGCCTCAATGTGCAATGGGAATTATAACTCTTTATTTATTGGGGTATCTCTTTGTATATTTGTGAGAGCTTTCTCCTGCCACTTTAGACTATAGGTTCCTTCCAACCAGATTCTGTCTTAATCACCACGGTAATCCCAGCACCCCACTCCATGACTGTCAAATGGTGGGTGCTCAGAAAATGTATGTTAAATTGGTACATTGCCTTAATTCATTCTCGTTACAACCCTGGGAGAAAGGAATTGTTAAGCCCATTTTACAGATGAGGAAACAGTTTCAAAGAGGGAAGTCCCATGCTCAAGGTCAAACAGTCAGGCATTGAACCTAGGTCTGTGGACTCCAAAGGTCTTAACCCACTCTGTGTCCATTGGGGGACAAACAAAGGAGCAGGGCTATTGAGGAAAAATGGTATGGATGAGATACTGGAGAACAGAAATGAGGCAAGCAAGCAGCAAGGAGGCAGGCAGAAAGGTCAGCTGGCATAAGGACTTGGGCACCCTCCAGACACCCCAGTGCCCTGAGGGGACAAAGAAACAAATGAGGGTGTTCACCCAGCTCCACATGGAGTCCAGGCAGCTGCTGCCTGAAGCACTGTGGGGTTGCCGCAATTCCACCTTTAGGTGTGAAGGCTTTTGCTTTTCCACCCCCATCCCCTCCATCAGACTTTCCTCTTCTGGTGTCTCATTGGTCTGGACAGTAGGTGGAGCAGACCATGGACATTGGGAAGGGGCAGGGTTCAGGGCAAAGGCAGGGCATAAATGGGGGAAAGGAGAAGAGCTGAACCAGACTGGGAACAGGGACACAAGAGGACACCACTGCCAGCTACATCTGCTTCCAAGAGCTGAGATTCCACAGCCAAAGGTCTTAAACTCCATGATATGAATTTCCCTTCCTGTTGTGCAATGACCACCCTGGCATTGCACCAGAGGGCTGCGGTCCAGGGGTCAGGCCCCTTTAGGACTGTACCCTGGCCTCATGCTCATGGCCATGTGTTCTCTGGGCAGCAGTGCTGAGCCTGGAAGGAGGGAACCTCCTACTGGAGACACCTGTAGGGCACTAAGGAGAAAGGGAGAGAAGGAGGTATGGCCTCAGCTTCTGCCTCCACAGCCCAAGCGTCAGCCCGCAAAGAAGCAGGAATGGGGTACAAGGCTGTGAGCTTCAGGGCAAAGAAGGCCTCCCACAGGGTGCTGCTCAGAGACAGAGGTGGACATCTGCAGAAGATATGCACAAATAATCGCCCAGCACCTCAGAAGGTAGATACTCCCAGGAGGCAATGCGCCTCTCCCCAAAAGTGGCATAGAAACCTCTTTCTCCTTCTATATCCCAACTCAAAAGCTCACTAACAAGGGCTAAGGGCCTCTAGCTTAAAGGCAAAGAGGACATTTGAAAAGACTTTGCTCCTCGTGTGTGTGTGTGTGTGTGTGTGTGTGTGTGTGTGTGTGTACATGTCAAGGTGTACCTGTGTGTTTGTGCATATTCAAAAAAATGGGAGGAGGAAGAAGTAGAGGGTGGATGACAGAAAAAAAGTGTGTAACCCAGTTAATGTAGGTCTAGAATCCAACAGTGGTCAGTAAGGGGAAAAGACCAGTCCAAATCATTAATCAATCCACCAATAGTTATTTAACTTTATTACACGCCAAGCACTACTTTGAACACTTGGGACACAAGAGAAAATGGCACAAACATTAAGCCCTGATTTCATGAAGCTTATGATGTAGTGAGAAATACAGCCAATACATTTATATACTGTTGAGTATAATAAGACAGATAAAAATAAGGGATGGAGCACTGTGGGAATAAACACCAGAGGACTCTAGGAAGGGAGGCCTCCCAGAGGAAGCAATATTTAAGAGAACAACTGAAGGGTGCGTAGAAATTAGCTAGGTAAAGTGGCAGGAATGCAGGACAGAAGGGCCAAAGTCTTTCTGATGTAGAGCAAAGAGCAAGACAGAACATGAGACAGACTGAGATAGAGCCAAGACAAATTAGAAAGAATCTCAAAGAAATAAAAGTAGTAATAATTACTTTAAAGCACACACTCAAACTAGTTTAACAAAATGTTGTTTTAATTATATCTACCTTAATGAACAGATAAAAACAGTTTGTAATTAGTTCTGTAATTGGTTATGTGAAAAGAGATGCATCTTCAAGTTCTAAAGCATATGTCCCGTAGACAATTTATGAGAAAAAAAAGATGCTTCTTCAAGTACTAAAGTATGTTGCCCTAAAGAGCTGTCACATTCCAGTGTCTTGTAGACATATTTTTTTCATGGGTTCTGCAAAAGTAGACTGTATCTTAGTCATGCCTGGATCAGAAACAAAAAGAATTAAAAAGAGCTTTTACTCTAGATGTAAGTGACTCTACATAGAGCTGAACAGACTGACAGATCTGGGTTCAAATCCCACTTCTGTCACTCACAAGTTCTGTGACCTTGGGCAATTTCCTGAACCTCTCTAAGGCTCGATCTTTAAAATGGGGATGAAGATAATGCTATTGCATAAAGTTGTTATGAAAACTAAGCAAGGCCACACACACAAAGCACACAGCAGAGTGCACAGCATCTATTTGCATTTAATAAACATCAACTGTTATGTGGACCCATGCATGTTATGTTAATTGGCTACTGTTGGCATGACAAACTACTATGAATTTAGGAGCTTAAACAATGCATATTGATTGGAGGAACCAAGATGGCCCATTAGAAACAGCTCCGGTCTGTGGCTGTCACTGAGAAGAATGAAAATGGTGAGTGAATCCCGCTCCATCAACTGAGGTATCCAGGTTCTCTCACTGGGAATGATTAGGATGTTGGCATGACCCACACAGAGCAAGGAAAAGCTAGTGTTTCCTGACTGCTGGCTGTCTGGATGAGGGGGATTCTTCCCAGTGCAGCCAAACCTGCTCAGCCAAGGGGCAGCCAGACTGCTTATTTGAGCAGGTCTCTGATTCCATGCCTCCTGACTGGGTGAGACTTCCCAACAGGGGTTGCCAGACACCTCATACAGGAGCTTTCTTGCCTGCATCAGCTCAGTGCCCCTCTGGGACAGAGCTCCCAGAGGAAGGAGCAGGCAGCCATCTTTGCTGTTCTGCAGCCTCCACTAGTGATACCTCCAGGTGCAAGAGG
This sequence comes from Homo sapiens, assembly GCF_000001405.40. Lineage (NCBI taxonomy): Eukaryota > Metazoa > Chordata > Mammalia > Primates > Hominidae > Homo > Homo sapiens. The sequence goes on from NC_000020.11 coordinate 40,553,607, forward strand.
GACCCAGGAGAATTGGGTCTGGAATGGTTCCCCTGTAAACTGCAGCAGCCCTACAGAAGAGGGGGTTGTTTGTTAGAAAAACAATCAAACAAAGCAACAACAAGGACAACATCAACAAAAAAGACCCCACAAAAACCCCATCCAAACATAACCAGTCTCAAAGATTGAAGGTAGATAAACCCACAAAGATGAGAAAGAATCAGTGCAAAAGGCTGAGAACTCAAAAAGCTAGAGCACTTTTTTTTCTTCAAATGATTGCAACATCTCTCCAGCAAGGGCACAGAACTGGGCTGAGGCTGAGATGGATGAATTGACAGAAGTCGGCTTCAGAAGGTGGGTAATAGTGAACTTTGTTGAGCTAAAGGAGTATGTTTTAACCCAAGGCAAAGAAGCTAAGAACCATGATAAAACATTACAGGAGCTGTTAACCAAAATAACCAGTTTAGAGAGGAACATAAATGACCTGATGGAGCTGGAAAACACAACCTGAGAACTTCACAAGGCAATCACAAGTATCAATAGCCAAATAGACCAAGGGGAGGAAAGGATCTCAGAGCCTGAAGACTATCTTGCTGAAATAAGACAGGCAGACAAGGTTAGAGAAAAAAGAATGAAAAGGAACAAACAAAACCTTCAAGAACTGTGGTATCATGTAAAAAGACTGAAGCTACAACTGATTGGGGTACCTAAAAGAGACTGGGAGAACAGAACCGAGTCAGAAAACATACTTCATTATATCATCCAGGAGAACTTCCCCAACCTAACAAGACAGGCCAACATTCAAAATCAGGAAATCCAGAGAACTCCAGTAAGATGCTCCATGAGAAGATCAACCCCAAGATACATAATCAGATTCTCCAAGGTCAAAATGAAGGAAAAAATGTTAAAGGCAGCCAGAGAAAAGGGTCAGGTCACCTACAAAGGGAAGCCCATCAGACTAACAGCAGACCTCTCAGTGGAAACCCTACAAGCCAGAAGAGATTGGGGGCCAATATTCAACATTCTTAAAAGAATTTCCAACCCAGAATTTCATATCCGGCCAAACTAAGCTTCATAAGTGAGGAAGAAATAAAATCCTTTTCAGACAAGCAAATACTGACAGAATTTGTCACCACCAGGCCTGCCTTGCAAGACCTTCTGAAGGAAACACTAAATACTAGCCACTATCAAAACCCACTGAAGTACACAGACCAATGACACTATGAAGCAACTACATTAACAAGTCTGCAAAATAACCAGCCAGGATCATGATGACATGGTCAAATTCACACATAACAATATTAACCTTAAACATAAATGGGTTAAATGCCCCCAATTAAAACACGTAGAATGGCCAACTGGATAAAATGACAAGACCCACCAGTGTGCTGTATTTAAGAGACACTTCTCATGTGCAAAGACACACATAGGCTTAAAATAATGGGATGAAGGAAAATTTGCCAAGCAAATGGAAAGCAGAAAAAAGCAGGGGTTGCCGTCCTGTTTTCTGACAAAACAGACTTTAAATCAACAAAGACCAAAAAAGACAAAGAAGGGCATTACATAATGGTAAAGGATTCAATTTAACAAGCATAGCTAACTATCCTAAATATATATGCACCCAATACAGGAGCACCCAGTTTCATAAAACAAGTTCTTAGAGACCTACAAAGAGACTTAGACTCCCATACAATACTAGTGGGAGACTTTAACACCCCACTACCAATATTAGATAGATTATTGAGACAGAAAATTAACAAAGATCTTCAGGACTTGAACTCAGCTCTGGATCTAGTGGACCTGATATATATCTACAGAACTCTTCACCCAAAAATAATAGACTATACATTCTTCTCAGTGCCACATGGCACTAAATTGATCACATAATTGGAGGTAAAATACTCCTCAGCAAATGCAGAAGAACTGAAATCTAACAAACAGTCTCGTAGACCACAGCACAATCAAATTAGAACTCAAGATTAAGAAACTCACTCAAAACCACACAACTACATGGAAATTGAACAATCTGCTTCTGAATGACTCCTGGGTAAATAATGAAATTAAGGCAGAAATCAATAAGTTTTTTGAAACCAAATGAGAACAAACAACATACCAGAATCTCTGGGATGCAGCTAAAACAGTGTTAAGAGGGAAATTTATAGCACTAAGTGCCAACATCAAAAAGCTAGAAAGATCTCAAATCAGCATCCTAACATCACAATTAAAAGAACTGGAGCAAACAAACCCCAAAGCTAGCAGAAGACAAGTAATAACCAAGATCAGACTAGAACTGAAGGAGATAGAGATACAAAAAAAAACCCTTCCAAAAAATCAATGAATCCAGGAGCTGGCTTTTTGAAAAAATTAATAAAATACAAGACCATTAGCTAGACTAATAAACAAGAAAAGACAGAAGAATCAAACAGACAGAATGAAAAATAATAAAGGGGATACCACCACTGAACCCACAGAAATACAAACAACCATTAGAGAATACTATAAACACCTCTATGCAAATAAGCTAGAAAATCTAGAAGATATGGATAAATTCCTGGACACACACACCCTCCAAAGACTGAACTAGGAAGAAGCTGAATCCTTGAATGACCAATAACAAGTTCTGAAATTGAGGCAGTAACGAATAGCCTACCAACCAAAAAAAGCCAAGAACCAGATGGATTTACAGCTGAATTCTTCCAGAGGTACAAAGAGGAGCTGGTACCATTTCTTCTGAAAGTTTTCCAAACAATTGAAAAGGAGGGACTTCTCCCTAACTCATTTTATGAGGCCAGCATTATCCTGATATCAAAACCTGGCAGAGATATAACAAAAAAAGAAAACTTCAGGCCAATATCCCTGATGATTATCAGTGCAAAAATCCTCAATAAAATACTGGCAAACCTCATTCAGAAGCACATCAAAAAGCTTATTTACCACAATCAACTCAGCTTCATCCTTGGGATGCAAGGCTGGTTCAACATACACAAATCAATAAACAGAACTAAAGACAAAAAATTATTTTTTTATTCAGCCAACGAACATATGAAAAAAGGCTCAACATCACCATCATCAGAGAAATGCAAATCAAAACCACAATGAGATACCGTCTCATACCAATCAGAATGGTGATTATTAAAAAGTCAAGAAACAACAGATGCTGGTGAGGCTGCAGAAAGATAGGAACGCTTTTACATTGTTGGTGAGAATGTAAATTAGTTCAACCATTGTGGAAGAGAGTGTGGTGATTTTTCAAAGACCTAAAACCAGAAATGCCATTTGATCCGGCAATCCCATTACTGGATATATACCCGAAGGAATATATATCATTCTATTATAAAGATATATGCACATGTGTATTTATTGCAGCACTTTTCACAATAGAAAAGACATGGAATCAACCCCAATGCCCATCAATGATATACTGGATAAAGAAAAATGTGGAACATGTACACTATGGAATACTATACAGGAATGAGATCATGTCCTCTGCAGGGACATGGATGGAGCTGGAAGCCATTATCCTCTGCAAACTAATGCAGGAACATAAAACCAAACACT